>NC_000001.11:65311410-65614441 GCF_000001405.40 Homo sapiens
GACGGGGTTTTGCCATGTTGGCCGGGCTGGTCTTGAACTCCTGACCTCAGGTGATCTGCCTGCCTCGGCCTCCCAAAGTGCTGGGATTACAGGCATGAGCCACCGCGCCCAGGCAGGACTTTTTTATTGATGTTGTATGTGGTTATTCAATGTATGTTTTTTCAAATCTGTGATATATCAAAGTGTAATCCATCTTTTGACTGGATGTAATCTCCTTTAAATCTTAAAAAGATTCATGTTCTCTGAATGATGCCACCATAATAATGTTTACATGTAGTGAGCATGTAAACAATTGAAATGAAAACAAACATATTCCAAATGAGTGTGAAGGAGCCTCACTTCAGGAAAATGAAAGAAATATGAAATACATATGTTTTCCTTTTTCATAGGGATTATTATTTTAAGAGTTGAAATTGGTTTTTGAAATATGTTACATTGTAGAATAAGTTCAACATACATTTTCTGAGCCCAGCTATGTGCCAAGCACTGTGAGGGAACACAGTAGTGAATGAGATCCTTCTGGCCTCTAGGGGACTCTCAGTGGGGGCAGTAACTATAACACAGAGCAGCCTATGGTAAGTCCTGGATTTTTGAGGATTGTCTTTTTCACTAAATCAGACTTTTTTAATAGGTGGAGAGAAGAATAATGGATTGCTTTAATAATCTGTTGTGATGGGAAAGTGTTTCATTAAGAATATTGTTATCTCTAAAGTGCTATTGCCAGGAGTTGATTCTTAAACTTGATCAAAGTGGTGTTGTGTGAAGAGGCTGCAGGGATTCCTTTTCTCCTCCCCTTATCCATCATTCACTCCTATATTTTATTAGGGGAATATTGTGGCTTTGTTGTAGAAGTACAGGGTATCTTACAATGATTTTGATGCATATTTTCAACTGAGAATGATTTGTTTGGTTTGAATGAAGGATTGGACTCTGAGAGTAGGATTCTTTTACTAGTACAACTATATGTCTTGCCTAATTATAGTTCTTTCTTCTAAGATCCTCAAAGTGTGGCCTGTGCAGTGTAAATATATCCATTTGTTTAGTATATCTAATTAAGTTCATGGATCATTTCTAAAGTGGCAGTAATCTGCCCATTTATTCAACTGATTGTACTGTGACATGCTGGATAGGATCAGTGGTTTATGGGACTTTTGCTCTGATAGAAATATTAATGAGTGGAAAAAATATGTTGACATCTCGCTACATGATTTAAAGCTTAGTCTTAATAATACCTTAAACTTGTAAGACTGTTTATAATAGAACACTTGGACAATTCTCTTATTTCATTTCCCCAGAATTTTATTAAATAGGTTGGGGAAGCAGCATGTGTCTGTGCTTGGAGACTTGGGATCAAACCTCTGCATTATTGTTACTCGCTGAAAAACCTAGTAACCTTTTTCTTTTCTTTTCTAGACAGATAGCTCTGTCACCCAGGCTGGAGTGCAGTGGTGCGATCTCAGCTCATTGCAACCTCCACCTCCCGGGTTCAGACAATTCTTGTGTTTCAGCCCCTCAAGTAGCTGGGATTACAGGCGTGCACCACCACACCCGGCTAATTTTTGTATTTTTAGTAGAGACGGGCTCTTGCCATGTTGGCCAGGCTGGTCTCGGACTCCTGGTCTCAAGTGATCTGCCCGCCTTGACATCCCAAAGTGCTGTGATTACAGGGTCTTGCTCCATTGCCCAGGCTGGAGTGCAGTGGTGTGATCATGGCTCACTGCAGTCTGGACCTCCTGGGCTCAAATGACCCTCCTGCCTCAGCCTCTTGAGTAGCTGGGACTACAGGTATGAACCACCATGCCTGGCTAATTTTTTTTTTTTTTTTCTTTGTAGAGATGGGGTTTTTTGCCATGTTGCCCAGGCTGGTCTCAAACTCCTGGGCTCAAGCGATCTGACCACCTCGGCCTCCCTCCCAAAGTGCTCGGATTACAGACATGAACCACCATGCTTGGCCTGTTCCCATTTATAAAAGTGGAATCATAAGAGCTGTTCTTACCACAGAGCTTTAGTTGAGGCTGAAAACAATATAAAAATACATTTGCAGTTTTTCTTTACTTTGTATCTTGCCCTTTCAATTTATCATATGAAGAAACTTATTCTCAGAGGTGGTAGGAGACCTATCAAAGGTAGAATAGATAATGACAGCCAGACTTAGGTCTTCTGACTCAAAGGTTTGAGTTTTTCCCCATTGAACTAAACTTTTGGGTAGACACAATATCAACTGATTGTTGAAATGGAAACATTTTTATCTACTTTGATTTCCCCCCTGTTTTTAGATAAAAGAGGGGTACATGTTCAGAGGAATGTAATGGCTTTCTAAGTCAACAGCCTCTCAAGTGGTAGATACCAGAGCAGTCTCCTAGCCAGATGTGACTTCCAGAGCTCTCTGCCTTCCCTGGCTCACTTTCTCTTCATTCAAATTATTCTCTAGAAAAGGTTGTCATTTAAAGGTCATCCTGTCATATCTCAAAGGCACTGCACTATCCCAATGCCGAAAACCCCCTATTTCTCTTGTGTGCACCCCACTTTTCAGGGAAAGTAGAACCACAAAAGTAGAACTTTCAATATTGAGCTGCTAAAGTGTTCCAATATTGGGCTTAATTTACCAAGTTCATAATGACAAACTGAAAAAGAGTAGTCCAATTAAAATCTGGAAACAGATATTAATACTTTTTAAAGAATAAGTATAATGATAGGTAAGGATTTCTCTTTTGATTCTCACTTTTTAGGCTTTGTTCTATATATTTAAATATATAGAAATTCACATATATAAATAAACAAAATATTGTATATATTAAAAAAAAAGAATAAGGATAATGAACAATGCTAAAATACCATGTAGTGTGAGTCTGGTTGGAAACAAAAATTACCTTTAACAAATTCTATTTTAGTTAGTGTTTAAACACAGCATCCACATTTTGAACCAGGTTTCAACATTATGAGATACGTGTTTGGATAATTGTATACTTCATGGAAGTATAATAAACATATATGTACTAATAATCCTTTCTTAAGAATATCTGCCCATTGAAGGGTCTTGTAGGTTGGAGGCAAAGTTTATTTATATAACTTATTTTTTATTTTTTTTTTATTTTTTGAGACGGAGTCTCACTCTGTTGCCCAGGCTGGAGTGCAGTGGTGTGATCCCGGCTCACTGCAACCTCTTCCTCCTAGTTCAAGCAATTCCCCTGCCTCAGCCTCCTGAGTAACTGGGATTACAGGCACCCACCACCAGCCAGGCTAATTTTTGTACTTTTAGAAAAGACGGAGTTTCGCCATGTTGGCCAGGTTGGTCTTGGACTCCTGACCTCAGGTGATCCGCCTGCCTCAGCCTCCCAAAGTGCTGGGATTACAGGCGTGAGCCACTGTGCCCAGCCAATTTATATAACTTATTTAATGTGTGGTTATAGTTTGGATGTTTCTGGATAATCGTTTAAAGATGCACCAGTTACTGGATTACAGAATAAGATACGTCAATTTAAGTTTCAAATTTCAAATGCTTGGAGACTGCCAGATTTCATAGATTTGGAAGGGGAATCCCTGGAACCAAATCTCGGAAAGTTGGCCAGGTAGCCAATGGTGGACACTTTCTGTGATGGAGCTTTAGCTACTGGGGCAGTGTCTTTGAACTGTTCTCATCAGTGCAGAGTTCTTTTTATTTGGGCAAAATCAGCCTTTCTGTTCTCTAGATACAAATTATGTCTAATCCTTCTTTCACATGGTAGCCCTTAGACAACAGATTTTTGAGAACAGGTACTAATTCTCTCTTAGTCTTAATTTTCCTCTTTTCTAGGCCAATCAAACCTAAGTTCCACATGCTTTTTTCTCTATATAAAATGATTTCCATATAATTATCCTAAGCTTTGAGAATAATGTTTTTTTTTTTTATTATTTTGCACAACAGGGGTTTTCACCAATTTTTATTATAAAAGGTTAAAAAAGAATTAAAGATTACAGAAAGGAATAAAATGAGAAAAGTTAAGTATTCTCTCCCCTCCCTGATCATTTAGGTCCTTGCCTCAGAGATAACTTCTACTAAAAGTTTCTGGAAGGACTTTCAACGTACAACATGAGTGTGTGTAAATATATATGCTTTACACATATATGTATATGTATGTGTATACCATTAGAATTATAATAAAATACAAATTCAAAGTTTAACCATGTTCATATATGTACATTGTTCAATAATGCTTAATGACAAAAATAGCTACAATTTAATTATTATAATTCAGGGATTATGCTAAACACTGCATATGGTGTCACATTTAACCCTCATAAGAATCCTATAAGGTAAATGATAGTAACGGTCATCTTATAGTTGAATAAACTAAGGCACAGAGAGGTTAAGTTGCGTGAGGTTACACAGGCTCTACTTATTCTATATTGAGTAAAATGCCATAGAGAAATGCCCATACGATTGCAAATGAAGAATTTAGTGGTGAATTTTTTTATTTGCTTCTTTCTCTGAGGCAAGGAAAAATAGGAGTGATTGAGAGAACCAAAATGAGTTCAGTTGTTTTTTAATCCCATGAAAGTACAAATATGTTTTCTTTACTTAAATATAAAGAATTTAAAAACACTGGAAATGAAAACAGCAAAAACAGCATTGAATAAAGCTGATTAAGACTTGATACGGCACTGAGAGAACAATACAATTGATGAAGCATTATATATTTTTGGAAAAATATATTGCAAATGAAAATGGATCCCCACTGCTCTTAGGATAAAATCCAAGGTATTCTTAACAGGACATCAGAAGCCCTTTGTGGCACCTGTGAAAGCTGGCCCAACAAAACTTGTTGTCGCTCCACTGGTAGATCCCCTCCCCAGCCTGCACCTCCATCTTTATGTTTTTGCATACACTGTTCTCTCAACTCAGGCCAACTTATCCCATAGACCCCTGGACACCCACTTTTCCAGGTTATCTCCTATTCATTCTTCAGGGTTTAGCTCAGATATTCCTTAATCGCAGGCTGCATGCAATGGTCATTCTCCATGCTCCTCAGCAGCCTTTACTTCCGTATCACAGCTCTCATCACATTGAGTTGTGACATGCTGCCTGGCCTGTCTCTCCCTCTAGTCTGTAAGTAAAGTTCAGAGCAAGGCTGGGTCTTATTTGCCTTTGTAGTCTTGTCATTGCTTGGCATTTATTAGGAGCCTGATAAATACTTGTTGGATGCACAAAAGCATGAATGGATTTTGAATTTTTAAAAGGGCATTTATAATGAAATATGCCCATCCAAATCTAAAAATAAGCATACAGCTAGGTTTTAACAGAAATGAGGCCAGGTTTGAGAGAAATGTAACTGTTGGTCGAAAGCTAGACCAATTCAGTAATGAGCATTTTTTCATATGTAAAGACACTGGAAGTGAAAGAAAGATGGTTAATATATAGCCTAGATCCTTAACAGTTTTCTAATATAGACATGTCAAGAAAGAATTAGCTTACCAAAAGATTGTGCTTTTTCGACCAACAAATACAATCTACTGTATGATTCATCATAAAGGTCACTTTTTTTTTTTTAGCCAAAAAAGGAAACTCAAAATGTATACAATTTTTTTAATGAACTGACAATAGATGACTTTCATCTATAGATCTGTGTATTTCTTAATCGGTGTCATTAAGTTTTAATCTTAGCCATTTTCAGGTTTAATATTAAAAGTTCTTTGTATCATCTTTGGCCGTCTGCAGTTGTATATAAGCTTTGTGCTAACTTAACTGCTTTTTTAAATCTGTGCTCACCATCTTGAACTCCTTTTGGAAAAAAGCTATGTTTGAGATGGATGAAGAATGCTGGAGTTTAGATTGTGCATTTCCTTGTTGCGAAAGGTGTAACTCTGAAAAAACTAAATTACAGTTATTGTATATTAAACAGCTATTCCTGAAATTTACTTGGAAGCTTTTGAAAGAGTAGCTCAGTATCTGAGGAGAAGTTCTTCACGGTCCAAGAAATTAGGAAGTTCCATAACATGTGCCAAGGGATCTGGCAATTTCTACTACCTTTAGTTGCTTTATCCCACATGTCACAGGCCATAGTCTAGATGCAAAAAATATCTTTTTATTTCAATAACACATCAGAACATAGTTTTAAAAGTGCTAGAGATAGAAACTTTAAATTAAAATTAAAATGCGTGTAGTATTAACAGCGCAAATGTCACCACCAAGGAAGCAACCAGATGAGCCAATGCCTCCTGTGCAGTGTTAAGTTTGCATGTGCAGAAAATTACTGTTGTTGTATTGTGGTGTAGTACTCTACCTGGTAGCTGGCAAGTGTGTTTGGCATACATTGTAAGCCACTTCCTAATTTTAGAAGTGTTATGCTGTGAAAAAAGTGCAATTAGAATTGGAGATATTTGACAAAAGTCAGGGTGAATAAATAGTATAATAATAGTTATATAAAGTGCAATAGGGGTGCAGAAGAAGGAGCCATAATTTTAACCAGGAAGACTAAAGAAGGCCACAGTGGAAGTTGATATTTGAGCCAGAAATCTGTAGGAAAAGAAAGAAAGAAAACCCGTTTTGGGCTTTGGGCTAATGCACAGTGGCATCATAGTGCATGGTATGTTTAGAGAATTGCATTTAGGCTTGAAGCTGGAGCCCAGATGGGTGGGAGGTGCTATAGCAGATGGTGCTGGGAAGATAAGACCCAGGTCAGGGTGAGTCTGCTTGAGGAGGTTGGACTTTATTCTGCAGGCAGTGGGAGGCCAGTGAAGATTTGGAGATGGGGTGAGGTAGGGCTGACTTATCTACTAGGCACAGTGTCTAGAAACCACAATAATTTTAGGGTCCACAAAAATGTTTACATTTTAATTGCCTTTAAAAATCAGAATAAAATAAATAAGTATAACAATAATGAATTCATCTTTATTCAAATGCAGTCATTAAAATATATGTTTTTTTTTCTGTTAATAGAGGAATAGGTCCATGAAGGTAAAAATGCCTACGGCCTACAAAAGTCATACTGCAGCCCCAGGGAAAAGAGGGCAAAATGTGAATCCTGGAGATAATTTACAGCTGTGTGAAGGATGAATCCCACCGGTGGTTCCTAACTGTGATCTGGCTGCATCAGATGTACCTGAGTAAACACAGATTCCCTACTATGCAGCCGTAAAAAGGAATGAGATCATGACCTTTGCAGGGACATGGATGGAGCTGGAAGCTGTTATCCTCAGCAAACTAATGCAGGAACAGAAAACCAAACACTGCATGTTCTCACTTATAAGCGGGAGCTGAAGATGAGAACACATGGACACATGGCAGGGAACAACACACACTGGAGCTTGTCAGGGCATGGGTGGGGCGGGGGAAGGAGAGCATCAGGAAGAATAGCTAATGGATGCTGGGCTGAATACCTAGGTGATGGGTTGGTCTGTGCAGCAAACCATCATGGCACACGTTTATCTATGTAACAAACATGCTGCACATGTACACCAGAACTTAAAATAAAAGTTGAAGGAAAAAAAGGAAAAGAAAACACAGATTCCTGGGCCCCAAGCATGTTTGATTTAGGAGGAAGGGGAGGGGTGTGTTGGAAGACAGAGCATGCCAGTGGAGGACCAGGAGAACAATCAAATTGCAGTTTAGCTGATGACCTGAGAAACAACGAAGGCCCTAGCCAGGGCAGTGTCAGTGAGACTGGGAAAAAGTCAGCCTGGGGAAGCATTGCACAGGTGAATGACAGACTGACAACCAACCAATGGTGGGGTCTGAGATACAGGAGATACCTGGATGGCAGCAGGAGAGAAGGTAGTATTTCTAGTCTCAGCCAGAAGTGGAAAATGTGATCAACTGTTTTTCTCTGCTGCAAGTTCACCATGAACATACTTGTGGAAGGGCTGAGAATACTGTTAGCTTGGCACAAGCTTTCACCAGGCTTTCAGCTTTTTGGTAGGCTGCCCATTAGGCTGTGCAGATGCCCAGGGGAGTGCTGTGGAGGGGTGTGTGGTAGAAGCAGGCCCTGTGTTTGCCTGGAGGAAGAGTGAGATAATGGGTAGAAATGCTAGAACTGAAGCTCTGTGGCTCTGGGCTGAGTCCAGGCCTAAGGCCCGAGGCCAGTACGGTGTCTGTATCGGGTGGCCCCTTCTCACTGGGAGAGCCCTAGACTCTGGTTCCTTGCTTGTTGATGGAGGCACAGCAAGAATAATCAAACACCTGAGAAACTTGGAAGATGATTATTGAAACCAGAATTTTTTTTCAGAATTCTCTGGAAAAAATAAAAAAAACAAAAAACAAAAAACAAAAAAACCAAAACAACCCTGACCCCAGAAATTCTCAGGGACTTTCTTGTACCAGCATTTGGCCACTTGAGCATTGCGGCAAAAATCTTAGCAGATAATAGTCTTCATTTTTCCCTGATCCTTATTCTTATTTTAGTTTCTTCCTCTTCTGCAGTCTTTCCCTCTCTTCTCTTCTTTTGTCCTTCTCTTTCTCTTTCCCACCCATCTTCAACTTCCTTATCCCTCTCTCTTCTCCTTTGCCTCTTGTACTCATCTGCTCCCCTCTTCTCTTTTCTCCTCCCCTTCTCTCTAGTCAGTGAGTCAGCATGCCTGGGAGATGTGGAGCCCCATGCCATATGCAGATGACTGTAGTTTTGGGATATGTGTACGCATGTGACTTAGTTCTCAGTCTGCTGCATGTGGCTCAAAAGGTGTGAAGACTGGTGTCACTTTCCAATTTAGGCAATTGCATCTGGCTTACCTAAAATTTCACTTGCTGCTTCAATCAGCAAAGTGTTTCTTCCATACTGTGACTTGGTGATGAGAGGTTTCATGAGCTGCAATACCAGAGGCAGTTGCATTTCATTCAGATGAAGGAATGAATTTTACTAATCCACAGCCCGAGAGTATAAGATAATAGCTCACCATTTCTTCCCCTCCATCTCTCTTACTTTACCTCTGTAGGAAAGCAGATCTTTCTCTTCTTCTTCCCTGTTGCTGAAGCCTAGATATATTGCTCTATTTTCAACCCTTCCATGTCTAAATTAGTTGAGGCTGTTGAGCAGTGGGAGTACTAGGGAATTATGAGTCAGGAACTCCAAATCTAAGCTCTGACTTTGTCATTTACAAGCTGTGACCTTGGGCAAGTCATTCAAATGAGAAAAATCATACTGACCCTGCCTTTTTCATAGGCACAGTGGAATGTGAGAATGTAAATGAATGCATTTGCAGTTGATACTCTTCATTCATTCATTGCATAAATGTCTCCTGGCTGCCTACTATGTGCTGCCACTCTTCTAGCCATGGGGGATACAGTAGACGATAAGATAGATAAGACCTTGGCACTTATGAGTTTGATTATAGTGCATGAGCAGTGAACAAAGATATATGGTTCTATGGTATGCTAAATTCTATGGAGGGCTAGAGCAAGCAGAGAATAGCTCAGGATGGTAGTAGGATGGGGAGACCTATCTTCCAGGGGCTGGTCAGGAAAGGCCCTTCTGAGGAGATAATGTTTGAGCTGACACCTGAAGAAACAGAAACAAGCAGGAAAAAGAAAGAGCAGAGTGTAGGGCATTTCAAGTTCTAGGTACAGCAAATGCAAAGACCTGGAGAAGGGGGATAGCTTTGTAGAAAGAAGTGTGTACCTGATATAACTGGTGCTTAGTGAACTAGGAGGGCATGGCCACAAATGAGGTTTGAGTTGTGTTTTTAAGAGACTGTTTGGCTGCTTGCATAGAGAGAGTTTGAGGTGGCTTCCTAGGTATTCCACATTGTAGGCAGGATTTCTACATCATAGACAAGGTCAGCAATTATACTGTTCAACACTAAGTATCAGTCTTTTAAAAATTTATTTATTTATTTGAGACAGGGTCTTGCTCTGTTGCCCAAGCTGGCTGGAATGCAGTGGTGCAATCATAGCTCACTGCTGCCTCGAATTCCTGGGCTCAAGCAAGGCTCCTGCCTCAGCTTTCCAAGTAGCTAGGACTACAGGCATGCACCCCACCATGCAGGGCTAATTTTTAAATTTTTTGTAGACCAGAGTCTTGCTATGTTGCCCAGGACGGTCTTGAGACCTCAAGGAATCCTCCTGCCTTTGGCCTCCCAATATACAGGGATTACAGATGTGAACCACCACACCCAGCCTAAATTTAATTTTTTAAAGACGATTTTTTTTTAAGAGAAGTTTTATGTTCACAGCAAAATTGAGAGGAAGGTACAAAGATTTCCCATATATCCCCTGCCCCTACACAGGCATCGCCTCTCCCATTATCAACATCCCCCACCAGCAACATACTTTGTTATGCTCTATCATATGCAGAACTTACAATGATCCAGTGAAGTAGGTGGTATTAACAAAATGTTTTTGAGAGAAGGTTCAATTAGGTTCAATGAGCTTATACACAGTGAAACTAGCAGCAGAACTCAGGTCTTCTGCCATATTGGGACATGAGAGAGATTTTCAGAAGAGGAATTGACATCTTGGGCACCCTGTAGCCAAGATATATCAGCTACTTTAGGAAGAGACAAGCTGGAGGGATAGGACAGGAAAAGTTGGGTTTTAATTGCCAGGGAAATTGGTTTAGATTGCCTTGAAAGTATAGCAGGATTTTACTGTAATTATTGGTCTTAAAATTCAGCCATTAAAATCTCCTAACAGGAGATAGGAGCCTGGCTTTGTCTCTGAATGTGCCAGGAGAGAACTGTCTCCATTATGCCTCTCATTGGCACACAGAGGCTGGGAAACTTTCACACACTGTCTCGTTTTGTGAGCATTTGCAGTTGTAACGGAAGACAGCTCTATTTTATATCTTGCTTTGTTTTCAAGCCATTGCATGAAAGCCAGGCCTCTTGGCTCTTAAAAATTAACCCCCCCAAACCTATTTTAGTTTATAGCAGTGATACAGGTTAATGAAAAGAATATTTAAAACAATTCAGAGAGTAGTATAAAAATGAAAATAAAAATCCATTTTTTTCTATCTTCTCACACAGACATGGATTCTTGCATATTCACATATACATACATCCAATCATATATATAATGTACACTTGAATTCCTGGAATCCATCTATACATGCTATTATATAATGTGATGTTTTATTTAACATTGTCATAGATAACTTTCTATATTAGTACCTAAAGATGTACCTTATTTTCTCTAACGATTGTTTTAAATTCCACTGTCCAAATTCCTCTATTGATAGGGGGTAAATATCTTTGAGCATATATTTTTATATATTGTATATGCAGTATACCTGTGGGAAAAATTCCTAGAAGTGGAATTACTAAGAGAAAGAACATATGCAGTTCACATTATGATAGATCCTGCATTGTTGCTAAGAACCTTGCACTAAATTAAGTTTCTAACAGTATATGAGACTACCTGTTTTCCCACATTCTTGTCAAAGCTGAGTATTGACAAACTTCTTAATCTTTGGTAGACTCATACATGAGAAATGATGATAATGGTTTACTTGAAACTGGCATTAAAGGTTGATATTTCTGTGAATTATTTTTGTTTTCAGAAATTAATTTGAATAGCTTTTCATTAGGTAGGCAATACATATTCAAGGCAAAACAATTTGGAAAATCCAGAAAACACAAAGAAAAAATAAAAATAACTGATAAACTTGTTTTTCATGAATAACCATTGTTAACATTTAGGATATACCTTTTTGTCTAATGCATGAAGTGTGAATGAGAAAATTTTATTACAGCAGTGGGGAAAGCATTGGAGTTGGAGCCAGTGGTTGTTCTAGATTCAAGTTTTTAACATTGCTGACTAGCTTTGTGACCTTGGGCAAGTCATTTAAATCCTCTGAGCCTCAGTTTCCTCCTTTGTAAAACAGATAATGCCTTTTAATATGATTTGGCTTTGTGTCCTCACTCAAATCTCATCTCGAATTGTAATCCCCATTTGTCGGAGGAGGGGCCTGGTGGGAGATGATTGAATCATGGGGGCAGCTTTCTCCCTTGCTGTTCTCATGATAGTGAGTGAGAACTGATGGTTTTAAAATGTGGACTTCCTTTCTCACTTTCTCTTTCTCCTGCCACCATGTAAGACGTGTCTTGCTTCCCCTTTGCCTTCTGCCATGATTGTAAGTTTCCCGAGGCCTCCTAGTCATGCTTCCTGTTAAGCCTGTAGAACTGTGAGTCAGTTAAACTTCTTTTCTTCATAAATTACCCAGGCTCAGGTAGTTCCTTATAGCGATGTGAAACTAGATTAATACACCTTCCTTCCTTTGTTTTCTTTTCTTTTTTCTGAAGCAGGTTCTTACCCTGTCACCCAGGCTGGAGTGCAGTGACATGATCAAAGCCCCCTGCAACCTTCACCTCCTGGGGTCAAGCAGTCTTCCCACCTCAGCCTCCAAGTAGCTGGGATTACAAGACTGCGACACCATGCCCAGCTAATTTTTAAATTTTAGAGATGAGGTTCTACTATGTTGCCCAGGTTGGTCTCAACCTCCTGGGCTCAAATGAGCCTCCTGCCTTGGCCTCCCAAAGTGCTGGGATTACAGACATTATTGTTCAGGCACAGTGAGCCACCATGCCCAGCCAATAATGCCTTTCTTATCAGATTGTTAGGAAGAACAAATGGAATAAGGAATAGAAAACTGCTCACTGTATTCCTTGCCCTATAGTGGATAACTTGATAAGTGTTGGCTGTGCTGAAGTTCAAGTGAAGTAAGGCAGTGTTGAGAATATTTTTCTTATCCTGAGGTTTCTTCAAGGTGGAGAATTTTCTCTCTTCAGTTTACAAGGCACTGAGCCTTGTCTTTGTTATATCCATTTTGGGATTGTTCATAAGTTTTTTCTCTTTCTTTATTTTGTTTTTATTTTTTTGAGACAGGGTCTCACTCTGTCACCCAGGCAGGAGTGCAAATAGCACGATCTCAACTCACTGCAGCCTCTACTTCCCAAGCTCAAGCGATCCTCCTGCCTTACCCTCCCTCATAGCTGGGACTGCAGGTGCACGCCACTGTGCCTAGCTAAGTTTTTTTTGTTTGTTTTGTTTTGTTTTTTTTTTAAGATGGAGTCTTGCCCTGTTGCCCAGGCTGGAGTGCAGTGGTGTGATCTCCGCTCACTGCAACCTCCACCTCCCGGGTTCAAGCAATTCTCTGCCTCAGCCTCCTGAGTAGCTGGGATTATAGGCACCCACCACCATGGTTGGCTAATTTTTGTATTTTTAGTAGAGACGGGGTTTCACCATCTTGGCCAGGCATGTCTCAAACTCCTGAGGTCAAGCAATGCTCCCACCTCAGCCTCCTAAAGTGCTGGGATTACAGGCGTGAGCCACTGCACCCAGCCTCTTTTTCTTGTTTTCCCAGTGTTTGTTTAAAAGCTAGTTCATGTAAGGCAGTGGTTGTCAATGAAGGGCTATTTCATGCCCTCCTCCTGGGACATTTGGTAATGTCTGGAGACATTTTTAGTTGACACAATAGTGGGGGGAACTGTTACTGGTCTCTAGTGTGTAGAGGCCAGGGTGTTGCCAAACATGCTACAGTGTACAAAACAGCTCCTCACAACAAAGAACTTTCCTGCCCAAAATGTCAATAGTGCCGAGGTAGGGAAACCCTGATATAGGGAATATATTGAATGTGAATTGAAGTTAATGAACCTGGTGAAGTATGCATCTATGGACTCATCAAGCTAATGGTACTTAGTGGTCGGCCCTATAAATTGAACTATACCCTACAGGAATTTCTACCAGGCTGCAGGAGGTTCTTTGCTTTTCAGGAAGATGGCGTGGAAAGCATCTAAGTTATAAAAGGGCTGTTTGGCTAGGGCTATCACCTGGAGGCAGCCGAGGTCCTAGAAGTTTGGGTCTCAGTTTTCATGGAATACAAGGTAGACTTCCTTTGTTCCTTCAAGCATCTATTCATTCAGCAAACACTGTTAAGTGACCAGAAGGCCAAGTACTGTGCTGTGTCAGATAAAAAAGGAAAAGAAACAAAAGCTAAGATATTTCCTCTTAAAGGAGCTTAGAAGACAGTATATTATTGTGGTTAAGAACTCAGATGTGGATCTCTGCTGCGTGGGCTCAAAGCCTGGCTTTGCCACTTCTAGTTTATGTGATTTAGCCTCTTGCTTTAGGATGGAGTTGAGAATATCTAGGTCATATGATTGTGTGATGATTAAAATGTTGATGAACACAGTGTTTAGGAGAGTGTCTAGCTCAATGAAATTTGCATTCTTGTTTTTGTTATTTGTACTGTACTACTCCTACTGCTAAGGAATCTTGGAGCCTTATGGATTTTCTAGTTTAGTAGTTTCAAGTTTGATTAGTACTGGATTCCTTTTCTCAATATAGCCTTAGCCAGACTCTGAGTATATAAAATACAGATATGCATAGCTTAATATAGCCATACGTTCTGAGAAACGCATCTTTGGGCAATTTTGTTGTGCAAACATCATAGAGTGTGCTTACACAAACCTGCATGGTATAGCCTGCTATGCACTTAGGCTGTAGGCTATAGCCTATTGCTCCCAGGCTACAAGCCTGTATAGCATGTTACTGTACTGAATACTGTAGGCAATTATAACACAATGGTAAGTATATATCAAAACATATCTAAATATAGAAAAGGTAATGCACTGCACTAAGATGTTATGATGGCTGCAACATCACTAGGTGATAGGAGTTTTTCAGCTGTTATTATCCTATGGGATGACTGTCATATATTCAATGTCATTCACCTAAACATCATTATGTGCACATGACTGTATATGAGAACAGCAGCTCTTGTTAAAGTAAGGGTGGGAGTCTGGACACTGCTTTCTGGGACCACTCCCCTCTCTCCCCACAACAGTGTTGTCTGGGAGAGAACCTGGGACTGTGTAGAACCCTGTTTGCCACCCAGCAATCTCATCCAGTCCACTCACTTTGAGTGAGGAAACTGAGGCCTAGAGAGAGGAAGTGATTTAAAAGGAGGCTAAAGCAAGACAGGAGTAGCTCTAATGTACATGTGCCAAACACAGACAGGGTGCTCTATGAGGGAGTTCAGAGAAGGTAGAGATGGGCCCCTTCTTGGTTAGGTTGAGGTCTTGAAGGATGGGTAGGATTTGAACATTCCAGATAAAGTTGGAAAGAGTATTTTCACAGGAAGAAATAGAATGATAAAGGGATGGAGGAAAAAGCATTGTAGTCTTTACCCGTTTCTTAGTCAGTCTATTTAAAACATATTACTTAAAAACCAAAGGAAGGTAGTTGTCATAAAGTCACAGAGTAATTCCTGGGGCCCAGGGGCAGTGGAGCCAGCCCATATGCACCTGGTACCCCAGAAGTGAGCACCTCCTGGAAGCCCCCTCTCCAGTGCCCCATAGTTCTTGTTTCCCTTCCTGTGCATTTGCTCTGCCCTTCACTCTCTCTGAAGACCAGCTTTATTGTCTTCTCTGTGTACATGGCTTCCTCAGAGGTCCTGAATTTCTATGCCACTGCTTAAAGCAACCAGTTCTCAACGATCATCTGTCTCTGAATCCCAAATTCTAAATTCCAGGAGGAAAGAATCCAATTACACATATAGGTATTATTTGTGTGCGTCTCATCCAAAATTTTAGACAGACTAGGGCATGTGAGGAACCTGTCTTATGTTGAGATGGATGGCAAAGCCCTACTCAAAGATGAAAAAGGAGGAAAACTGGCCCTCAAGTTGCTCTTTTACCAGCAGTAGAAAGAAGGGTCTATATAACTATAACAAAGTATGAGATAGACAGTACAGGTAAAAAGTAAGAGGGTTGATGAAGGCTTCTTGAATGGGGACATTAGTGCTGGCTTTGCAGTGTAGGCAAGATTTCTTGGTGGAGAGGGAGATGGGGGAGGACATTCCAAACTAGAAGCTTGGAAGAACTTTGCATGTTTGAGTAACAGTGAGCAGTTGAGTACCTGCATATGCCAGTACTTCATTCATTCGTTTAGACAGGAAATATTTACTGAGGACCTAGTAAGGAGGAGGATATAATTATGGATAAAGAAACAAACTTAAAATAGTTACACGGCTTCCCCAAGGTCATAGAGAATATGAATATGAACCATATCTATCATGTTTCAAACTCTTGTTTTCTCCATTTATACTTTTTCTACTTGATTCTACAAGGTCAAAAGTGACTTAGAGCAAGGTTGGTGGCTCATGCTTTTTTTCTGTTTTAAATAGAGAACTTTTGAAATTGTGCATTGTCCTTACATCCTAAAGTGAGAATAGGCCATAATTTCCATAACTATAAAATGATTTATGTGTGGGTGTATGTTTGTTTTAGGGGAATTGTTTGGTCAGGTGATTTCTACCATCCATTCTAACTCAACATTTCATGTCTGGGTAATATTGGCAACCAGTTTGATTTAATTTATTACATAATTATTTATAATAGAAAAACACTTGAAACTGCCTAAAATGTCCCAAAATAGAGGATTGGTTTAGAAAATTATGATATGCCCATATAGTATTACCAAATAGAATATTAAGATATGCCTATGTAGTATTACCAAATAGAAAACTAAGATATGCCTATATAGTATTACCAACTCAAAAAAGTTGCTTTTTTTTAATGGTAGAGATGGTGTCTCACCATGTTGCCCAGTCTGGTTGTGAACTCCTGGGCACAAGCAATTCTCCCACCTCAGCCTCTCAAAGTGTTGGGATTAGAGGCGTGAGCCACCATGCCCAGCTCAATAAATTTTTAATATGATGGGAAGATATTCAAAATATAAAATTAGTAGTATAAACAAGAAACAGTCTTTATACATTGAATTAAACTACATAAACACATACACACATATATTTGTATTTACATAGGAAAATTATTGTAAAGATGTGTATTAGTCTAAAAATGAAGGAACTATCAAAATATTACAAAACAATATTTGGGTAGTAGATATCAGTAATTAACAAATTTTAAATGTGTTTTGCTAAAATCTCAATGATGAATTTATATTTCATAACTACAGTTTTATGTAACTATGTTCTTTATCTGCATCTACTTTTGTAACTGAAATTTTTATTGAAATAATTATAGATTCACATGCAGTTGTGAGAAACAGTACAGAGAGATAGCTGTAAACTTTGCCCATTTCTCCCAGTGGTATATTTTGCAAAACTCTAGTGTAATATCACAGCCAGGATGTTGACATTGATTCGTTCCACCTCAGATTCCCCTAGTTTCTTGTACTCATTTGCATGTGTACTCATGTGTGTATGTTAAGTTCCACACTATTTTCTCAACTATGTGGGTTCCTGAATCACAGTCAAGGTACCAAACAGTTCCAACACCATAAGGAACCCCCATGTTGCCATCCACACCTGCCACTATTCTTTTAAAAAAGTACTTGACCCCAATGGGTCGGGCATTTATTTTATTTTGCTTTTGCATCTGAGGCCATAATGGTGGAACCTTAGAGTTGGGAAGGACTTAGCAGTCTTCTTGGTTCCTCAATATAGAAGTTTTAGAGGAGGAGTGGGAGGCATTTTATAATTCTCCACCCTCCTCCAAACACATCATCAGCTTGAGCTGTCTTCCCAACCTTTGCCCCGTAACACCTTTGCCTTGGTAATGCAGGTCTCAAGTTAGATATCATGTCCACTGGAAACTCTTGTCTGACCTTCTAAGTCTGGGTCAGGTGCTTCTTTGTGCCCTGATTATGTTCTGTATTTTCCTCTTTGTGGCACTTTTCTCATTTTATAATTGCTCATAGATAATAAATAAATAGTGAATGGGTAGATGGAGGTCTGGATGAGAGTCCTTTCCCAGTGTCTGATGATCCTGCAATGGCCGCTTCTCCTTCCTTTCCCACCTTGTGAGTGGCTTTTGATCCTGCCTGCACTTCGGCCACAGCACTTATGTGGCAAGCCCTTGTTTATGTTGATTGTGCCCAATTCCAGCCTTCTACCTGCTGATGGTTCCACCAGGATGACTAACTTCATCTTCTGAGCTTGTCACATTTTTCTTTTCCTTCATTTATAAAGTCAGTAAGATGATTACTTTAAGTAGCTATGAGCCTATATTGTGCTATGTGCTTGATATATATTATAATAGCTTCAGCTCTGTTCAAAAGAGGAAATGGCTACAGCTGACCCAGAGAGCATCTGGGGATAAAATGGGGATAGTAAAACATAACTTGAAGTATATTTTATTAAAATATGTATAGGAATATTTTTAATATTTTATTCAATATAATAAATATAAATATTGTATTTATACAGTATTCCCACTCATGATCCTGAACAACTTATTATTCCTGAATAAGTTGTTCAGGATCGTGTAGCCAGATTAGTGGCAGAAATAGATTCAAATCCAAAACTGTCTGTTACAAAGTTCACCTTTTTTGCTCTGTCTGCAAGAAGGAACTGCATCTCTAGGGATCTGTTTTAATTTCCTGATTCTTCCAAGACTTAGAACATCCTCTAGGGACCTGTATCCAAGTCTAGTTCTTGACTGAACCCTCTAGTTAGGTAGCTCTGGACTTTGGAAGGCAGCCATTCTATTGCTGGACAAGAAACATTGCTGGGATGTTTATTGATGTTCAGTGGAAATCTGCCCTTCACTCTCTCAGTTCTGTATCTAGGTGGCTTGTAGTTCTTTCCCTTGGTGCAACATACATTCTTTTGAATTTATAGGTCCCTCATGCTGTACCTAAAAGGGATTTTTCTGGGTTTACCTCTTTATTTTACAGATGAAGAAACTTGAGTCCAAAGAGAGAAGCCCTGTTTAACTTACTGCCCTTGAGTTACTTGAAACCTAATCTTGCCTTTCTGGCTTACCTTTCTCTTTCTAGCTCTTTCAGTCTTTCCTCATGAGATGGGTTTTCTTTACTTTTTATTACCCTAGTCATTCTCCTTATGGACACTCTCCAGCTGGCCTGTGTGCCTCCTATTTTTGAAGCTGACCTCAATATTCCAAATTCGGGTTGATTGCATGGAGTTCAACAGAGGATGTTTAATTCTGCAAACAATGATGAGATGCCACTATGTACCAGGAACATGTTGCAATCCTCTACCATATTCTGCCTTTCTTTTTCTTTGTGCACATTGTCTACAATATTTATGAGGCTAGAGGTTTGGTTGCATATGTCACAAAGGCCATCATAACAGTGGCTTAAGCAGATGAAAGTCTATTTCTTTTTTTTTTGTTTTGTTTTGTTTTTTGAGACGGAGTCTTTCTCTGTTGCCCAGGCTGGAGTACAGTGGCCCAATTTCGGCTCACCGCAAGCTCCGCCTCCTGGGTTCAAGCCATTCTCCTGCCTCAGCCTCCCAAGTAGCTGGGACTACAGGCGCCGCCACCATGCCCAGCTAATTTTGTGTATTTTTAGTAGAGATAGGGTTTCACCGTGTTAGCCAGGATGGTCTCAATCTCCTGACCTCGTGATCCGCCAGTCTCGGCCTCCCAAAGTGTTGGGATTACAGGCGTGTGCCACCGCGCCCAGCCTTGAAGGCTTATTTCTTGCTCATATAAAAGTCGGATCTGGAATGGATGTTGTATAAAGTAGCTAGGGTGCCAAGCTGCTTCTATCATGCTGCTTTTTTAATCTTTAGGGTATTACTCTCTTCTTCGTCATCTAAGATGGCCAACTAAACATTAGTTTTCCAGCCAATGTGAAGGCGAGGGAAGGGCTTACTTTTTCTCTCTGAGAAACAGCGTGTAAGTTGCAGTCTTAATTCCACTCTCATCCCATTGGCCAGAACTTAATCACATGGTCGTACCTGGCTGAAGGAAAGCCTGGGAAATGTAGTCTTTTATTCTGGTAGTCCATGCGACGAGCTAAAAATATTCCTAAGAAGAACAAGGAGGGGAGAATGGATTTTGGTTGGCAAATAGCAGTCTCTACCATACCCCTCCTTCTTCAGCTCCAGGGAAACAAGTCCTGGTTGGTTCTTTGTAGCCATTGGCTTCCCAGGTTTATGAAGTTCCATTTCTAGGAAAAGTGGCAAAGCAGGATCTCCCAGAAATTCTCAGGATTCTGTGAAAGACTGAAAATCAGAATCTTTGGTGTGGAGGTCACAATGATAAAAATACCTGCCATTTATTTGGGGCTTACTATTTGTTTGCTAGGCATATGTTAACATGCATTCTCTTATTTAATTTTCAGATGAATCCTAGGGGGCAGGTATGATAACTAATTCTAAATTTACAAACCAAGTTTTCCAAAGAGGTGAAACAACTTCCCAAGGTTGTACAGCGATTACAGGGTGAAGCTGCCACCTGTTTATCTTAGTGCACTGGAGCCTGAGGTCATTGCCCACTCAGTTTGATGCCAGACAGACCAGAGTTGCTCATTAACACTTCATAAAGCCCTCTCATGTTCCTCATAATAACCAGACATTTCTAATTATAACTTGAGCAGCAAATGTTGTTTAAGATAGGTTATGAGCCCCAAGTTGAAGGGATGGCTTTTATACCATGTTTGCTGAGTATGAGCTCAGGTCAGACAAAATATTGGGTGACCAAATTGGCAAAGACCATTGTCCCTGTATTCCATTTTGCTGTCAGCAGTGCTCTTGGTTTATTTTCTTTTCCATGAGGAAACTGAGGCACAGAGCTATCACAGGACTTATTCCATGTGGTAATGTTGGGATTTGCTCCACATTGTTATGATACCAAGCTGGAAATCTTCATTCTCCTGCTGCCACATGTTCCTTACTCTGGGGGGGCCTGGACTTCTATTTCCTCATGTCCTGGAGTCTCTCAGCATGTCCTGGGACCTGGGACCTGGTTCCAGGCCTGAGTTTGCCAGCTTTGCTGTGTCTGGTTAGAGATCACAGGCTTTTCTGGACTCTTTTTTGCTTATAGCTTTGCTTTTTAAATTTTTTTTCTCCTATAAATATGGCAGATGGATTACGAATACAAATGTTAACGTGGGGCACTCAATGAAGAAAGGATGTCTCTATGGTTAACTCTCTTTTCCAGCTCCAAATCAGGATATGTAGACTACAGGAAGGGGCAATGGAAACCTTGATATTTAAGAATAACAAACGTTTGGTGAATTGGGTGGTGGGGCACCTTTCTGGAGGATGAAAAGGAATCAATTATGCAAAGAGCCAGGTAGAGGTTTCTTAGCAGGATGATAGCAAAAGCAAATGCCTTAAGTGCAGAAATGAAAAAGAGGCAAGAAATAAACTAATATCATGTTTGAGTCTTACATATTTTGGAATTTATTTATTACGGAAGGAGAGACAGAAGCTCATTATCAGCAATGACTCCCCTCCCCTGAATCAACGGCAATTTTTGGACAGGCCTCAATAATGCTAGGAGTAAGTGCTGTCACGCTTGTCAAATATACTTTGCTTAGGTATGTTTGGAAAAATGATCAGTGTCCTTGGTGAAGTGTTATTCTCTTTTGCTTCATTAAACTCACCTTAGGAAGTGGTTAAATTGACAGTGTTTTTTTTGTTTTGTTTTGTTTCCAGAATTCTCTTGACATCTCCCAGAGGCTTTGAACATAAGATACCAGTGCTGTTTTTGATATTAGCAGTGGTTTATAAAAATATTTAAGTGACTCTTTCCTCTTAACGTACATTCAAATACTTAGAGGGTTAGAAATTAGAAGATTATATCAGAATTTCAAACCTGGGATTTATAGAAAATTGGAGGGTGCTCAAAGATGTTCTGTTGGCAGAGGAGTTGAGTTGCTCTGAGAACAATGGTGGATTCTTTTATTTACAGTGGTTACAGACTCACAGATGTGCTTCCACTGGCCACAATCCATCCATCACTAGCAGATTTGTACATTGTTCCAGTTTGGGCATTTGGGTTCTCAATCTAATGTTAATTCACCTGCTCATATTAAGAATTTTAACATACCAAGAAATGTTTTTTTAAAAGCAAACAAAAACAACACTATCCCCCAAATTAATAGTGGGAATTGAATAGTACATTTTGGCCTTATTACTCATCTGGGCTCAGCAGAGATCTTTGGATATGCTTCCAATAACAATAAAAATAACAGCTTGGTGAAATAAATGGACTCGTAGGTGGAGAACCGAAGTACTGAGAGGAGTTTTATCTTCTGATTGCATTGCTCTTTGGCATTGACCATGGATAAAAACCATCACTGCTTTATTTTTAGTTTATAAAGTACTTCTATGGATAACATTTTACTTCAGCTTTACAACTGCCTTGTAAACTGGGTATAATTGTCTTCATTTCACAGCTGAGGAGACTGAGGCTTAAAGGGGTTAAGTGAGTTGCCCAAGGTCACAGCATAGCAAGCAGGTGACAGCATCGGGATTCCAACCCGTATGTTATTATATAAATTGTCTTAAATCCTGAAAACATGATAGCTTTAAAACCTTAAAAAGCATCAGTGCCATCTTTAGAACAATGACTTAGGATTTTTTTTTCCTCCATGGATATTGCTTTAAATGTTTGAGGAAATAACTGCAAATTTTGTTTCATCCTAACCCTAATAATGCTCTCTACAATGTCCCTCAGCTCAGAATTCCTTGTGACTATTTGAAGCTTCAGTCTTTAATATTGCCTTGTGTTTGATTATATCATGTCAAAGGCAGAGCCTGGAAAATCATTATTAAGGATTTGTAGGTTGTTTGCATGACCTTTTAAAGTAAAAAGGATAGATATGAATAGAAATAAATAAAATTATTTTGCAAAGTAACCATAAGGCTTCAGCCATGTCTGTATCTAATTTATTCACTATAAAAAGTTCTACTGAAGATACATTTTGACTTAGATCACATAATTGAGAAAAAGATGGCAAATTTATCGTTAGGTTAATGTAACTATCCCTTCTTTGGAGAGGATGATAACAAAACTGTCAAAAGAAAAAGATGCCCAGATGAGATTATACTTGCAAAATTTTGTAGGCAGATACACAAACTGCAAGTATAACATGTAACCATGTTTGACAGGAGAAGTAGGAGAACATGGGTTACAAAATCCTTAAGCTTGACAGCCTCTGGCAAGGTGGTGAATAATGTGAGGTCTTTTAAAATGGCTTTCTTGAGATAAAGCACAGAATGTAATGCATGCAACTTTCAGAATTGTTGCTGGAGACAGCAAAAATACTCTTGAGACAGTGCAGGCTACTGAGGAAAATACATGCGGTGATCCAGAAGAAAGTGAGAGCACGGGCTGTTGGGAGAACTGCAAAGAGTTTCCCTGGGACTGGGGCAAAGATGGGTGAAGGAGGAATGCAGGAGGTGAGAATGGGAAGGAAAGCAGTTCCCAGGTTATTCAAGGCTTTGTAAACCATGTAACCCTGTGCCTCTAAAAATTTCTATGAACGGGAGTGATAAGATAAAATTTGTATTTTAACAACATGCCTCATCCCTCTGGAGAGGATTGGAGGGGTCCAAAGCTGTTAGGAGGCTAGAGATGGAAATGGCCTGAACTGAGTAAGATACTAAGTAAGGAGTAGTGGGTGTGTAGAAAGGTGGGTTGGATTTGGGTTTTGCCTATAGGAACAGTGGGAGGAAACAAGGTGACTCTCAGATTTCTTTGTATCTACCCATTCTTACTCCATAACCTCCCATGCTGTAAAATGATGGTGGTGGTAACAATGACTATAAAATTTGAAGGCCTGTTATATTATAGGTGTGAAACTTCTCATCACCTACAAGATAAAATTCAAGTCTTAAAGGGGCATGCAAGCATTCCATAATGTGCTTGTTGCCTATCCTACCACCCTTTGGTAAACACCCTGTGCAGTATTGCTGACCAATTTATAGTTCAGAATCTAAGGTCAGAATTAACAATATGTATTGAGCCAGATACTCTGGTACAAATAACAGTGATCAAATCAACTATGTCTGTCTTTTTTTTTTTTTTTCTTTAAACAGAGTCTCACTCTGTCGCCAGGCTGGAGTGCAGTGGCACGATCTTGGCTCACTGCAACCTCCACCTCGCGGGTTCAAGATATTCTCCTGCCTCAGCCTTCCGAGTAGCTGGGACTACAGGCGCACACCACCCACGCCCAGCTAATTTTTTTTTTTTTGTATTTTTAGTAAGACGGGGTTTCACCACGTTAGCCATGATGGTCTTGATCTCCTGACTTTGTGATCCGCCTGCCTTGACCTCCCAAAGTGCTGCGATTACAGGCATGAGCCACCAGGCCCAGCCTATGTCTGTCCTTTTATGGAGCTTCTTTTGTAGTAGATAGAGACAGAAAAAATAAAAACCCTCAAGATAAAAAGAGCCGTGAAGAAAAAAGAGTAGACTAAGGAGAGTTCATATAGGGTGATCAGGAAAGCATCTCTGAAAAAGAAACATTTAAGGAGAAACCTATAGGAAGTGAGGAGGGAAGCCGCGTGGCTCACTGGGGGAATAGTGGAATTGTAAGTGCAAAGGCCCTGAGGGAAGTACATGTTGAATAGACGAGTAGTGTGGCTGCAGCAAAGACGCAGGGAGAAAGGTAGGAGATAAGGCAAGAGGGGTACAGAGGCCTGTTCCTATAGAGCCTTGTAGGCCATTGCGCGAGCTTTGATTTTTATTCTAAGTGAGATGGGAAATGATTGGAAAATTTTCAGCAGAAGAGTAACATTTGCCTTATTTCTTAAAAGAACACCTTTGTTTCTCTTTATGAACCACACCTTAGGGAGGCAAGGGTGGAGGCAGAGACAGCAGTGAAGAAGATATTGCAATAATTCAGATGAGAAGTGATTGGCTTAGACCAGGTTGGTGGCACTATAGGCAGTGAGAAAAGGTTGATTATACCTCTTTGTATGTGGTAATATAAAAATATTATATACATTTGTATTAGTCTGTTCTCATGCTACTAATAAAGACATATCCAAGGCTGGGTAATTTATTAAAGGAAAGAGGTTTAATTGACTCACAGTTCAGCATGGCTAGGGAGGCTGCAGGAAACTTACAATCATGGCAGAAGGGGAAGCAAACATATCCTTCTTCATGCAGCAGCAGCAAGGAGAAGTGCCAAGCAAAAGGAGGAAAAGTCCCCTATGAAACTATTATATCTTGTGAGAACTCACCACTATCACGAGAACAGGAGCATGGGGGTAACTGCCCCCATGATTCAGTTACCTCCCACTGGGTCCCTCCCACAACACATGGGGATTATCGGAACCACAGTTCAAGATGAGATTTGGGTGGGGACACAGCCAAACCATGTCAACATTGTACATGATATATGTAGTACCTAAATATATATAGTTTTCTAAATTCAAATATACAAAAAAGTAAAAAGGGGAAACACAGGTAGAAACCAGAAACCCATGTCCCCATTACTCAGCTTCGACAATTATCCACTAATGAGCAATTTCATTTTTTCTAAAGCTGTTCTTGCCCCTCTGGATTATTGTGAAGTAGATCCCAGCCATAATGTCATTAAATATTTGAATATGCCTCTAACATGTAAGGGCCTAGCTGGGCATGATAGCATGAACTTGTAGTCCTAGTTACAGGGGAGACTGAGGCTTGGAGTGAGAACCTGCTCAATCAGTCAATCAGTCAATAAAGGGCTCCTTTTAAAAAACACTGTCACAACATTCTCATCTCATCCAGAATCTTAATAGTCCTTACTATCCTCAAATATCCAGCCTGTTCAGATTTTCCTGATTCTTTTAAGTGGGAATCTTATTTTTGCCTTTTTATAGTTTGTTTGAACCAGGATCCAAATAATGTTTATGCATTGAAGTTGCTTGGTTTTAAAGTTTCTTCTCTATGTCTCTTTTGTTCCTGTGTAATTTTTGTTGTTGTTGTTGTTGTTGGGAAAAAAAACCAGGCCATTTGTACTGTAGATTTTCCCCAAGTCTAGATTTTGCTGACTGCATCCCTGTGGTGTCACTTAACCTGTTCCTTTGTCCTCTGTGTTCCCGGTAGATTAAAGGCTTGATCAGACTTACATTCAGATTAGCTTTTTGCAAGACTATCTCGTAGGTCGTGTTTTGTATTTCCATCGGGGATATACAATGTGTGGTTGTTTCTGTTTTTTGTCATCACTGTCTAGTGCCATTGTTTTATTAGGGGCTGCAAATGTAATTCTTACTTTTTTTTTTTGTTTGCTGGACTATTTCTATGAGGAAAAACTCTTCCTCATCAGATATTTGGTTATCCTGGAGTAAAGTTCATATAGCAAACAAAGGAAAAAGGCTTGATTCTTACCCTTTATTTACCAGTTTTCAAAAATAAAAAGTAGGTCCCCTATCCTTCTCTGAGGGTGACTTATGAAGCTTCTCTCTTTCTCTTTTTCTCTTCATTTTATTATTATGAACTCATATTTTTAAACACACATTCATGTTTCAGTCCACTGCAGTTATTACAGTTGGCCCTCTGGGGATTCCACATCTGTGGATTCAACCAACCCTGAATCAAAAATATTTGGAAAAACACCAAGACAACAACAACAAAAAAGTACAGAATAAAACAATGATTTGTCTAGCATTTACATTGCAATGTAATAGGTATTATACATAATCTAGAGATGATTTAAAGTATATGGGAGGATGTGTGTAGGTTATATGCAAATACTACACGATTTTATATAAGGACTTGAGCATCCTTGGATTTTGGTATCCTTGAAGGGCCCTGGATCCAATCTCTCGAGTATATAGAGGGACATCAGTATTCTTACTAATGACTAAATGGACCATCTTTGGTCATGGGAGCCTCTGAAGCTAGCTCCTGAATGCTTCTAACACACTCAAGTAGTCTTTGATGCTTTCCTTGCTTTCTGGTATCACCAGATGTTCCAGGCTCATCTTGTATGTTTTCTGCCCCAATCTTAGAATCAGCCACTTTTTCAAAGGGCTCTAGTTCCTTTTAGAGGGAAATGGTGCATAAAGACCTCTGGTGTGAGGGGTGCTCACTGCTCCTGAGCTGGTTTTTGTGTCTAGGCCTTCTCAGTGGACAGAGCTAGGAGCAAATTTTTTAAAAGGTAAAATACATTATGGATTCACAATTATATTTCTTTCTCCCATGCCAAAATTCTGGTTCTCAGTTGCACCAGTGTAATTACTTATTTGCTTTGTGCCACAATACACAGCCACAGAATCACAATACCAACACTATCACCAAAACAGGTTAAGGTAGTTTTGTTTTTTGTTTTTCTTTTGGTGGTGGTGGGGGTACTGGTTGTATATATTTTGCTTTAAGACAGTTACTTTGTATCTTAAAGTTACTTGAGGTAGTTTCTCTCTGTGTGGTTATATCATCAATTTCATACTAAGCTGGGTTGGTTTGGCTCATTTTGCTATCACTTTTGAGGGGTTGCTTTAAAATTTATGTTTGTAATTATATAGAATATTTACATAGTTTCAAATTCAAATCTTTAAAGCAGGTTGTATTCAAAGAAACAGCTTCTGTCCCTGCCCCCTCTACCCTGTTCCCTCCCTCACAGGTAACTCTCTTTCAAGTTTTGGGTTTATCTTTTCACTTTGTAAATATGTGTGTGTATCTATCCACTCTCTCTTGGATAAGTGGGAGCTCTATACATATCTTAAATTTCGGATAAAATTTGGAGGTAGTACAGACACTATTTTCTGAAAGATTGGATGTGAGGTATGAGAATAGAGTTGAAGCTAATGCCCAGGTATGACATGATTGACTGATAGAATTGAACCACCTGGCCCCGAGTGCCCTTCTTTCCATGTGGCCTGGTTAGCCTCATTCATCTTTGCAAACTCCAGCTTTCTTTGCTCTCAGGTGCTCTCCTCTGTGCTCCATTGATGCCCTCTGCGTCACATTATCCTTCCCATATGGTCTTATATACTGTTTTCATTTGTGTTTGGCTGTCAGTAGACTGTGAGCAGCTTGATGTCAGACATTATGCTTTCTTATTCTGTTTTCCCACCACCTATCACAGAACCTTTCACACAGTAGAAGCTCAATAGATACCTGAGTAAATAAATAGGCCAGGTGTAATGTTGGGTTCTTAAGAAAAAAAAAATGAGGTGGATGTTGTTGTCCTATTTCACAGATGAAGGAACAGGCACTGAAAGGTTTAAGCTGCTTATCTAAAGAAACAGCTAATAAATTGCTGGAGTACGAACCCGAATCTTGTCTGATGCCAAGGCCACACAGCTCCAACTCTGTGTTCTCATTCAGCAGTGGCATGTGAGACTGTCCACAATTAGCCTATTAATTGTGTGACCTCTGCAAGAAAGTGAGCCTCTATGTCTATTTCTACATCTACGAATGCAAGATAGTAATGGCGTGTACATTATAGGGCTGTAAAGCATTTAGAATAATGCCTCATACATAGTAGGGACTCAAATCTTAGCTGATTTTAGGTACAATTGTTATTTTTAGTAGCGGAATATTAGAATACTACTACTACCACTACATACAAAGCCCTGTGCTTGGCACTGTGTATGGAGTCTTCTTTGACTCACCCCATCTTGCCTTCTAGGAGTTTGCAGGCAATGTGCATATGCTTAAAGATTTCAAGAAGGGCAACTGGGGAGTGGTCAGTCAACAGGCAGTCACTTGAGATTAGTGCCAAATGCAGGGAAAGAGGAAAGAAGGCACTTGCAGGTGGCCAACTTGTTAGATAATAGTCCCTCACCCCTGGGCTTCTGGGGCAAAAATAAAAAACAGAAGCCATGGTGGAGATTTGAATGTTTCTGTTCCACCAATGTCACCATTAGTGGCAGCCAAATACTTCGACTCCTTGTCCAGTTTGGTGATACTCCTAACAGTCCTTGCCTTGTAGCATTAATAAGTTGCACAAATCACAATTTAATACTCACATTATATAGACTCTATGAGTCATGGGGTCACCCAGAGTTCATGGGACCTTGGAGAGCAGCAAATTCCACCTCCACATTTTATAGAAAGAGACTTTGTCCAGAGAAGGAAAGCCATATGTTTAAGGGCACACTGGTATTTGGAACTTGAACTCTGTTGGTTAACCTTATGGGTCAGATCATGCAGATTCCCAAATGCCTGGACCCTTGCCTGGGAGGGAGTGGACTCTCAATATGCAAGAGTGCTGAGAGACGAGGGATGATGGCTCCACTGTTGTGCTGGCCACATTGTATTTGGTGAGTCCAGGCTCCTGCTCTTATCAGAACAGCAATGGTAGCTGCTGGAGGAAGAGCTGGCCTCCCTCAGGATGTAGCCATTTCTGCTGCCTGATTCATATTGGGCAAGGTCTTCTTTGGGCCCTTCCATAGCTATAGCCATCTATGTGCTATTGGCGATTGCACTGAGACCTCTACTCTGTCAAAAAGAGGTAAGGAAGAATGTGATAGTGAAAGGGCATGAGATTTAGAGCCACACAGATCTGGTTTGTGTTCTGACCCCAGTGTTTCTTAGAGGTGTGACTTTTATCCAGTCATTTAACTTCACTGGAAACCTCAATTTCCTCCTCAATAAAATGGGCATGATAATATCCACCACAGCAGGTTGTTGTAATGATTAAGTGTGATAATCTATATGAAGCATTTGGCAGAAAAAAAGTGTCCAAAGAATGGTAGCTTCTCTGCCTCTCTCCCCGACTCTGCCTGACCTTCATTTAGGGCTGTCTGTCCTCTGTCACACAGTGTGGCATAGGGCTGTGGCTGTGTTATTACACTTTCTATTTATCAGAAGCTACTGAGGGGTGTTGAAAGATGTAGACTTTAGGCTCCACTCTCAGAGATTCTGATTTGAAAGAAATCTGAAAATTTGCATTTTTTAAAACAGGCACCCCAGGCTATTCTGATGCGTAGCCTGGTACCTAGGCTGACATTTAACCTTGGGAACCTCTTGCACCACTGTTTGCCAGACCCCTTAGCTTGGGCGGGTTATGCAACCTCTCTGAGCCTCATTTCTGCACCTACTAACTGGGACTGATAGCCTGTTTAGCAAGGTCCTTTTCAGGGTGAAATGAAACAGTGTGTGTGAAGCATCTTGCATGAACCTAGCACACAGCGGGAGCCTGGTGAAGATGTGAAGACCGATACCAGACACCAAAGGGCTGCATTGCCTTCTTCCAATCTATAAGCTAGCCGTGGCCCTAGTTCCTTCTTTGGAAACCAAACCCTTGCAATGTATCTGTCCACCTATTCTTACCATTCTGTGGATTTTGCAGAGGACACATTGTTCATGATGGAAAGCCACCTGCTTGCCTGTCACCTGCATTTTTTGGAGACCCTTTTTATGGTTATTAGTGCCTGTCTTTGAAATTTCAGCACCTGTGAGCTCTGATTGTGTTACCTGGGATCTAAAAAGGCAGCAGAGGAGAACAGATGCTGCTAATGACTTATCAGCTCTTTTGTCCATAGTCTTCTCAAAGAAAAAAGGCTGTGACCCTGGGTTTGTCAGCACTGATATGCTTTCACACCACAAAGGGACTTGACAATGGGCAGGTTTCCAAGTCTGTAGAGTGGTTCTTTGGGGGAAGATGGAAAGCATATTTACAGTTTGGTTCTTCGGGCTCATGCTCTTTCTCCACCTTCTGTGCTCTGCTGCCACTACCCCTGGAATGCTGGTGCATGTGGCTTTTGAACATGAGAGTCAAAGACAGCAGCTATTGACCCTAAAGGCTGTGTGTGCCTGTGGGGTGGGTGGGACTGGGCAGCAAGAAGAGGCTGAATTAGGAAAGAGCATCTTGAGCCACTGTCATCATCCCTTTGTGGGACCAAGTCCGTATGAGGGACCGCGATCATAGCTGGATTGTAGTTTTCCACTCCTGCCTGTTCAAGCCTTAGAAACTAGTTTTCATTAATTTCATTGCTATGCAATGAATGCATAGCAGTTTTCCACTCCTGGGTATCTGTTCTTGCAAATATCCTTAGATTAATGCAGAGCAGACATCAGGCCAAGGTCTGCCTTTTTTGTTCTCCAGCAGTGCTTTTGGGTTTGACTGTTTCCTTTTATGTTTTAAGCTTTTAACAAATATAATAGGAGGCAGCAAAATGTTGTCAGTGGAACACAGGCTTTGGAGTGAGACAGACCTAGGGAAGAGCCTGGCTGTATGACCTAAATTTTTGTGTTGGGTCCTGCTGTGGGCTGAATATTTGTGTCCCCTCCTTTCCCAGATTCGTATGCTGAAACCTAATCCTTAATGTGGTAATATTTGGAGGTAGGGCCTTTGGGAGGTGATTAGGTTGTGATGGCAGAGCCATCGTGAACGAGATTAGTGCCTTTATAAAAGAGGGCCCCAGAGAACTTGCTTGTCTCTTTCACCATGGGAGGATACAGGGAGAAGATGGCCTTCTACGAATAAAGAAGTGGGCCCTCACTAGGTACCAAATCTGCAGGCACCTTGATCTTGGACTTTCTCGTCTCCAGAACTGTGAGGAATACATTTCTGTTCTTAATAAGCCACTCAATTTATAGTACCTTGTTACAGCAGCCCAAATGGTCTAAGACAAGTTCTCACTTTGCTCCTCTGTAAAAAGGGGATAATCAAACTTACCTGGCAACATAATTGTGAAGATTAAGTAAGATAATGGACATAAAGCTTGTAGTCTAGTTCCCAGGGATCAAAGGGTGCTTAATAAGTGATGGCTATTGCTGTTATCATCTTGCTGCACTTCAATGCAATTGAAATTGGTTTAAAAGTGAATAGAAACGGTTGGTTTCTTGATGGATTCAATTCAGTTCAATTAAGTGTCCTTTTTTAGATGGCTTACCCTGGTAAGTGTCATGCTGAATACTTGATACAGATAGAAATTAAGCACTCTCTTCTCGCTAAGCTCTTCTTGTGCATTCTCAATTTTGCGTTGCAGCTTTCAACAAAAGCATCCCCTCACCCTTCCCAGTGATTCTAAATTTCTTTATCTACTCATTTGAAGGTTAGTTTGACTTTCAAGCCTTTTGAGATCTGAGCATCATTCACCTTTGCGGTCTCACCTCTCACCCCTCTCTAATATACCACCCAGTTCTGTGAGGAAACACCATAATATCTTGGCTCTAGTATGTACCATTGCCACTGCCTGATACACATTCCTCTCCATTTCAGAGTCTTCCTCCTTCCTCCTGTGTAGTGGAGACGCAATACTCATCTGTCAGTGTTGGATGAGGATTTATGCATATAATTTTTTTGTCCGAAGAGCAGATGGAACCACACAGACCAGACTGCAGGAAAGAGAAGAGATAAACAGTAGACTACCTTACCTGTGGTTTCACTTTCCAAGGTTTCAGTTATCTGCTGCCAACTGCAGTCTGAAAGTGTTATGAAAATTCCAGAAATAATCCATTACGTTTTAAATTGTGTGCCATTCTGAGTAGTGTGATGAAATCTTGCACCGTCTTGCTTGGTCCTGCCTGGGATATGCATCATCCCTTTGTCCAGTGTTATGTTACTGCATATTAGTCACTTAGTAGTTGTGTAAGTGATGAGATTGACTATCTTGGTTATTGCAGTGCTTGTGTTCAAGTGACCCTTATTTTACTTCATAATGGCCCCAAATCACAAGAGTAGTGATGCCAGCAACTTGGATATGCCAGAGAAAAGCTGCAGGGTGCTCCCTTTAAGTGAAAAGGCAAAAGTTCCTGACTTAATAAAAAAAAAGGAAAAAAAAATATTCCGAGGTTGTATAGATCTATGGTAAGAGTGAATCTTTTATCTGTGAAATTGTGAAGAAGGAAAAAGGGAATTCACGCTAGTTGTGCCATTACATCTCAGACGGCAAATGTTATGGCCACAGTGTGTAAGTGCTGTATTAAGATGGAAAAGGCTTCAGTTTGTGAGTGGAAGACATGAACAGAAACGTGTTCCAATTGATGGCAGTTGGGTTTGGTATTATCTGTGGTTTCAGACATCGACTGCAGGTCTTGGACTGTATCCTCTATGGAAAAGAGGGGACTACTGTACTAGCACCTGCATTGGCCAGATGCTAAGTAGAAACAGAAGCTGCCTTGAACTTAGGGAGGCCCTGGGTGTACAGTGATTTTTCTATGCCATTTGTGGTGCCATTTCTGCAGCCCACCAGGGTGCAGCCTGCAGAAGGAAAGTCACACAGCTCTTTCCTCCCTCCAGGGGTCCTTACAATAATGAATGATGGCAAAGAGTCAAAGATAGGATGATGATAATGCCTACTTTTTATTGAGCACTTCTTGTAGATACATGCACATGTGTGTATTTCATTCTTAACAAGTATTATTGCAAAACTGAGGTTCAGAGAGGTTGCATCACACCCTTGAGCATGAAGAAGACAGGGAGGGTGGCTGTAATAATAGGGACAGTCCTCCAAAGCATGACATCCGACTCTTTTGATGGTTGGGCAGCTAGTGTGCCAGGGAAATAATTATCTGTCTCCTTAGCAACCCCCAATATTTGGCTTAGTTGTCATTGATGCATTTCAGTTATCTTCATGTCGTTAAAGAAATAGGTCTCAGGAAATTTAATCCAGCTAGCAGTGCTATGCCTAGAATTCAATTAACTCCATGATTTGCAATTAATGAGCCCTCATGCCAAGATTGAGGTCATAGCATTAATCTTACTTTTATTTTAGGATTTCCACTGTCATGATTTACAGCGAAATCCAGCCAATCTTGTCAGGATTATTGGAGCATAATTAAGCCAGAAAGGCAGGCAGAACAGCTAGTTAACATGGGATCCAGGGAGGGACCACATACCTTTGCTTGGTAAGCCTACCTCAAGCAGGATGGGGCTACATATGAGGATTTCCATCTAAGGACTGTTTCCCAGATGCCTGATCTGTATACATTTCAAATCCCCATCCAATCTCCAAAGAAAATATTTCCGAGTCCCAGTTGGTGAGCCCTTGTGAGTTATGTTGTTGTTAATTCAATGCTACCACATCCACCTCCACCTCAAGTTGCCATTTACTAAGTTGTAAATGTAACAGACAGTGAGTGGGCTTTTACAGATGATGGATTTAATATCTGTGATGATTCTATGAGGAAGGTATCATAGGCCTTCTCTCTGTATAAGGTTATACAGCAAGTAAGTGGCCTTTCCACTGAACTGATGGAAGGTTGTGGCAGTTCCTAGCTGCAGACCATTTTTGTGCTTCTCTCCCTTTCGTGTGTGTGTGTGTGTGTGTGTGTGTGTGTGTGTGTGTATTTTGCCCATTAGGATCTCCTCCACTTTCCCATATAGAAATAAGAAGGTAGGCATGCATAGGCAAATATTGTTTATGATTGCCTTCTAGGTGACAAATACTCATCCATCATTATCTCATTTAATCATCGTATACATGGGAGGAGGATATTATCTACCTCCATTTTACAGTTGAGAAAACTGAGGCTTAGAGAGATTTACTAGTTTGCCTGCTGTTACACAGATAGCAAGGAAGGAGAGTCAGTGTTGTGAATCCAGGTATGCTTGTTTGCAAATCCTAGGTTCTTTTAATCACAACACGCTAGTACTAAATAAATGCTTTTTCTCTTTTCCTGGTTCTCCAGGAGTGGTTATTATTGAGTCGAGAATTTTTGGGAAAAGTAACACGTGGAGAGTCAATTTTTGAGTGGAAGGAGTCTGAAGAGAGGGTAGGAACCAACCTCCTACTACCCACCAGGTAAGGGTGTACTTTTGGCCTTTGGGATTTAGCCCATGTCTTCTGTATGTAGAGTGCAGATCCAGGTTGGCTACCATGTCTGGCCAACCAAGCACAGAAGCCAACCCCTCCCATTGACTTTACTTTTGCTCAGTGTTTGGTTTTTCCACAAGGGAGGGTAGTGGCCAGATGTTTATGAGAAGGTCTCCATAAGCCAAGTCCACACCAGAAGCTGACCCCACAGCTAGCGGTAGCTTTCTTTGCCCTAGAGACCAGTGAAACAGAGGAGTAGCAGGTTCTCTTTGTACTTAGGTAGCAGATTTTCCTCCAAATGCTTGCTGTGGGTTTTTTGGGTTTTCTCCTAGGATTCACCTTCAGACTGTATCTGCCTCCCTGTGTAGTTAGCATTTAGAAGTGTCCTCACTGGGTTTGCTTAGCCTCATTGAACATTTTTATGCCTGGCATGGCTTACTAGAGACTACCTATTGGAAGTGCCTACTAATACAATTTTCTGATAATTTAGATGCTGAAGGACTTCCTTGAAATTTTCTTCGGCTGGCTTGGGATGGAATACTTGCTTTTGAAATATGCCCTAAAGAGTGTGCTATCCCTGGGGAAATCCACTTGTCTCAGGCAATATTAATCTGCTCTGCGAACAGCTTGTTGGAAATTTGCTGATAATCCATTTTTTTTTTGTCATTCCATATCTCAGTGTGAGAGAGTAAGAGAATTTGGTAAAAGTTCTTACTTTTTAGCTTGACCTTCTGAGGTCTGAGGAGCACTCACCTTCCCAGTCTCATCTTCCATCCCTCTCTAACACACCCTCAAGTTCCCTGAGGAAACAACATTATATCCTGGTTCCAGTATGTATTATAGTTGGTGCCTTAGGAAAATTACTTTCTTTTTCAGAGACCCCTGCCCCACCCTTCCTCATCTGCTTAGGGGAGACTGTAATACTCATCTTTCAGTGCTGGGTAAGCCTAGCATGTTCCCTAGTATGCTTATAATCAGAGCTCAGTTATGATCCTTTCACTTTTATGTCTGTCCTTGACATGATGTTCTCTTAACCTTTGCTTGCTCTCCAACATTATTTTGTACTAAATAATGGACTAAAATGCCCTTCAGCCCATTTCCATCCAAACTGCAATTCAGGCATCACCTCTGCCATAAGCCATCCTCTTTCCAACAACCTTCAACACCACCCCCGCTCCACCACCCCTGCCTGCCACACACACACAGACATACACAGGCTGGAAATAAGCTCCTCAGAATGCTTATCTACTTTATATGCAACTTTATAATACTTCTTGGTGTGTCTAAACAGTAGAAAATCAACTAATAATTATAATGCAGCACTGTGAGAGATATGAGAGAAAAAATACTAATGACTCAGAAGACTACATTTCATTGCTAAGTGGAAATATGGCAGGTCCAAATCTATACACAGTATCATCTTTATTTCTATGTATGTGGACACACAACACAAAATGTGTATATGTACGTATACACAAAAACAGAACTAAGAATGTAAGGATATATAGTCTCCAAAATGTTAACAGTGGTACCCTTGTTTATTTTCTTCTCTATCTTAATTTCATCTTCTTTGGTTTCAGTAGACCTCAGGGGTAGAGAAGTGAGTTAATCATACTGCTTTGCAGTCTTTATACGGCACAAGGCCCCGTCTGGTTTTATTGTAGATTTTCTTTTTTTTTTTTACTTCATCAGCCTCAATTCCATCCTCCTCACCCAGCCATTTGGTTTCTTTCTGATGCTCTTTATGTATGTCCTTAAGTGTGCCCAAATTTTCCACATTCTTTATGTCTTCTATATTATAGATATATATGATATTATTGTGTAATGCAACGTATTTTAATGTATAAAATATAACAAAATATAGGTAATGTTTATATTTATATCTGAATGAAACCTTTTTTCATAAATTAGAAACTGGAATTCATGTCTCTGCTTTTTACCTCTTTTCCCCGTTGTCTCCCCTCCCCTCAACACTGCAATCACACACACATGCATGTGCACACACACACACGTGCACACATACACACACACACAAAAATGAAGATTTTCTTGACCAGTCGTACTTCCAGTTCCAAAATCTCAGGATTCCTTGTTGCATATATTGGTTGACTCCCTCCCTTGAGCTCTCTGATATATGGTTTTGTAAGAAGTTTTTAACATGATTTTTCTCAAGTAATTGAGCTCCTAGTTTTTAGCATAGTACAGCAGAGTTTGAACAGAGAATGACCAATGGCAATGCAGACAGCCTTATTGGACTAAGGATGGCATTTTCTGGTGATTCGTATGTTTGGCTTATCTTCCCCAGTCTAGGCTCTATTCAAGCATATGGCAAAAGGGACACACCATTTGCAGTTAGAGCAATATTTGTTTCCTTGCCCTGCCAGCTACTAGCAAGCTAAGTGACTTGAGCCTTAATTTCATCATTATGCCTTAAAGCACTTCAATGAATCTTAATTGACACCCAGAAATACGCATTTTTTAACCTTTTGAAATTTGTCGATAATTATTTTATGCCCCAGCATATGTAAACACTTGATAAGAGGGTATATTCTTCAGTTGTTGGTTGCAGTATTCTATAAATGTCAATTAGGGCAATGTAGTATTGTTGTTCAAATGTTTTCTTCCCATACCAATGTTTTGTCTACTTGTTCTTAAAAAGTCTGCATTTGTGATTGTGGGTTTGTCCCTTTATGTCTACTTTTCTGTTCATTTTTGCTTCATATACTTAGAAGCTGTGCATACATTTAGAATGATATGGAATAATTGACCCTTTATTATTATGAAACATTATTCCTTAACTCTGTAATATTGTCTTGAAATTAATTTGTATCATGTTAATATAGGCCTACCTGCTTTCTTTTGCTTACTGTATGATTAATATTTTCTCATCCTTTGCTATTAACCTATCTGTAACTTTGTAATTAAAGTACATCTCTTGTAGACAGCATATAATTTGTGTTTTTTTTATGCAGTCTGATAATCTCTGTCTTTTAGTGATAGTATCTGGCCTATTTAGATTTATTATAATTATTAATATAATTGGGATTAAGTCTACTCTCGTTATTTGTTTCTAACTATTGCTTCTGTTTTTAGTTTCTCTATTCTTTTCAGCTTTGTTAGGATTAAGCATATATTTTAATATGAAATTTTAATTCTTCTGGCTTTTTGGCTATATATATGTGGTACGTATATTTGTGTGTGTGCATGTGTGTATATATATAAATATATATAAATATATATGTAAATATATAAATATATATGTAAATATATATAAGTATATGTGAATACATATAAATATATGTAAATGCATATATAAAAATATATATGTAAATACATATATAAAAATATATATGTAAATATATATATAAATAAATATGTAAATATATATATATAAATATATATGTAAATATATATATTTGGTATGTGGTTTCTCCAGAGATTGCAATATTTATTCTTCACTTATCACTGTATACATAAAATAAAATAAGAGAATGTTATAGCAGTAAAATTTCACTTACCTTCCACCCATCTTTTGTGCTATTTTGTCATATATTTTTCATCTGTGTAATAACACCACAATACAATGTTGTTATTTTTGCTTGCAACAGTGATCTTTCAGATGCATTAAGAGAAGAAAACCATAATCTTTTATATTCACCCAGACATTTACCATTTCTGGTACACTTCATCCTTTCCTACAGATCTGAGTTTTCATCTGGTAACATTGCCCTTAAGGCTGAAGAACTCCTTTTAGCATTTCTTATAATGCAGGTCAATTAGCAACACATTTTCTTGTGTTTTTAATATAAAATTTTGTTTTGAAAGGATTTTTTGCTGTCTATAAAGTTCTTGGTTGATCATTTTTTTCTATCAGCACTCTAAAAAAATTCATTTCATTATTTTTTGACCTCCATTGTTTCTGATGAATGTTAGCCATTATTGACATTTTTGTTCCGCTATATGTAATGTATCTTTTTCTCTATCAGCTACTAAGATTTTCTTTTTCTTTTTCTCATTGGCAGTCTTATTCTGATGTGTCTAAGGTGATTCTTTGTATATTTATCCTGTTTTGGGTTTGCTGAGTTACTTGGATCTGCAGCAATAGTTTTTAACCAGGGACAATGTTGGTTCTCTAGGAAACGTTTGGCAATGTTTGGAGGTATTTTTGGTTGTCTTTGCTTAGAGTTCAGATAGGAGAGGATATTACTTGAAATTAGTTAATAGAGGCTAGGGATGCTGCCAAAAGTTCTACAATGTCCACGACAGGCCCCCACAACAAAGAATTATCCAATTTACAATTCAATAGTGCTAAGTGCCGAGGTTGAGACATTTGCATTTTGAGTTGAATTTTTTTCCACCAAATATTGGAAATAAAATAGTTTTTCTGCTCCATTTTCTTCCTGCGTCCCTTCTTAGACTCTGCTTACATGATGGTAAACTGCTTGCATGATGTTGTCTCACAGGTCACTGAGACTCTGTTTTTAATTTCTGTCGACCTGCCTTCAAGTTCATAACATTTTCTTTTGCAGTTTCGAATCTCCTGTTAAGATCATTTAGCAAAATTTTCATTTCAGATATTATACTTTTTAATTCTGCTATTTTCTTCTTCTTTTTAAAAATATTCTTTGCTGGTAGCTCATTAGACTACCTCTTTGTTTAAGCCTTTGAACATATTAATAAGCTTAAAGTTCTTGTCTACTAATTCTAATATCTGAAGCATTTCAGGTTCTATTTCTATTTACTGCTCTTTTATTGTTCAATTTTTACTGCTCCTTTATATCTGTAGTTTTATTGTATGATAAACATTGTGATGATACTTTGTTGGAAGTCTGGATTACCATTTTCTTTGAAAACATGTTAAATTTTATTCTGGAAGACAGTTAAATTACCGACATATCCTTCTGGTCATTAGGCTTGATTTTATTCTTTGTTAAAATGGGTCTATTGTGGTTTTCAACTTAGTCCTAGGAATGCAGCCTTTATTCCAAGGTGTAGTCCTTATTCCTAGTGTGATGTGGCCTTTCTGATACAGAAACACTGAATATCCAGCTAAATGCCTGAGATGCTCAGCAAGAGCTTTCCATTTTGGCTATGCTAGAGCTCCAACATATGCCAGCATTTATAACCTCTGGTATATAGTGCTGGTTTAGTTCTCAACCCTGCATCAGGCAGTCTCTGCTGGGCCTTGTGAAGTCTTACTCTCTATATTTACAGCCCAGACCTCAGCTAAGGACTCAGGGTGAATTTCCATGCAGTCTTTTCCCTCCTATCCCTCCAGCACCCCTAATCCCTATGTCCACACTGTGCCTCTCCCTATTTTCTTTTATATTGTCCCACATATTCCTGCTTCTTAGTAGTTTTTGTATTTTGATCCCTGCCTTCACAGCTCAGGGGACCACTATTCTACTTGGGCTCTAGATCATTTTATGGTAATAGGAAAGTGCTTCCAGGCAAAAGCTGGAGCAATTGTGAGGCTCATCTTGTGTGGTTTCTTTCTTTCAAAGATCTCAGTCCTTCTTAGACTGTTGTTTAATGCCTAAAAAACAGATGTTTTATATAACTTATCTAGTTTATCACAGGAGCTCAAGTCCAATACCATTATCATGGTTGGAAGTGGAAATCAGGAATATGCATTTTAAGTAAAGACCCCAGATAATTCTGAAACTGATGGTTGTGGGTTCATATTTTAGAACTGCTGATGTAAATTATTTAAAGTAGATATAAAGTATTCAAAGTAGCCCCAGCTTTCTGAGGAATTGTCAGAGGATCTCTACTCTCCAGGAGGTCTAGGTATTTTATATTTTGCAAAGGATAAAGGACTTTTATCTGAAATGTTTCTTGGTGTGAGATCCCTTTGAGTGTGGTGTATGTGTATGCGTATATTTGCTACAGTGCTGAGTTGTACTCTGTGTTTTCACCATCTTGTGTATAGACAATGCACAATAGAATACCACACCATAGCAGAATCATTGATCAAATATACTGCAAGAATGAATCATCCATACATGTGTGTGTACACACACAGTTATATATATTTTTTTTTTCTTAAGATGGAGTTTCGCTCTTGTTGCCCAGGCTGGAGTGCAGTGGCGCGATCTCGGCTCAATGCAACCTCTGCCTTCAGGTTCAAGCAATTCTCCTGCTTCAGCCTCCCAAGTAGCTGGGATTACAGGCGTCCACCACCATGCCCGGCTAATTTTTTGTGTTTTTAGTAGAGACGGGGTTTCACCATGTTGGCCAGGCTGGTCTTGAACTCCTGACTTCAGGTGATCCACCCGCCTCAGCTTCCCAAAGTGCTAGGATTACAGGTGTGGGCCACTGCACCCGGCCTTATAAACATTTTCAATATGTAGTTTTATATGTAAATTTCATGTGTCAATAAAGCTATTTTTTTCAAAAAGTTAAGTCATGGCAATGATTTGGGGAAGTCATTTTATTTTCCTGGTGCATCCATTTGAGGCATAGGGATACATTGCTAATATTCTATTGAGTATTAAAGTGTTATGAGTCTGGGTTCTTTCCTCTCATTGTCCAAGGGGGGCTTCCAGCTCTCTGACTGTTATGTTCCTGACTGTGCCTGATGAAATGAAAAAAACATGGGTCTTGTCTTCACACCGACATTTGGATATATCCTAACTAAGTAATCTGGTGAATGAACTGACCTCTGACTCTCTTTTGATTTAGGCTAGAAGTCCAATGCACTATCCATTGTGCCACAGAGCCTGCCTGCTTGCACGAATTGACCTCTTTGAGACACAGTTCCCTTATCTGAAAAATAAGAGCAAAAATATATTTCAGTTTTAATGTGTGGGATACTGTATATTCCTAGCATGGTGCCTAACATATAGTAAGGCCACTTTGGTATATGTGTAGCACATGTGTGTGTTGTATGTAGCACATAGCATATATACCCTTACCTTGATCTTGTAAACGACAAACAATATTCATCCACAACCACTGCTACTTTTCTGGAGAACAGTAATTTGATCTTTCTCTCAGAAGTTGGCTTGCAATGGCAGCTCCAGAATTTCTGCCTTGGAGCTAAGAGAAGACAATCTTGGTAGAAGGGGAGGAGCTTGAGAAAACGCTTCTTAGAGCTGCATATGCATAACAAGCACACTGGTTTTCTAAAATTCTACCTGTATATGGGGGGTTGTTTGGGAAGACTGATAGAGTTCTCTCAGTTGCCCTTTGGTGCCTATATTGTCTCCCCTGTCTCTCTTAAATGGAACTGAAATGTCGAACAGAAAATTTTTGCCTTATTTTTTTCTCTTTGCAGTTTTCTTTAAGTAGACCATCAGTCCTCTGCTATCTCTATTCTCTATCATAGACAAGGTCAGATAACAGCAAGGACATTTTCTCTGTTCCAGGGTGGTAATTAAGAGGGAAATGTCATAGTCCATTTTATGCAATTTAAGCCCTGATCTTTTGATTAGAGAAGGGAGGAAAAAAACAATTGATGGCCCCTCACTTTCTGGAGTTGAGGTTCCATGTGGTGCCCAGAACCCTTTCTGTTTCTTCAGGTTTCTATTGAGGATTCTGATCTCATTGAATAGATTTGATTATTATTATTTCATAATGCAGAGCCTTTTTATTTGGTCCACATGTTGAAGAGTAAAGATTCCTTATTTAGACCCCTTTTCCCTGGCACATCATAAGTACTTACTTTGTCTGTTGAATCAAATTAAGCAATATCCATGTAAAGTTTTATATGAGAGTTTATTGAGTAGAATTTGGATTGGCACCTGTAGCCTGATTTCTTTGATCCTTGAAGGAACAAAATATGTTACATCCATTTGACTGGAATTCCCCTAGCACCAACAGCCTGGTTGTGAACACTGTGCCCTATCTTTATTATACGCAGAGTTCATTTTGGTTTCAATGTAGTCATTACTTTGTATTTCTCATTTTTTCCACTCTTATCAATCTTTTTTCATGTTGTCGATCCTTTTGGGAAAGAGGAGCTAGTATTGGTTTCTTAATTAGTTCTTCTATCTCTTTGAAGATAAACATTTCCCATCAAATATTAGCCTTCTTTACAATAAAGCGCATGTTGTATTTCAAGAAATCTCCATCTTTTAGGCAGGCTTTCTCAGTGGGTGCAGTGTTGCAATCAGAAATTCTGAAAAGCTTGAGGAGACAGTGAAACAGTGAAAGCATCTAGTCATATTTGCTACCTACAGTTAAGCAAAGACCAGATCACTGCCAAAGTTGATCTGTTTGGTCTTCCTTGCCATCTCTGCCATCTTCTCTTTGATTATTGCATTCCATAGCAGCTCAGTTTCACATACTTTTATTGAGTGCTTACTGTGTGCCATATATTGCACTTAGGGGACTGTGAAGAGGCATGAAACATGCTTCTTGCTGTTGAAGACTCAATAGCAAGTAATTGAGTTGAGGGGAGGTAGACTCATTCACAAGTAATTATAATGCAAGCTGACTGCTCTGAGTCCTAGGATGGAGGAACAGAATGAGGTGGGAGAATGGAGGCATGAGAGACAAAAAGTACCTCTTGAAAGAGGCAGGATGGGGAAGTGAATAAGAGCAGAGGCTTTGGGTCCAGCCAAACCTAGCTTCATTTCATTCTGTTGTGACTGTTACTAAACTTCACCAAAACCTCAGTTTCCTCAGTGGGACTCCCACCTGCCACTGTGCTTAGTGCAAGCATCCCATTTAGTTGTTTATGGAAACTGCTTAGCTGAGTGTCTAGCCTAGAGTACATGTTTAGTAGATGGCCTTTGTATGAGGATGATGATAGTGTTAAAGAATTTTAAAAGTGGAGGGGACTTAGGAAATCACTTAATTCATTCTCCTATGTTTATATTCTTGGAGACTCTGAGTTTGTGATTCTCCCATAGCTTGGGAAATAGCTGAGCCATCATAGTCTAGTATTCTTCCCATTAACAACCTGAAAAGTGAGTGTGGACGTACTCATGTGTGCACGTACAGATTTCATGGTGTCTGTAAGTGATGACAAAAGCTTTAATAACTGGCACACTAGCATAATATAGAAATCAATATATATCAATGTAAAATATAACCCCCTTTTATTCTGTAAATAAATACACACAAGCACATGTATATTATCACTGTTTATAGCACAAATTATCACTCTAATTTCCAATTTTTTAATTGATTTTTGGACATTCTGAAGAGTATTCTTGTTACTAGCTAAATGATCTCCATTTCCGGGCCATGGTTTGACATAGGGAATGCCAGCCAAACCTTCCAGCAACTTCCCCATTAAATTGATTATTCTGGTTGGGCGTAGTGGCTGACACATGTAATCCCAGCACTTTGGGAGGTCAAGGCAGGCAGATCACTTGAGCTCAGGAGTTTGAGAACATGGCGAAACCCCGTTGCTGCAGAAAATACAAAAATTAGCCAGGCATGGGTGCAACCCTGTAGTCCCAGCTACTCAGGAGGTGGAGTTGGGAGGATCGCTTGAGCCTGGGAGGCGGAGGTTGCAGTGAGCCAAGATTGGGCCACTGCACTGCACAGCCTGGGCAAGAGAGCCACACCCTGTCTCAAAAAAAAAAAAAAAAAAAAAAGAAAAAGATTATCCTAAGGGCCCTGGCACTTTATTGCAGTACAAAGAGAGTTGGGTGTGCTATTGCCTTGTAAGAGCTGTGATGGTCTTGGATGCCTATGCTTCCTATGTGGCCTGAAACGAGAAAGCCTGACTCATTGGCATTACCTGCTCTGTGGCCTCTGCCTGCCAGTGCTTAGCTCCCCTGGAGCCTTCCATGGATGCTACACATGCCCCTGCTTCTGCTCTCTTGGTCTGTTGAGCAGCTGTGTCCAGGGCCACAGCTGTAGCTTATACCACGTGCCACCTAGTACATAAGTATTGTAATATATCAAAAACCAGTACTACTGAATCTGAGTGAACCTGAATATTAGTCCTGCAAATAGCTCACAATAAGTCCTCCTACCAGGCACCAGGTCACGTCAAGATGAGAAGCAGAAACTTCAGAGTGATAAAGAGGTTCACTTCTGTTAAACATTTGTTCTTCTGAACTATCAAAAGTGAAGAGTTTCCATGGGCCATAGCTTGGATACACCAATAGGAGATTCTTACCCTAGGGAGGCTTGCTAGACACATCTCCAGTCTGGCTTTGTTAACCCTGAAATGGAACAGCATGGCTTTTTTTTTTTTTTTTTTTTTTTCTGGCCAAGGCTGCGTGAGTTTGCTAGAGGCAGCATTTTTTTGTGGCTTTATCTTCTATGTGCCATTCTATTAATATTTCTATTCTACAGATAAGGAAATCAAGACTTCTCTAGACTATATATCCAGCTAATAGCAGAGGTAGGATCCAGATCAGTTCTGGCTGAACTGAAGCTGACATAAAGCCTGTATTTTAATACAGGTTGCCTTCTGTAATGCCTAACCTCTTGTTTGGCATAGGGGTTATTGATTTGTTATTTTGCTAAATGTTATCTTTTTTTCTCTGAAATTTTAATTTCTAGTTGGATTCCCAGCCATTTGTGGGAGGCATTCCTTGGAATCATGTACTATGAGTGCTGAATTTCTAAGAATTAAAATAAAAATTCTGACAGGCATGGTGGCTCATAACTGTAATTCCAGCACTTTGGGAGGCTAAGGCCGGCCAATCACCTGAGGTTAGGAGTTCGAGACCAGCCTGGGAAACATGGTGAAACCCTGTCTCTACAAAAAATTAACTGGGTGTGGTGGTGCATGCCTGTAATCCCAGCTACTCGGGAGGCTGAGGTGGGAGACTCACTTGAGCCCAGGAGGTGGAGGTTGCAGTGAGCCGAGACTGCACCACTGCACTGCAGCCTAGATAACAGAATGATACTCTGTCTCAAAAATAAATAAATAAATAAATAAAATAAAATAAAATAAAATAAATTTAAAAAAATAAAAATTTCTGGTCATTTTAGAAGATCTCATTACATAAAAATCACAATGTCATGCGTGTTATTATTTGATCCTGTTGATGACATGAGGCATGTAGAAAAGTTTTTGTTCTTAATTAGTTCCAGTTTATAGGGTGGGGAGTTGGTGGGGGGAAGGAGGCCTAGAGGAGTAAAATGACATACTCAAGGTCACACAGCTTTTAAGCAGAAAAACCAAGTTTCAAGTCTGAGACCTCTCTTCTCAAAGTCTGTTACATTTCCTCAAAGCTTCCCTGGAGTGAGATGAATGGGGAATGAGACGTAAGCAGCCTTTGGAGCCAAAGCAGTGGCTTTTTCCATGGTATATCTACTTGTTATGCCCATACGATCCATTTCTCTAACTGCTGGGAGCCAAGATCTGAAAAATCTGTTACAAAGAAGGATGATGAAGCCCTTTGTGATAATGACACGAGTTCCTTCCTTGCCCTTTGCCAAGCACTGTGAAGGAATGGCTTTTCCCTAGAGTGGGGCATCTCTACAGAGTCACTTTAGTTTCAGGGATTTCTATCCCACAGTTGTCAATTTTATAGAAGCCAGGACAAGACATTTTTAACATTGTGACTCTTAACCACTGAGAAAAATGCCCACTGGTGAATGGGAACATGAATATGACATGATTCTAATGCCAAGTTCACTTTATCAGTCGTCTCTCCAAAAGGCTGATCCTGAACACTATGGGATACTAACTCACTTTACTAGACCTGGATGATGAAAACATTCTGGAAAGAGGAAAAGTGATGTTCTGTGGAAGTGTTTTTGTGGAGTCCCAGAGGATCCACTGAAGAAGGCTGATGTCCCAAGAACTGCAGTTGGTGCCAAGTGTTGGTTGAATTCTTGAGAGCAAGAACTGCAGTTGGTGCCAAGTTGCTGCCCATCTCCTCCCTGTCCCCAGCATATTAGATCATCTTGAGTATTGATGCTGGAGCTGAGACAGTTACCACTGTGATGAAGCTGGGTCTGAAGTCTTAGAATAAGTCAAATGTAGAAGGATGTTCCTTCCTGGCAAGCCCCTAGCCTGCTTGGAGTGAGGGGGGCACACAGGCTCTTGGAGGGCTGTTGGCAGCATTTGCCTGCCTCTCCCAGGCCAGCTGAGAAACTTGTGTGGCTGTGAACTGTGATGAATCACGCAAGAGGAAGGAGGTCTCTACAGCTGTTGAGGAAGGACATATCAAACTTGAATAGCATAGCACTTGGCTCTTTATTTTATGTAACATATTTTTAATTGTAAAACTAATGAATGTGGCCGGGCACGGTGGCTCATGCCTGTAATCCCAGCACATTGGGAGGCCGAGGCTGGCGGATCACTTTAGGTCAGGACTTCAAGACCAGCCTCACCAACATGGCGAAACCCCATCTCTACTAAAAATACAAAAATTAGCTGGGCATGGTGGCGGGCACCTGTAATCCCAGCTTATCGGGAGGCCGACGCAGGTGAATCACTTGAACCTGGGAGGCAGAGGTTGCAGTGAGCTGAGATCGCACCACTATACTCTGGCCTGGGCGATAGAGCGAGACTCAGTCTCAAAAAAAAAAAAAAAAAAAAAACAAAACCTAATGAATGTAACTTGCAGAAAATTTAGAAAATATAATCATAAAAACAAACAAAAATCACTCATCATTTTCCCAGATATAATTAAATATAATTACTATAACTGTTTTGAAAATGTAGTGGATAAAAGCCTGGACTCTAGAATAGCCTGCATGGGTACAAATCCTGGCTTACTAACTGTAGGACCTGGGGTGAATCACTGATATGTCTTTGCTTCAGTTTCCTTGTGTATAAGATGAAGATAGCAATGGTATTGCCTTCATAGGGTATTTGTGAAGATTAAATGTGTTACTACATATAAAGAATTTAGATCAGTGGCCTAGTATGTGGTAGGCATTCAGTAGGTTTCAGTTGTTATTATTTTATGTTTATTATATCCTCTGAATTGTTTCTCTAAACTGAGATAGTTTTCTTTTACAAAAGTAAGATTACACAGTGGATTATGTGTTGTAGCCTGCTTATTTTACATTTAGCCTTTGCCATGCCCTTCTGTACTTTTCTGCAAAATGATTTTAGTAGCTAACCATATGGCGTTATTAGAGATATTTAACAATTCCCTTACTATTGAAAAAAATACATCATTTATAGCCTCTTGCCATGGTAAACACTATCTTGATGAACGTCTCTTTTTGGTAAGTTTTTGCATACCATCCTTCTTTTGATGACAGTATTTTATGGGGGAGCATTTCTTCTTAGAGGACCAGATGGAATTATCCACAGCCCAGGGTGCCATAGGCATGTACTGAATAAGCATATGAGGGGATGATCACTATGCATTATGGACACTCCTTCTCCTTTGATACCACTTCTCACAGTGTTTTGTCCACGGCTAAGAAATCAATAAAATGTTTATGAAAAGCAGCCACACTTTTTTATATTTTCAGTTACATTAAGGCAGTTAAGACTAGCCCTAGCATTTGTGTTTATCTTCTTTATATAATTTCTAAATGACTATTGAATCATCTCAAATCTCTTTTGGAATGAAGCTCGATACAAATAAATGATCAAACAGCCAACTAGCAATCTAGTGGGAGACAGAAATTCTCTCCCAGGAAACACAAATTTTATGTCACTCTTGACAGCAAGGACTGGTCAGGTTCCTACAACTTGGAAGGAATAGGATACTGCGTCTAGTTTCCCAAACATTAGGAATCCCAAGGAAAACTTATTTCTTACACCCTTAAAGTGACTCAGAGGTAAAAGTGCAATTCTCTGATGTTTGTCCTTGGTGGGCTTAGATTTTCACACCACAGACATCATTGAAACAAGAATCTACTTGGAGCCTTAGAGGCAGTCCTGGACCTTTCTCTTTGGATGGCACTCACATGCTCTGTCAACTCTGATGTCCTCACCTTCACTCTCTTACACCCTCAAATCCCTGAGGACCCTTAGTAAGCAGAGTGTTCTTTCCACTGGGTGCCATTTTAGCCAAAGTATTTAGAAAGGTGTTGGAGGTAGCAAGCTCTGCATTCCTAAGAACACAAGTGGTGTTAACCATCTGATGCAAGGGTTGGAAAACTTTTTCTGTAAAGGGCCAGAGAGTAAATGCTTTAGACTTTGTGGGCCGTAAGATCTGTGGCACTACTATTTTAACTCTGCATTGTAGCATGAAAGCAACCATAGGCAAGATGTAAACACATAAGGGTACTTTACTTCTGGACATTGAAATTTGACCCTCATACCAGTTTCATGTTATGAAATATCATTCTTCTTTCTACTTTTTTCAATCATTTAAAAATGTAAAAGCCATTGTTATTTCACAGACTGTACAAAAACAGGCCGTGGACTGGATCTGGCCCATGGGATCCAGTTTGTTACCCCTTGATCTACCGTGGTCATTGTTTGTCTTCTGCATTTCTTTCTCATTGCACCATTTTCTTCTTTGTTGTGCCATATTTTGAAACCTCTCTGCCCTTTCTCTTAACTAGCTGAGGCTAAAATATTTGCAGAATCTGCACTTTTGGCACTTATGTGGCTCATCAGGGAAAGCCAGAATATCTACCTAAAAGAACCAGTAGAGCAACATCAAATAATGCCCCTCTTCTTTTTTGTGTGGCCTTGCCAGTTCAACGTATAATTTGAATATATGAAGGTTACAGATGGACTCTGGCAAGTTGTTCTGATTTCTGCAGCATTCCAAAGCTCTAATGAGCAGAGCATGCAGCCTGAGGGATGGTGAGAGTCTGATTTTTAGATAATCAAGGATATTTATATCTTTTAATAGGCTGGTGCCTTGTAGTTCTATTCCAGCATAAAACTGAGAGTTGAAGAGACATCTAATCAATTTGATGTCCTCTCTTTAACAGTTATATATCAAAGGGGTGTTCAGGCTGAACACATGAAAATGTTACAGGGATGGAAATGGGAGAATTATAAACATTTTATGCTGCTCTATCCTCACTATATTTAAAACAAAAACATGATACAGATTTTTACATGGTGGGGTGTGTTTACAGGGAAATAATGTGCTCTATTTCATATGAAACAGGACACAAGAGAGCATTCTCAGATTTGTAACACTAGCCGTAGTCTGTGGAGGTGCCCATTAGACCTGTTCCTGGCCTTTTATTCAGGGCTGTGAAGCAGTAGGGGCGACAGAGGCTCGGCTGCCTGCGTAATGAGATTGACTTGGTTTGCCTGGCATGCAGTGATTTATGAGGGTGCTTATTGTAGGGATATCTGCCGCTGAGAGCAGCCAGATGAAAGGTGTGTGGGTGAGAGGTGGAGGAGAGCAGGGAATAGGAGAGAGGCAGTTGTGTATAGGCAGGTAAGGCTCATCTTGATTATAGTTGTTGGAATCCTGAGCTGAGTGAAGATGTAGAATAGTGTGAAATGGTAGATTAGCAAGGCTTTGGAATTGCACAGATATGGGTTTGAATTGCTGACCCTTCCACTCGTTAACTGGACTCTTTGGTGAGTTACTTTCCTTCTTTGAGCTTCCATTGCTTCATCTGTAAACTGGGGATAATAACCACTTCCACTCTCCCGCTATATGAAACTGTACTATCATAAAGGTCTGAGCACAGTTCCTGTTGCATTGGAGAGCTCAGTTAGTGGTAGAGATGATTAATGTTTGTCCATATGTCCATTCATTGTTTGTTTACCAGTATTCAATGTGCTTTGCAATTTCTAACAGAGCCTCATTTTCTAATAGATGTCTAATGGTGACTTAGACATCTGTTAGGTATCAATAGCTCTTAAGATCAGGATGGAAGAACATGACAGTCAACATGTATTTATAGATATATGTATGAACATCTAAGTGGCATGTAGGAGTGTACTGGTACCTGAAATATGATTGAAAGAACAGCCACCTGGCCAGTAAGCACAGTAAAAGATACTTCACCTCACTAGTAATCAGGGAAATTACCAAAATAGGACCAAAGTGAGATACTTATTTATACTTGACAAAGTGGTAAAAATGTAAAAGTCTGACAATACTAAGTGTTAAGGAGAATATAGAGTGAAGGAACACATATGTACTAGTTGTAGGAATTTAAACTGCTGTGACTGCTTTGGAGAATGGTTTGTCAATATCTAGATATATGAAGTGTACATACCTTATTTACTGGCAAATTCTGCTTGTAGGTATAATCTAGAGAGAGTCTTATGTATGTTATCAAAGTCATGTGTTCCTCACTGTGTTGCTTATTATAACAAATAGCCTACGTGTCCATCAGTGGGGTAATTGATACACACATTAATTGAGCTAAAGCTGCATTTGGTACCAGCATAGGTGAATTTTAAACAAAAGTAAGTGAAAAAAATAAAGTTGCAAAATTATGCAAATAGAAAACCATTTATGTACAGCTTGAAATCTTGGAAAATAATATTAATACATTTTTTGTGGATACAAACATATGGAATACAAGTTTGAAGAAATTAATTGGAATGACAAATATAAAATTCAGGCTGATATTAGGAGAAGAAAGTGGGATGTGATTGGAAGGGTTGCCTGGGTTCACTAGCTTGTATGCCCTTAGACAAGTTTCTTAACGTCTGTGCCTCAGTTTTCTGATCTATAACATAGGAATAATAATATTATCTATTTCATTGGGATGCTATGAGGATTAAATGACTGAATATAGATAAAATGCTTAGAAAAATACCTACCAGATAGTAAGTGTTATATATAAGTTAGCAATTATAGTGCCTATTACGTGAATATTTTTATTATTCTTTATTTTGAAAATCTTATATATTGCAAGTTTTGAAAAAGAATAGATGCCATTCTTGTCTTTTGTCATCATATAGTTGGAAAGTGAACAAAGATTAAAAATACCATCAATACAGGAATTTCAGGATGTGGCATAATAGAGTTTAGCTACGTTCTCTTGACCCCTAGATTTATTAGGTACCATGCCAACAGCTTTATATGCATTTATTTAATCTTTCCCTATGGAGTAGGCACAATTTTTATCCCTATTTTACAGATGGGAAGAAAGAGATTTAGAAAGACTGACTTCCAGGGTCACACAGCTAGGGGTAGCAAAGCTGGGCAGGAACCCAGGTGAGAATGACTCACGCTCTTGACTGCTAGGCCTTAAAGCCCTACCTGGCCACTGTTCACATTAACCACCTCCTCTACACAGATTCCTGCTTCCTTCCTGTATCAGCCTGCATAGGTTAGGTTGTGCTTTGGTTATGAACATTCCCAAAAGATCAGCGGCTTCTATTAACAAACAGGTGTTTCTTACTGTATTAGTCTGTTTTCACGCTGCTTTAAAGAACTACCTGAGACTCAGCAATTTATAAAGAAAAGAAGTTTAATTGATTCACAGTTCCACATGGCTGTAGAGGCCTCAGGAAACTTACAACCATGACAGAGGGTGAAGGGGAAGCAAGTCACATCTTACATGATGGCAGGACAGAGAAAGAGAGCAAGGACGGAAGTGCCACATTTTAAAACCTTCAGATCTCTCACTGTCATGAGAACAGCATGGGGAAAATCCACCTCCATGATCCAATCACTTCCCACCAGGTTCCTCCCCTGACCCGTGGAGATTACAACTTGAGACGAGATTTGAGTGGGGACATAGAACCAAACCATATTACTTACTCATGCCAAATATTCATCAAAGGTCACCTGGGTCATCAAAGGTCATATGCCACATAGCTCCTTTCTCTGGGACCCAGAAGTCATGGACAGAGCAGCCACAGTCTCCAACCTTGCTGATTGCTATGGCAAAGGGAGAGAGAAATACAGACAGAGAGAGAGAGAGACAGAGAAAGAGAGAAAGAGAGAGAGAAAAACTATGGAGAATATCACATTGACAGTTAAATGTACCCTGGAAGTGATGCACAACATACACTGTGATACACAGCACTTCCCCTCACACACATAGGCTGGAGCAGTGGTTTTCAACCAGGGGTGATTTTGCCTCCACTAGGGGATATTTGCCAATCTCTGGAGACATTTTTTATTGTCACAACTCAGAGGTGGAGTGGGGGTTGGGGCAGGTGCTACTGGCATCTAGTGAATAGAGGCCAGGAATGCTACTCAACACCTTGCAGTGCACAGGGACAACCCCCTCAAAACACGCACAATAAAGAAGTATTTAGCCTAAAATGTCAATAGTGCTGAGATTGAGAAGCCCTGGACTGGAGCTAAGCACAAGGGGCCAAAAAGCGCAATTTTAAGAAGCTATAAAGGGAAGAGAACCTGAAATATTTGACAGATAGCACTAATAGCTGCCATGCATCCTAAGGCCTAAAAGCTGTACTAAAGCCCCTTCAGAAGGTGTTTTTCATGATAGAAGTGAACCAGTGCTTTAAGGGATAGCCATGGAATGGGGCTTCTAGTATAGTCAGCTTCATCAGAGGGCCGAGGAGTGCCCTGGACTCACTGAAGTTGACTACTGCTCTTCCTCAGCAGTCTCTCTGGAGCAGCACTGTCCAAATGTAGTACAATAAAGGCCACATACGTAGCTTAAAAATTTTCAGTATCCACACCAAACAGGTAAAAAGGAGCAGGTGAAATTGATTTTACAGCTATAATTTCTTTAATTCAATATATTTAAATTATTATTTCAACATGTAATCAGTATAAAAATATTGAGATACTTTACATTCTTTTTTTTTTGCACCAAGCCTTTGGAATGTGTTGTGTGTTTTATATTTACTGCACATTTCAGTTGAGACTAGCCATATTTCAGGCGCTCAATTGTTACACATGGCTAGTAGCGGCAATACTGGAGGTTTCTGTTCCTGGGACTCAGTGAGGGACTGACCTGGGTCTCCCCTGAGGACCAGTAGCAATGCTATAACTCAGAGTCTATAAGTTCTGAGAGTGGGACACAATTTCCAGGAATATCTGTCCCAGACTCTTAAAGACAGTCTGTGTATGTTTTAAGAATGAAGAGGGATTGGTTTTCCGTGGATTCTCTGCCATCACCATTTTTGTTTGTTTGTTTTTTTTTTTTTTTGGCAGGTGCCTCATCTCCAGACATGGAGCCCAGCTATGGGGGAGGTCTCTTTGACATGGTAAAAGGAGGTGCAGGGAGGCTCTTTAGTAACCTAAAGGACAACTTGAAAGACACCCTCAAAGACACATCTTCTAGAGTGATACAATCTGTGACCAGGTACGCACATTCTTCCCAGTTAATTTAGTGGATCCCCATGCTCTCAAAGGATCTGGTTACCTGCTGACTGCTTGTCTGGCTCAAAGAGTGTCAATTTTGGGATATAATTTTATGGGATCTGATGAACTGAGAAATGTCATTGAAGACATAAAGTTAAGTCCTTTAGAAGCTATAAGCACGGGCTGGGAGGACTCAGTTCATTGCCACATTAGAGTATAATGGTTGCCCTCCCTGTCTTTAGAATCAAACATCTTGGGTTCTAATGCAATATCTGCCCTTGTTAACTAAGAGCCCTCAGGCAAGTTAATTAACCTCTCAGAGCTTTTTTTTTATACCCTGACAGGATTTGTGTCTTTGGGTTGTTTAGGGATTAAATGAGATTAAAATATACATGCAATCTGAATAAGCATTACCTACGGATTGTAATCAAATCAGAACTTTGTTTTTGTTTCCTACTAGCCCTTTAACATTTATTCAGTGAGAGAAGTTTCCTACTCTTCCACTGTATGAAAATTCTTATAAGCAGGTCATAGGAGTTATTTTTTATTGTTTAGTATTAGAAAATTCTAGGGTCACTTTGAGTTACAATATGCAGTTCTTAATCAGAAATTCAAACGTCAAGTACATTATATTAATCAAAATTTTAATCTTTGTTCAAAGATAAAACTATTCTTACCTCTGATTCTCAACCAGGGCCTGGTAGGCAGAAAAATGGTGTCATTTATTTTTTCTCAACCACTTCTTCCCCTACCCCTTAGCCACTTACAATTATGGAAGATATTTCCAGGTAGGCAAAGAAGCTAGAACAATTGGTGTTGATAAATAAGCAGAGTTTTCTATTCTGAGATTGATTCAGATCATGAAGTGGCATCTACAAGGGCATTAGAATGCACCAGTTGGAGTGGCATATTTATACCCCTGAGGTCACGGGCTTTCTTTTCTCAGTGATCCTTCCTTGTTGGAGAGAAGGGCTGGAGGGGAGTCGAAACATGCCCCCTGGACAGCGGTGTCCCAGTTCATATGCGCAAGTGATTGAGAGAGAGAAATCTTGGCATATTTGGATCATTTTAATGAGTGCCCATTTTTGTCTTGCTTTTAGCTACACAAAGGGAGATTTAGACTTCACTTATGTTACCTCCAGAATTATTGGTAAGTTTCTCATGTTTATTAACAGTCCTTTGGCTCAGTTTCCCGTTGCTGCCCATCGTTATAGCAGACGTAAACATTTAACCTGTTTTCTTTCTGTGTGATCTCTCTCCTAGTGATGTCCTTTCCTCTGGACAATGTTGACATAGGATTCAGGAATCAGGTTGATGACATTCGAAGCTTTTTGGATTCCAGACATCTTGACCACTACACAGTATACAATCTGTCACCTAAGTCTTATCGAACTGCCAAGTTTCACAGCCGGGTAAGGATTTTTAGCCCTGAGATCATACTGTTGAAGACGTGATGGTGCTTTTCCTCCTCAGAGATACCCTTAAAGCACGTGCCCTTAGGCATCTGAAGCTGAAAAACTATACACTCTGGACACTTCTGTTCACAAAATATTTATTAGGCTGCTATGAGATATCCTAAAGATTTTCCTTGGGTGAGGATACTTACAGGAAAGTGTATCTGTCAATGAAATACCATCGAAGTTGGGGTCTCAAGTCTGTTGGTGCCTGGTTGTTCCATGGCACAGTGTTCATGAGGCTTAAGTTGGAGATTGAACTGCTGCTAGGGCAGTTGGCTGCCTTCATGCTGTTACACTAATTATGCCGTTGACCCTTCTTTATTGCTACTTGGTATCAAGATAAGGCAGTGTGGATAGACCGGTACTGACAAGTATTAATGGGAACGTGTTTCCATTAATATATTTTAAGAAGTTTTTTGAACTAGAGAGAGAAATATTCCTAGTTTCACCTTGGCTTAGGTTTGAATCTGATATCGAGCCTGATATTTCTGGCCACTGAATTCTGACTTACTCACTAAAAAAAGGCATTTTTTTCCCCTCTCAAGAACATCTCTAAATATTTTTGACTTAGCCTTCAGATATGATTGGTTCTGCAACTTCATTTGGGTCTATTAATAAATAGAATGGACTTTCTATGCATGGATCCTTTAAAAGTGAAACTTGATGTCAAATGTGTAAAATGATAGCTGGTTGACAATGCTGTGTATCTAGGATCTTAGCTTTGATGCTGGAACACACTTCGTTCCAAATTCCAGTTACCATTGATAATCTCTGGGCCTCAGTTTCCAGATCTGTAACACACACAAGAAAATTGGTGTACATGCTTTATATGGCTCCTTCCTGCCCTAATATTCAATAAGCTATGGGAGAGTTTTAAGGACCTCTTTTTCAGCGTATTCTGAGAACAGTCTCAAATTTTGGTGTGCATCAGAATCACTTGGAGGGCTTGTTAAACACAGACTTCTGATTCAGAAGGACAAGGGAGGCATAAGAATCTGCATTTCTAACAGCTTCCTGGGGGCTGCTCCTGATGTTGCTGCGGGGACCACTCTTTGATAAAGCACTGATAACGCCATTCTGAAGTGGTTTGATCTAAATTGCCATTCTATAATGAAGATTTTAAATGCATCTCTTTAAAATCTTCTGTAATAAAATAACCTTCCAACTCTTATTCCATCTATTAGCTAATTCAGAACAAGTGAATTAACATCAAACAAAAATGTGGATAGATATTTTGTTCTTAATGTAAGGCAAATCTTTTGAATTATTTTTCTTGACTGGAGGCTAAGTCAGTGCCATTATTTTCATAATTTAAGGACTGTGGAACATCCTACACAATATTTCATAGAAATTTTATTTGACCTTGAAAGATCTGTGATAATCTGGAGCATTTTCCCTCTGAAAGTAAATAAAGATATGATATCATTATAGAAGCATTTATACATATAAAGATGTCTCTTTGTATAATGTTTATAAAAGGCAATCTCTATAAAGATGTTTTTAATGAAAGGCATCTATCAGTGTAACTAAAGATTTTGTGACTGGACTTAAGGGTTTACCAAAGGAATCAGAGATTACATATTAAACACCTACCCTGGGCTGCTCTTACTTGCCCTAGAAGAGGAGGGAGCATTTTTTTTTTTTTTTTTTTGGATACCTAGAACAACAGTTCCTGACATAGATAATCAATGTTTTTAAAAAGCATGAATGTGCTGCACCCATTAACTCGTCATTTAGCATTAGGTATATCTCCTAATGCTATCCCTCCCCAAAAATAAAAAATAAAAATAAAAAAGCATGAATGTGGAAAGAATTGTTAAACACTATAGATATAAAATAAATATTTGGTTTTTGTTCTCAAGACACCTAAGCCTAGTTGGCGAGAGAACCCAGGACGTTCTAAAGATAAGTACAAATAATATTTATAATACCTGCCAAGGGAGATTAGTAAAGGGAGACACCAGTGACAGCTGGACCTTAGAGCAGGAGAAAGGCTTATATAGGTCAGAGGAGTGGAGTCATTTCTTGCCTATACAAATCATAAAATATCTTGTGAGGCTCTTGATGATCTAGCCTCTATCTGCTCCTCTAACTTCATCTTTTACCATTCTTCATTGCCCAAAAATCATATGCTCCAATAGGGATAGGCATGTGCTCATGTGCACACAGACACACACAATCTTCTTGCATGAGCTACTCCTTCTCCCTTAAAAGCTACCCATGTCACACACCCTTCGTCTCCTTCCTTCCTTCCTTCTTCCCTTCTCTTTCCTTTCTCCTTCCGTTTTCCTTCCCTTCTCCTTCCCTTCTCCTTCCTTCCTTCCTTCTTTCCTCTTCTTCCTCCTCTTCTTCTTCTTCTTCTTCTCCTCCTTCTCCTTCTTCTCCTTCTCCTCCTCCTCATTCTTCTTCTCCCTTCCTCCTTCCTTCCTCTCTCCCTTCCTCCCTTCCTCCTCCTCTTCCTCCTCCTTCTTCTTCCTCTTCTTCTTCTTCTTCTTCCCCCTCCCCTCCCCTCCCTTCTCTTCCCTCCCCTCCCCTTCCCTTCCCTTCCCTTCCAAAAGAGCCTCACTCAGTTGCCCAGGCTGGAGTACAGTGGCATGATCTTGGCTCACTGCAACCTTCGCCTCCTGGGTTCTGATTCTTGTACCTCAGTCACCCAAGTAGCTGGGATTACAGATGTGTGCCACTATGCCCAGCTAATTTTTGTATATTTAGTAGAGACGATTTTGCCATCTTGGCCAGGCTGGTCTTGAACTCCTGGCCTTAAGTGATCCACCTGCCTCAGCCTCCCAAAGTGCTGGGATTATAGGTGTGAGCCACCACCCCCAGCCCATCTTCTTCTTTATTTGCCTAATTTTGCTAAGGAGAAGATTTCCACATGCCACGAGGCTTTTCCAATTCTCTCTCCTAAAACACAGGATTGCACTACATCTTTAGCTCTTCCAGATAGTCCTAGAATTTGGCAGAATGCAAGTGGATCCTCTGACCTGTCTCCTTTACCCTTAGTTGCATCTTAGGGAGGCAGTCCCAAAGCCGTAGTATTTCCATCTTACCTTTGTTTTTGATTTGCCTACATCTCTTTTCAAACTCCTAGACCTTTCTTTCCCCAGCACTAACACTGTGAATGGATTTGCATCTCATTGTTGCATGACTTAGAAAAGTTTTCTTTGTTTTTACCTTTCAGTTCATGAGGACTAGAACCATTTCTTACTCCTTCCGGTTCTGTGGAGTGCTACGTCTGAAATTAAACCTTATTTTAATAAATGTTGATGGTAGAGTCTACCATAAATACTAAACATGGAACTGGTTTTATTTGTAGATTCATAAGGGTGTATAAGGTCTTAGGAATTTTTTATTTATAAACTCGTGGGAGTCTGGATCTGCCCACATCATATACCTCTGTGCCTTGAAACCTGAATTCAGTCATTTTACATGATGATTATGTGATTGTTTGTATATGTTCAAACCTGCATTTGAGGATGTAGGTAGTGATGTTGGCAAAGACAGGCTGTTTCCAGGAAGATTTTACTTTGCTGAGGGTTGTCATTCTGTATTTCGATTCACTTTTATGCTTAGAAGCCACATTGGTTGACAGGAATTGTATGAAATGATCAATACTGTTTTCCTGATTTTTCTATTATGTATTTGCATATGTCACAGAATGTTAAAATAGGACTTTGTTTAGTCTCAGTTTAGCAGAGGCTACAACTCAAAACAATGCATAGCACATAGCCCAGCATTCAAAAGCGAAGTACTGGAATACCTATTCAGGACTGCAAAGGATGTATGAAACCTCAGGTGTTTTTATTTTTTTTTAATGTTTTTTGACTCTTTATAGCCAATATCCACCTTGAGGAAATAAGAGTACTGATGCTGACAATGAAGTCCTGGAGACCAACAAGATGCATCAGTTAAACCAGATGTTCATAATGACTCCTCTGTGTATGTAGATCTATTGCTAGGCTTCAGAGAGCTTAACCATCTGTTTCTGCTCCTTTAAAAAAATTATTGTGGTAAAATATACATAACATAAACTTATTGTAACCATTTGTAGCATAAAATTTCAGTGGCATTAATTATATTCCCAATGTTGCATAACCAACACCGCTATCTATACTTAAACCTTTCTCATCATCCCCAACATAAACACTGTTCCCATCCACTCCATGCATATGTGTGTGTATGCGTGTATACACTGGTTTGGTTTCTGCATAGAAGGTTTATAGCTGTGCCCCAGAATATCAGGAACCTTTACACATTTCTTGGCATTACTGTTGGCAATAAATGGAAAGCTGGATGAATGTACACTAAGTCTAACCTGATTCCAGAGTTCTTAAGTTCTGATTAATGCTATTCTAGGGCCACTTTGTCTCTCCTTCTTCCACTGTTTACCCAGGAAGGACAGTATGGTGACAGAGTCCTTCTAGCAGCAAAGAAATCTGCAGCCCAGCTGGTTGTTTTAGGCTCTACCCTCTTAACTATTTCTAAATGACATAATCTTCTAGGATTTCTTTCCCTTTGGGAACAATTTGATTTTTGGAAAATGTATTATCAACTTGGGTGTCTTAAAGGACTCATGATTGAAGGTCAATGTTTTTACCCCTTTTTCTTCCTGAGCACACCAAAGAGGTCGCTACAGCTCCCAGTTGTTTCTGCATTGGTGGGAGGTTGGTGGGAGATTGGCTGGAGTGGGAGAAGTTTATAGCTCATATTTCATCTCTCACTCTGCTACCATGCCTCAGTGTCAGGACAAGAAATAACTGGAGTGAAAAAAACAATCCCTGGCCTGGGGGCCAGAGGACCAGAGACTCCCACATTCTAGTTATGAAGCCTTCCATGAATTGAATGTCTTAACCCTGGTAAAATACAGCCATCACTTGAAGCTGTAACCACTCTACAAATGCAAGGTGGAGTTATTGTTATCAGTCATCAGACAATGTAGTATAATGGAGAGTGCACAAATTTTATTTTTTTAAACTGAGATGAAGCCATATAGTGTATACAAACTTTAGACTTTAAAAATTACCCTAGGTTCACATCTCAGCTGTTCTTCTTCCTGGGCAAGTCACTTTTACCTCTCCTTGGACTCGTTTTTCTCCTGTGTAAAATGGATATGCCAATAAGAGAGTGCCTATCTCACAAGCACTCTTAGAATTTTTTTTATAGGTTTGTTGTAAGGAATAAATTTGATAGCAGTCTCTTGCTTAGAGTCATCATGCAGTAAGTAGTAGCTATGATTAACATTGGTAATAATAAAATGCTACAATAAGTGATTGACTGAATTATCCCCATCCTCCAAAAATGGTGTGTGATTCATAAAACACTAGATGTAGCAATTAAGTCATACTCTCTGTAGAAGCATTCATTCCTATGCTTAGTGAATGGCTGCTTCTGCCCATCCTGTCTTGGGCAAGGGATGATGGAGAGATGAAAATTGAATGGCATCCAGCTCTAGCGATGATTTGGCTTCTTTTTCCCACTGGGTGGTATCATGGCAGTGCTGTAATCTGTATGGTGTCCTCTGATGCTAAGCAAGCCCAGGAGATGTTCAAGGTGTTCAGGAAAACTGGCGACAGCATTGCGAAGTGTCAGCTACTGCATGAAGCTGTGAACCCCAGAGAGCTACAAAAATAGCTTGCAGTGATTGAATTCCTTTTTTATTTTGTTGGTTTTGTTTATGCCTTAGTGTTTTCCCCTTTTAGACAGAGCACATGCTTTTAAAAAATTCTAATTGTATGTTTACTTAATGGTGTATAATTATATATCAAGTAAATATATAATTATGGAGTACTTTAAATTAATATTATTTACTTGATTGAGTTAATGATTCTGGAGCTATTAGCCTATTGTGCTAAGAATAATTTAGCCAACTTTTAGCTGAGACTCATTACAGATATTGACATTTGGGGTGTGTGTGTGTGTGTGTGTGTGTGTGTGTGTGTGTGTGTGTCATAGCCAGTTTTTAAAACCTTCAAAAATATTGCTGGGGAAATAAATTTTCTATACTTTCATTCTGTTACAGTCTAAAAAAAACCCAATAAAATGGGTTCACCTGTTCCCTCCTCAAGATATGGTACATGTGGACAAATCTTATTATAAAAATAGATTGCCAAATGGGGTTCATTCCTTTATTCTTTCACTCATTCATTCACTCAGCAAATACCTGCTGAGCACCTACCATATGAGCAACACATGCACAGTGGACACTGGGGTTACAAAAATGAGTAAGTTATGGTCTCTCTTCTCATGGAGCTTGGTGTCTACAAGGGGAGACAGGTATAAGCAGTTTATTCAGTACAGCTTGACCGCAAGCTAGCATTTACTGTGTTTATGTTGTGCTACTTAATTCTGACAACAATCTTGTAATGCTCATTTATACTTTACACACTAGATAATTGAGGCCTGGAGAGGTTAGTAAATTGCCTAAGGTTAATCAAGTAGTAAATGGTAAATCCAGAGTGAAAATCCAGCCTGTGGATTTAACCATGTTGTTCTACTGAAAAAAGCTGTAATAGATGAAAATAAACTGGGGCATGAGTATAAAGATGACTAAGCGTTTCTGTCTGTGAGTATTAGAGAAACAGTCAGAGCCAAGAGAACACTTGAACATTTTTTTCTTTTTTAAAAATTTGAGTTAAAATATGCATATATAATGTACCATTTTTACCATTTTAAGTGTACAGTTTAATTACATTTATATTATTTTTTCCTCCTTCAAACCCTCTCCCACTCCTCTTCCTGGCCTCTGGTAACTACTAATCTACTCTTTATCTTCATGAGATCCACATTTTTAGTTTCTGCATATGAGTAAAAAACATGCAATATTTATCTTTCTATGCTTGGGTTATTTCAGTTATAATGGCCTCCAGTTCCATCCATGTTGCTGCAAATGACAGGATTTCATTCTTTTTTATGTGAATAATATTTCATTGTATATGTATACCACATTTTATTTATTCATTCATCCATTGGTAGGCACTTAGGTTGATTCCATATTTTGGCTATTGTGAATAGTGCTGCAATAAACATGGGAGTGCAGCTTTATATTCGATATATTGATTTCCTTTCTTTTGGATATATACCCAGTAGTGGAATTGCTGGGTCATATGGAACCTTCATACTGTCCTCTATGGTGATTGTACTAATTTACCTTCCCACCTACATTGTATAAGAGTTCCCTTTTCTCACATTTTCACCAGCATCTGGTATTACCTGCCTTTTTGATACAAACTATTTTAACTGAAGTGAGATGACACTATATTGTGATTTTGATTTGCATTTCTCTGATTAGTGATGTTGGACATTTTTTCATATAACTGTATGCCATTTCTATGTCTTCTTTGGAAGATCTGTTAATTCTCTTCAACTCTTTTGCCCAGTTTTTAATTTGTTTTTTTTTTTTATTGTTGAGTTGTTTGAGCTCCTTATATATTCTGGTTATTAATTTCTTGTCAAATGAATAGTTCACAAGTATTTCCTGCCATTCAGTGGGTTGTCTCTTCACTTCGTTGATTGTTTGCTTTGCTTTGCAGAAGCTGTTTAGCTTCATATAGTCCCAATTGTGTATTTTTGCTTTGGTTGTGTGTGCTTTTGAGGTCTTCCACAAGAAATTTTTGTCCAGATCAATGTCCTGGAACATTTCTCTAATGTTTTCTTCTAGTCATTTTATATTTTTGGGTTTTGGATTCAAGTTTTTAATCAATTTTATTTGATTTTTATATATAGTTAGAGATATAGGTCTATTTTCATTTTTCTGCATATAGTTACCCACTTTTCCCAGCACCATCTATGGAAAAGACTGTCCTCTCCCACTGTAAGTTCTTAGAATCTTTGTCAAAGATGAATTGGTGGTAAATGCGTGGACTTATATCTGGGTTCTCTATTTTGTTCCATTAGTCCATGTGCCTGTTTTTATGCCAGTACCATGCTGTTTTGGTTACGGTAGCTTTGTAAAAAACTTTGAAGTCAGATGATGTGATGCCTCTAACTTTGTTCTTTTTGCTCAGGGTGGCTTTGGCTATTTGGAGTCTTTTGTGGTTCCACATACATTTTAGGGGTTTTTTTTTATTTCTGTGAAGAATGTCATTGGCATTTTGATAGAGATTGCATTGAATCTGTACATTGCTTTGGGTAGTATTGCCATTTTAACAATATTATTTCTTCTAATCCATGAGCATGGAATACCTTTCCTTTTTTTGTGTCCTCTTCTATTTCTTTCATCAGAGTTTTACAGTTCTTCTTGTGTAGATCTTTCACTTCTTTGGTTAGATTGATTCCCAGGTATTTTATATTTTTTGTAGCTATTGGAAATGGCATTGGTTCCTTGATTTCTTTTTCAGATTGTTGGCTGTTAGTAAATATGAATGCTGTTGATTTATGCATGTTGGTTTTGTATTCTGCAACTTTACTGAATTCGTTTGTCAGTTCTAACAGTTTTTTTGGTGGAGTGTTTAGGTTTTTCTAGCCATAAGATCATGTTGAGTTCGAACAAGGGTAATTTGACTTCTTCCTTTCCAATTTAGATGTCCTTTATTTCTTTTTTTGCCTAATTGCTCTGGCCAGGACTTCCAGTATTATGTTGAATAATAGTGGCGAAAGTGGGTATCGTTGTTGTGTTCCATTCTTTAGAGGAAAGGCCTTCAATTTTCCTCCATTCAGTACGATGTTAGCCATGGATTTGTCATAGATGGCCATTATTATTTTGAGGTATGTTCCTTCTGTATCTATTTTCTGAGGATTTTTTTTTTTTTGAGACGGAGTTTTGCTGTCACCCAGGCTGGAGTGCAGTGATCTTGACTCACTGCAACCTCCGCCTCCTGGATTCAAGCAGTTCTCCTGCCTCAGCCTCCCAAGTAGCTGGGATTACAGGCACCTACCACTATGCCCGGTTAATTTTTGTATTTTTGGTAGAGACGGGGTTTCACCATGTTGGCCATGGCTGGTCTCAAACTCATGACCTCAAGTCATCTGCCTGTCTCAGCCTCCCAAAGTGCTGGGATTATAGGCGTGAGCTGCCGAGCCTGGCCTCATGAGGATTTTTATCATAAAGGGATGTTGAATTTTATCACATACTTTTTCAGCATCTATTGAAATAATCACGTATTTTTTGTTCTTGATTCTATTCATGTGGTATATAACATTTATTGATTTGCATATATTGAGCCATCCTTGTACCAATGAAGTAAAACTTTTTTTTTTTTTTTTGGAGACGGAGTCTCGCTCTGTCACCCAGGCTGGAGTGCAGTTGTGCGATCTCGGCTCACTGCAAGCTCCGCCTCATGGGTTCACGCCATTCTTCTGCGTCAGCCTCCCGAGTAACTCGGACTACAGGCACCTGCCACCACGCCCGGCTAATTTTTTTGTATTTTTAGTAGAGACGGGATTTCACTGTGTTAGCCAGGATGGTCTCGATTTCCTGACCTCGTGATCCGCCTGCCTCAGCCTCCTGAAGTGCTGGGATTACAGGCGTGAGCCACCATGCCTGGCCATGAAGTGAATCTTTGTTGATAATGGTGAATGATCTATTTAATGTGTTGTTGCATTTGTTTTGCAAGTATTTGGTTGAGGATTTTTGTATCTGTGTTCTTCAGTGACACTGGCTTGTAGTTTTCCTTCTTTGTTGTATCCTTCTCTAGTTTTAGTATCAGGTAATGCTGGCTTTGTAGAATGAGTTCGAAAGTATTTCCTCTTCTTCCATTTTTAAAAAATAGTTTGAGTAGGATTAATATTCATTCTTTTTTAAATATTTGGTAGAATACAGCAGTGAATCCGTCAGGACCTGGGCCTTTCTTTGATAGGAGAATTTTTATACAGCCTCAATCTCATTACTTGTTACTGGTTTGTTGAGGTTTTCTATTTCTTCATGGTTCAATCTTGGTAGGTTGTATGTGTCCAGGCATTTATCCATTTCTTCTAAGTTTTCTGATTTGTTTGGTATATAATTGTTCATAGTAGCCGTCTCTTATGAGTCTTTGTATTTCTGAGGTCTCAGTTGTTAGGTCTCCTTTTTCATTCCTGGCTTTATTTATTTGGGTCTTCTCTCTCTTTTTCTTAGCTTACCTAGAGGTTTATTGATTTTGTATATTGTTTCAAAAAAAACAACCTTTTATTTTGTCGAAATTTTTTTCTTTTTAGTTTCAATTTTCTTAATTTTTGCTCTGGTCTTTATTATTTCTTTCCTTCTAGTAATTTTGGCTTTAGTTTGTTCTTGCTTTTCCAGTTCCTTGAGGTGTATTGTTAGGTTGTTAATTTGAAGTCTTTCTACTTTTTCGATATAGGTGTTTATTGCTATAAACTTTCCTCTTAGTACTTCTTTTGCTGTATCCCATATGTTTTTGTATATTTCCATTTTAATTTGTTTCAAGAAATTTTTAAATTTCCTTCCTAATTTCTTCATTGACTCATTGGTTGTTTAATTTCCATGTGTTTATGTATTTTCCAAGTTTCCTTTTGTTATTTAGTTGTAAAGTTTTATTCCATTGTGGTCAGAGAAGATGCTTGGTATGATTTCTATTTTATTTATTTATTTATTTTATTTATTTATTTTTTTGAGACGAAGTCTTGCACTGTTGCCTGGGCTAGAGTGCAATGGTGTGATCTCAGTTCACTGCAACCTCCACCTCCCAGGTTCAAGTGATTCTCCTGCCTCAGCCTCCTGAGTAGCTGGGATTACTGGTGCCTGGCACCATGCCCAGCTAATTTTTTGTGTTTTTAGTAGAGTTTCACTGTGTTGGCCAGGCTGGTCTTGAACTCCTGACCTCGTGATCTGCCTGCCTAGGCCTCCCAAAGTGTTGGGATTACAGGCGTGAGCCACCACACCTGGCCAATTTCTGTGTTTTTGAATTTGTACAGACTCGTTTTGTGGACTATGGTCTATTCTAGAAAATGTTCCATGTGCTAATGAAAAGAATATAAATTCTGCAGCAGTTGGGTAAAATATTCAGTAAATGTCAATAAGGCCTATTAGATCTTGAACCTGGGTTTTAAAAGATGAATTGGAGTTTACCAAGAGAAGAAAATACATTGCAGACAGAAAGGAGCTTGTACAAATGTACATTTTATGATTCCTCTGACAGCAAAATGTATCTTCCCAGTTATTCTGTATTTTTAGTCAGTAAGTCATTTCCGTTCCTTGAAAACAAACACGTCAATGGGGAATATATATGTGGGTAAAGACTAGACCAGAAACAGTCCTGAATCATGTTGGGTAAAAGGGGCAAGGCATCATAAAGTTTAAATTGACAGAGGCCAATGCTAGATCACCCTGGACTGTTTGGGAGCTATGCCAAACATTTCAAATACTTTGTTTAATAAACCATACTTGTCTCTCCTAAAGGTATATGAAAGTGGGTAACCTGGAAGGTCTCCTGACATTTGCCCCACAGTCATCTTGTAGAAAAAAGTTACAAATTAACAAAAAAGAATGGGCTTTCTTGGCAGCCCCAGACAGAGAAACTCAATGTGTTTGCTTTTAGACGTCAGCTCTACCAAGAGCACAGATAATTTCCTAGTCGTATTTTGATTATTTATTATCTGATTACCAGAAAAGGGCTAATCAAACAAATTCCTCCTGCCTCCCTTTCCCATGGTCAAATAGAAGGAATTCGAGACATTTGGGATTGCAGAGCACATTCTGACATCATCTGTATGAAGCCTCTTCTTTCTGCAGAATTCCGTATCTCAGGAAATAGCACTTCTTGTATCCTTCTATCCAGCCATTCAAGCTGGAAACTTGGAGTTCAGGCTTGACTCTTTCCTCTCCCTCCCCTGACACACTCTTCAGTACACCCCTCCACATGCACACACTGCCACCATGTATCACCTGTCTTATGTCCAGGTGTCCCACCACCTATCTCCTGAGTCCCTCAAGTGTGTTTGTACCCCACTGCTACTCAGCTAGCCTTAGCCACTATCATCCCTTATTGACACTCCTCACCAACCTCCTGACTGGTCTTCCTACCTTTAGGCTCTTGTTATCCATTTCTGTTCTCCATACTGGAGCCTGAAAGATCTTTGGAAATGTAGATCTGAGAGTCATTCTCCTCCTTAACAAGACTGTATAATCTGGCCCTTCAGTCTACACTCTCACCATGAAGGACTTCATTTTTTTCAAACATGGCCAGTCCTGACTGCAGGGCTTTGCACTGGCAGTTACCCGATAAAATGATAATAATTGCCAACATTTATTATCACTCTGGGTGTGTCAGATACTGAGCTAAGCTCTTGAAGTACATGTTCATGTAGTATCCTGTGAGTTATGTAAGAGGTACTGTTCACCACATTTTATGAAGAAAGGCTTAAAGAGGTTATGAAGTTTGTCCAACTCTAAGCTTCTCCTTGTTGTTTCTTAGCTAGATTAGTAAGTATGTAATCAACTGGGGATCATGCCTTAACAGTATTTTGAGGCAAGTGATAATGTCAGCCAGTGTGCTGTTGTAACATGATTTATATTCAGAAGATCTGGGCTGCAGTGCTGACGCTGAGCAGCAGTGTGACTCTGGATAACCTCTGAGAGTCAGTTTTCTCATCTGCAAAATGGGGTTTATATTAATACCTGTCTTAGATGATTGTTGCATGGATCAGAGCCAAGCAATATTCCTATAACTTAGTTGATGATCCATAATGTGTGAAAAAAATATGCATGTTAAATGAATGAAAATGCCAAGGGTTTCCCCTGTAAGTTGTGTCCTTTGATTAAAAGAGAAAAAAAATAGATCCATGCACAAGCCTGCCTTTGGCTCACTCTATAGCACTTTTCATGTTATCACGAGAGCTGGGATAAATTAGAGATGGTGCAGGACTTATAACCCTATAATTAAACATTTGGGGGGAGGTCAAAACATTTTATGCTTAATAGAAATGAAATTCTATGTAACCTCACAGAATAGAAAAAAATCCAAGGATGTATTTGAAATGGTCTAGTTTAATTTAAAATGTGCTTCAAAATGTGTTTTCATACCTTTACTGAATGAGAATTCTTTAATTTAAAAAATTGCTGTGTTAAACACCCTCTTCTTCATGCATTTGGACCCTGTTCCCACTATTCCTATCTATATTAAGAGAGGATGTGGTATCACTTCCAGAAGATGTTGGTTGGTGTGATAACCTGCTTATGAAGAGGAAGTTGCTGGAGGAATTAATTTCCTTTTGCTGTGCTCCCTTAGGTCTCAGAATGCAGTTGGCCCATTAGGCAGGCTCCCAGTCTGCACAACCTTTTTGCTGTGTGTCGGAATATGTATAACTGGCTACTGCAGAATCCCAAAAATGTCTGTGTTGTCCACTGCTTGGTGAGTAACCTTTTGTTGTTGGTGGTGATGGTTTGGTTTGGTCAAATATGGATGAGCCTGTACACAATGGTAGACAGGTAACATTTGAGTTCAATAGGATTTACTGAGCCCATATTTAGGAATTGGGTAATGTGAGAGTTGTAAAAATAAGAAAGGGATTTATTATTCTTGACTTAAAGCTTGACTACTAGTGGGAAAGGCAGATGTATACACAACTCACATAGTGTGGGGACTCTAGAATGTGCTAAGTATTATAAAGGAGGTAGAAACAGGAGTAGTGTGTGCACAGCTAAAAATGCCATTGACTTTTGTGTGAATAAAGTTAACATTAACATATTGGCGTATTTATTTTTTCTTCCTGTTTGTGTTTGAATAAAAATAAAAGAAAAAAGATACCTATGTCCTTGTAAGAAGTCACATAGATTGACTGTATTTTAGAGCATTCCCAGTGAGACTAATGGTTTTTCTGACCATTGACTTCCTAGAGTTCCTTTCCCTAACTCTTCTCAGAACTCTTGCCTGTCCTTTACAACTCAACTTTCAGTAAAATCCTTCTGACTCTTGAGTATTTTCACAATACAGACATTCCCATTATATCTAAATGTCTTCTGTGGCTTTTAATACTCTGTGTCATAGTAAGCTCTTCTCCTGCATATTTTCCCACTAGACTATTATAATCTTGCAGGAAAGAACCATGCCTTTTTTTAAACTTTTGTACTGCAGGCATAAAAGGCTTCAATAAGTGATTGAATACACAAATGGAATCTGAGCATTAATGCTGGAAATTTCAAAGCTTCTATAAATTTTAAAGCTTCTATAAACTTTAGTGTATATGTTTTTGCTATAGTATTACTTGATGATTCCCAACCCCCTGTCCTTTCTTGAGAGCCAGTTGGCTAAAACAGGAAAGAAAGTTAAAGAACATTTTTTCTTTCTTTTTACTTCACATCTCCAAACTCTTGGCAATAAAGGGATAACACTTGGTGTTTGTAAGAATTTAATGTTAAAGACCAAAGGATTTTCCTTTCCAAGGCACAGCAGATGGTGTAACAGAACAGATTACTTTTAGGGACTAAGCAACCTTAAGGACCTTGGTGATTTTCTCTTTACTCAAGAATTTGCTGTAAGTTCAGAGAGCCTACATCTGACAACTTGATGGAGGAAAGATGGCTCAATGGAGACCAGAAACTCCCAGTTCCAGTGATTCTTCATAAAGAATAAAAACCCAATGAAGAAGAAAAAAGAAGAGGCAAACAAAAGATTATGGTTCTACAGGGTGCTCAATAAGCTCACTCAAAAAGGACATGCATATGTTGGAAATGAATACCATGTCTTTGGGAAATGGAATTGAAGCTGGGGGAGGGAGTTTTTTTTTTTTTGTTTTTTGTTTTGTTTTGTTTTTTTTTTTTTTTTGGGACCGAGTCTTGCTCTGTTGCCAGGCTGGAGTGCAGTGGCACAATCTCGGCTCACTGCAACCTCTGCCTCCCAGGTTCGAGTGATTCTCCTGCCTCAGCCTCCCGAGTAGCTGGGACTACAGGCACGCACCACCACACCCAGATAATTTTTGTATTTTTAGTAGAGACGGGTTTTCACCATGTTGGCCAGGATGGTCTCGATCTCTTGACCTCATGATCTGCCCGCCTTGGCCTCCCAAAGTGCTGGGATTACAGGCGTGACCCCACCAGGCCTCTTATTTTTATCTTAATATACTACTGGTTATTATATTAAAAATAATAAGCATAGTGGGGCGTGGTGGCTCATGCCTATAATTCCAGCACTTTGGGAGACTGAGGCAGGTGGATCACTTGAGGTCAGGAGTTTGAGACCAGCCTGGCCAACATGGTGAAACCCCATCTCTACCAAAAATGTAAAAAGTTAGCCAGGTGTGGTGCTGTGCACCTGTAATTCCAGCTACTGGGGAGGCTGAGGCAGGAGAATTGCTTGAACCTGGGAGGCGGAGGTTGCAGTGGGCTGAGATCGTGCCAGTGCACTCCAGTCTGGGCAACAGAGTAGGATTCCCTCTCAAAAAAAAAAAAAATGATAATAACAATAGGCTATACTAGTCTTTTAATAAAAAACCAAAGTTTTTAAAAGACCTGCATCACAGGTAAAAAGAGAGGCTACATATCCAAGAGCCATGGATCTGTGAAAAGAGTGTCAGGAAGGCTAAATTCTGAAAATAAATCAGATTAAGAAAAATATCCTTTTTTTAAAACTGTGTTTGGAATAAGAACAACAACAATTTCTTGAAGCATGTGGTATAATCTTAACTCCTTTATTCTGTTTTCTTTATCAGAGGGAACAAATGTCAAACTAGGAAGAACGTAACAATGATGTTTAAGACAAAGCTGGTAGGTAGCAAGATAGTACGAGAGCCTCACAATCCTCCAAATTAATTCACTCTCAAGGCTTAAATTATGTGACACAATACCGAAAGCACTTGGAGAAGCAATTATGGATTTCATTTGTAATATGAAGAAACAGGAAGGAGAGGTGCCAGGCAAATGAAGAGAGGAGATTTTTTCCCAAAGTATGGAAGGAGGTTGATCCTGGAAAGTTGTAGGCTTGTGAACCTGGTGGTAATTCAAGGCACAATTCTGAGAAAGTTTTGCACAGAAGATTTTAAACTCTTAGCAAAAAAGGAATCTCCATTGGTTTGTTATGAGCACATATCAAACCAACAGAACATTTCACATGACTAATAGACTAGTTGAGATAGTTTATTGGAGTCCTGCAAGATATTTCTTAGTTTTTTCTAGTCAAGATTGAGAAATTTGGCTAGGTTGTTATATATTTAGTTGAGTTGAGGCTGAATATCTGCTTCCAAAGGTAGGTGATTAATGGATCACCTTTCTCCTGGGAGAAGGCTTTATTTAGTTATTCATTTTAATCAACAACTTTGATGAAGATGTGGAAATTCAGCTTATCAATTTTCTTAGAATTATAAGGGTCACATAGTGAATTTGGATTTTAAAAGTTCTTGTAGGTTGGTCACTTAACAAAAATTAATAATATGAAATTAAATACAAGATAAATGTAAAGTCCTGAATTCTGGTTTTAAAAAATTAAACATATTTGCACATTACCTTAACATGTCATCTGGAAAAAATCTAGGGGTTTTAGTGGATAGAGAGAATAATAAAAGCTTATGTTGTTACTTAGCCTACATTTATACTAGCTTGGGCTGGGGTTATGTTAATAAAAGCATAGTGTCCAGAATAAAGAAGATGATATTTCTTCTCTAGTTTGGTCAGAATATATCTCATATCTTTCATTTCACATCTGGGCAGCATTTAAGGTTGTCATTTTAAAACTTGAATTTGTTTAGAAGAAATGTGCTAAATGATGATGTCTCTTAAAATGGAAAATCAAGTGAGGAAGAATAGAAGGGATTGAGTTTGTTTTAAAAGGGAAATAGAAGCATTGATAGAAAGGGAGGGTATTTCAGATATGTGAAGGACTGCCATAGGAAGAAAGGAGTAGGTTTATTTTTTGTTCTCACAAAAGGATGAGGGTCATTTAGTGGAAGCTATGGAGGAATGAAAGTCAACTCAACATATTCAGTATAAGGAAGAGCTCTGTAAACTGGAATGGGCTACTTCAAGTATGAGTAATCTCCCTGTCACTTAAAGTGTTCTAGAAGAAGCTAGGTCACATCTGTCAGGGATGTTACTGAATTTTGTCTTAATTAGCTTGAGCTGCTGTAACAAATATACCATAGACCGGGTGGCTTAAACAACAGGAATGTAGTTCTGGAGGCTGGAAAGTCCAAGATCAAGGTGACTGCAGTTCTTTTCTTTCTTTTTTTCTTTTCGAAGAGTTGGGGTTTCACCATGTTGCCCAGGCTGGTCTCGACCTCCTGAGCTTAGGCAATCTGCTCGCCTTGGCCTCTCAAAGTGCTGGGATTACAGACATGAGCCACTGTGCCCAACCAAGGTGCCTGCACTTGTAATGTCTGGTGAGGGCCTGCTTCTGGGGTGGCAGATGGCTGTCTTCTTGTTTTTCACATTGGCCAAGGGCAGAGGGAGTTGACAGCAAGCTCTTTTGTCTGTTCTTATAAGGGCACAATTCCCATTCATGAGATCTCCACTCTCCCTACCTCATTACCTCCCCAAAGCTCCACCTCCTAATACCATCACATTGGGGTTAGGATTTCAGCATATGAATTCTGGGGCATACAAACATTCAGTCCACAACAGATTTATTTCTACATTGAATGAAGTTGAATCTGGTGAAGGTTCTTTATTTTATACGAATCTAGGAACATACTTTGCATGAGATACATATATGCCATATCCCAACAAGCAGCATTTACCTAACCTGTGAGCTCGTTACTTCCAGTCCTAAACCAAGAGACTTCAACTATTAATTCAACAAGTCCAAAATTACTTTGAAGATTATATTATTTTTCACCAAATATATACAAATCAAATTGGGCTTCTCAGATTAGAATCAATTTTATTCTAAGGATAAGTCTTTCCTTGCTGCCTTTGATTTAAAAAGCTGAAACAAATTTTGGTTTTCAAGTGAATAATTTTTAAATGAAAAGCACCCACAGTTAAGAGGATTTCTCCTCTCTCTGTCTCTTAATTGCAAATTCTGCCATTTTCAATGGAGAATGGCTGATTTGATCATGTTCATAATGATTTTATGCATTTTCTTTGACAGGATGGACGGGCGGCATCATCAATTCTGGTTGGTGCTATGTTCATTTTCTGTAATCTCTACTCTACTCCTGGCCCAGCCATTCGATTGCTATATGCAAAGCGACCAGGAATTGGACTTTCACCATCCCATAGGAGGTAAAGTAAGCTAGATGCAGGCTAGGCACAGATGTAGTCTAATTGGTATCATGTACTGTTTTAAATCTGCCTTACAAATCCTTTCATAAGTTTCTTTTACTTTATCTCTGTATTAGTCCATTTTAATATTGCTATGAAGAACTACTTGAGACTGGGTAATTTATAAAGAAAAAGAGTTTCAATGGATTCACAGTTCCACATGGCTGGGGAAGCCTCACAATCATGGTGGAAGGGGAAGGAGGAGCAAAGGCACATCTTACATGGTGGCGGGGAAGAGAGCGTGTGCAGGGAAACTGCCCTTTATGAAACCATCAGATCTCATGAGACTTATTCACTATCATGAGAACAGCATGGGAAAACCCGCCCCCATGATTCAATTACCTCCCACCGGATCCCTCCCACAACACGTTGGGGATTATGGGAGCTACAATTCAAGATGAGATTTGGATGGGGACATAGCCAAACCACATCAATCTGACATTATCCTGAACTATGCAAAAACTGAATTGGATTAGGATATTAGATTGTCATTCAGTTTGTAAGCCCCCATACGAAAATTTATGATGTTAAAACTAGAAGGAAACTTTAAAGAATACTTATATCCAACTTCCCTCATTTTACAGGTGAGGAAACTGGGACTCAAGACAGGTTGTGATTTGCCTCAGGTCTAATGCCCAGTGGACAGAGCCAGAACAGCATTCTTGATCCCAAGCTCTAAGACCAGTCCCTTTTTGTTTTATTATACAGGTCTTTATTGAAAAACAGCAGTAGCTGGTTATACTTATCACTGGTGATCCTCCTGTGGGAAACCTGATTTAACAAAGGGAAATGCAAAAATACATAGAGAATAAAGCGTTTTAAAATTCACTTTTTCATGTAACTCTGATATAGAAATAAAAGATTACAAAAGATAATCTGAAAAATGGAATAAAAAAGAAAACTGTTTTTAGATAACATTGATTTTTCTTTTATCACAATTTCTTCATTTTTTTAAAAACTACATCTCCTTAATTTTTTGGATTAAAAGTGCTTCTGATGATAAAATTCTAAAATTTATCCAAAGCCAAATTTTAGCTGATAAATTGGATCTGCTAGATAAAATAGGAATAGATGTTCAAATATTGAAGTACTATAAAATTCCCATAAGCTTTTTGATTTAATAAATACCCCAGTATCAGTTCATTGGGGAAGTACAGCAATCTCAGTAGATAAAATGTTTCCTAAATTATTGATCGCATTATCTTTTGCTAGTTAATATTTAAGAAATTGATAGAATAAGTTTTTATTATAACAGTAATTTGCAAGAAGAATCTTCATAGCAAATATTGATTGCTTGCTTCTCCTGATGTGATGGGCCCCAAGAGAGTGCCAACCTTCTGTTTCAGATACCTGGGCTATATGTGTGACCTACTGGCAGACAAGCCCTACCGCCCTCACTTCAAGCCTCTCACAATTAAGTCGATCACTGTCAGTCCAATACCCTTTTTCAACAAACAGAGGAATGGATGTCGCCCTTACTGTGATGTACTCATTGGAGAAACCAAAATATATTCGACTTGCACAGATTTTGAACGAATGAAGTAAGTCATGATACTTTACTTCTTCCTATGTACTTCTCAATTCTCATGTAAATGAGCAGGAATGAGTTGAATCATATTCTTCCTGCAAGACTATATCATTGTGAAATAGCTGATATATAAAAAATGTTCAACATCAGTGGTAATCATAGAAAAGTACAAGTAAATCAGGGGATGTTATGGCCCTTTTTCAAATGAAACCATGATATAGGCTAAGGGACTAGCATAAGCTGTATACAGGATTAAGACCAAGGGGAACATGGGACACCTGGTCATTGAAGAAGGAGATGGCCTTGATGGGATTAGGTGAGGGTAATGGAAGAATCACTGATGAATGAGGTTTCTAAGTGAGCAACTAGGTAGACGGTGATGTAATTAAAGAAGTTACAGAATCCATAATAAAGAGCAGGTGCCAGTGGGTGGTCATAGGGGATGTGGAGAGAAGGGAGTGGGTGGTAACATAACATGAAATTAGTTAGGAATAGATTGAATTTGAGGACTGGCATCCAAGACTTTCACAGAGCAAGACATTTCTGTTTGTATCCTGATCTCCAGTGGATTTTTTGTTCCCTTTATCTCTGCTTTTAGTATTAATTTAAAGTTAAGAAAAGGCAAATACATGGGGGCTAGATGCATTTGAGGAAAATGAGATCTGCAAAGCAGGCATGGGCAATTGCAGTCCAGATGGGATGCAGAGAGGGGGCCTGGCATTAGACCAGCACCATCCTACTGCACAACCAGTTGGCACTGGCTGCACTCCTGTTTTTGCTCAAGATAGGAAATAGTTTCTGGGTCCGGGCCTGGGCGAACAGTCCTCTGGGCCAGAGCCATAGAGAACTATACCTGTGTCTGTGTGATTGTACCAGATTGGACTCTCTTTCAATGTATATTTTGGTCTGTGTTTACAGAGAATATCGTGTCCAAGATGGAAAAATCTTCATTCCCTTGAACATCACTGTGCAAGGAGACGTGGTTGTTTCCATGTATCACTTGAGGTCAACCATTGGGAGCCGGCTACAGGCTAAGGTATGGTTTTTGGAAGAATCATGGCATAAGTTCATCTGAGTCTTCAATAGGAGTATTTCTGAATCTTTTCTCCCCATCACTTTGGGCTTGAGTCACTTGTAGTTTTAGAATGAAAAAGAGCGTTTAAAGATTGCTTAGCTCACCTCCTTCATCTTACAGGGGAGGAACTGAGACTCAAAGAGGTTGTGACTTGCCCAAAGTCCTTGGCATGATGTCCGTGCCAGAGGATGACAGCCCTGGAACTCTTAGCAAACCATACTCTTTAGAAGCCTGTGCTTTTCTTATAGTGCCCCATTTGGATCAGTGTAAGGGAAGAGATTTCTACTGAGGATGTGGAATTAAGGGATTGTATTTTTTCAATTTTAAAAAATTGAGATAAAACCACATAACATAAAAGTCACCCTTTTAAAGTGTACAATGCAGTTGTTTTTAGTCTATTCAAAAGGTTGTGCAAACATCACCACTAATTCCAGAACATTTTCATCACTCACAAAAGATACCCTGTACCTATAGCAGTCACTTCCTATTCCCTCTCCTCCATCTCCTGGTAACCACTGATCTACATTCTGCCTCTATGGATTTGTCTATTTGGGACATTTTATTTAATGGAATCATACAATATGTGGCCTTTTGAGGCTTCCTTCTCTCACTTAGAATGTTTTTGAAGCTTATTGTGTTATAGCATGTGTCAGTACTTCATTATCTTATATGGCCAAATATTATTCCATTGTAATGTCACAATGTATTAATCTTAGTTGATAATCTCAGTTAATAATCATCAGTTGGTGAACATTTGGGATATTGCCATTTTTTGCTATTAGGAATAATGTGGCAAGTAATTGTGTTTTGATTCATCACATATTGGCTAAGTGAGTGCTTTGTGCCAGCCATTGCTGAGGTTTTTAGGATTGACAAGAGTAAGACTATGTCTCTGCCTTTAAGGGACTCAATTTCACAAGGGAAATCCATGCAAGTACAAATATGCATGATACCATATTAGAGGGAGGATGAGGTGTTATAATGGGAGCAGTTTGTTTTAGCCAGCAGTGGCCTAGAAAGGCTACAGAGAGAATATGAACTTTTAAGACATGCCCTAAAGGATGAGTTCATTGGGTTGGAACAGGGCATCCTGGGTAGAAGGAATGCAATGAGTCGAAGTATGCCTGTGTGCAAGAACATAGTATTTAGCGGATGAGAAAATGGTTTGCCAAGGCAGAGTTCAAGTAGAGGAGAGGCTGGAAATGAAGCTGAGCCTATTCTAACTGGGGAGGTCATTTAATATCCATAGTAAACACAAATTCAGATATTGAAACAGTTGAAGGTGCATGTCTCCCCAAAATCTAATCTTTTGATCAGATTCCCTTTTCGCTGATTGATTGTAATGTGCTTCTCTCATGTATTTTTAGGTGACCAACACACAGATATTCCAGCTTCAGTTTCACACTGGATTCATACCACTGGACACAACAGTTTTAAAGTTCACCAAGTAAGTACTGGTTGGGCCAAAAGTCTATTTGAATCAAATTAGCTGTGAAGTGCTGAGGCTCAATGGCACCAGGCTGTAGCATACCCTGGAATCCTGTGCTGCTGAACTACTGAGTGTCACTCAGTAGCACAGAGAGGCTGTGGGCATTCTAAAGCTTTCAGTTGAATATGATTTATCTTCAGAAGTACAAAGGGACCAAAGACTTCAAACAGAAAGTTCTAAAATTCTATGTGAGGGAATAAGGGTAAACAAAGCGGGACAAAGTATCACTGCTTTTGATCCTTTGCATCTGTGTATCCCCTTGTGTTTTCCAGTGGGGATGGCAGTTTAATCAGTGGTATGGTATCAGCAATGATGCATCAGAATAGAAGCCCCGCTATAGCACTGAAGCAGGCTTCTGGAGGACCTTTCTGCACCGACATTAACCTATCTCATAGTGTGGTCTAGGTGAACGCAGTTGTGGGGGTGGCTAGAGCCGGGATGGAGTTGCTGGGGCCAGGATAGGAGTAGATGTTCAAGGGCTCAGGACAGTGGCTGTGGGCCTATTGCACTATTTTAATAATGGATTTTGCCGTGCCAGTCACATCAGCCCTGCTTTCCAGAATGCTTTTACATGCAGTAGCATTCAAATTTGTTGAGCAGGCATTATTCTCCTCTTTTCTCTAGATTAGGAAACTGAAGCTCAGAAAAGTAAAGTAACTTATCTGGTTATGACTGAGTCTTTTTTAGAAATGAGACTTAGATTTAACCTAAGAGTCAACCTAAGATGACTTCTGTGCCAAACATCATACCAGTTCCATTGTTTTTCACTGAATTTATCTTTTTTAAATCCCTATTTAGGCCTGAGTTAGATGCATGTGATGTACCAGAAAAATATCCTCAGCTATTTCAGGTGACACTGGATGTAGAACTACAGCCCCATGACAAAGTAATAGACTTAACTCCACCATGGGAACATTACTGCACAAAAGATGTCAATCCCAGCATCCTCTTCTCTTCTCACCAGGAACATCAAGATACGCTGGCCTTAGGAGGTATGAGTCACCTGATGGTTTTGTTTTTCAGGATGAAGCCTCTCTGTTATTTATTTCCTGTGTCTCATTGATGCTACATGGTCTTTTTGTCTTGCAGGACAGGCTCCAATAGATATCCCTCCAGACAACCCCAGGCATTACGGACAAAGTGGTTTCTTTGCCTCTCTCTGTTGGCAAGGTATTTACAAGTGTTTCTTTAAGTCACATGGTTTGATGATTATGTATTTCTTCTGTAAAGATGTTGGCCCTAGAAGCAGACTACATTAAAGCAGCACTTAGAGGTCATTCAATCCAGGCACACGGACTCCCACCTGTAAGCCCAGCACTTTGGAAGGCCAGGATAGGAAGGCCAGGAGTTCAAGACCAGCTCAGGCAATATAGTGAGACCCTATCTCAACAAAAAATTTTAAAAAATTAGGTGGGAGTGGTGGCAAATGCCTGTAGTCCTAGCTATGTCAGAGGCTAAGGCAGGAAGACTGCTTGAGCCCAGGAGTTCAAGGTTGCAGTGAGCTATGATTGCGCCACTGCACTGCATTCTGGGTGACAGAGCAAAACTCCATCTCTAAAAAATTTTTTAAAAGACATCATTCAAGTTTACATCCTTCCAATTCATTCCCTTTTCAAATCAGGCAACTTCCCTACTTTCAACTCAGTAGATGCTCTTAGACTGATGCAAAAGGCCATTTTAAACTGAATTCTCCCTTCTCTCTGCTGTGTTTTTGGTCACGTCATTCCTGGACTGACAAATAAGTGTGATTTGTTTATGATCTCCCTTTAGACTGCTGCCTCTGTAATGAGATTAACACAGGATTCTATCTTCCGCTGTCAACTAAATATTATAAAAATATCAAATCAGCATTCCCCCCAGGGAGCCTTAACCACTAGCAGGGCAGAACTGAGCTTACCCTGCTGCAGAGAAAGCAAACACTTGGCCTGTATATCTCTGCTCTTGCTTTAACAGCCATACCAGAAATAAGGGCTCGATTACTAGGTTCTTTTCTCTCAAACCTGGAGATATTTTCAGAATCCTCCTCAATATAACACTTCCAGCTGCTGCCAGCAGTAGCCTGACGTTGGCATCCTAATCAATACCCATTGGCTATCCTTGCTTTAGAGCTGGCTGAGGCTAACTGTGAGATTCAGTGTAGACGTGGGTAGTCAGTGTTTGGGTATGAAAGGCATGGGAAACTGGCTATGGTATGGTTTATCTGAAATTATCCTGATTGACCTTCCTCTGTTGTGTGAATGTAAGATAATATTCCCATCGCCTGCAGGCTTCAGTTTGATGAAAAAGTTGTTCATAAAATTCCGTTGAATTGAAAGACTCACTTTCAGAATTTTCTTTCGAGAAATGGAACTAGCAAATCCTCAAATTTGGAAAACCCAGTGGTATCTGGACAGTAGGTAGATTTCTTATCCCCTGTTGGCCTTTCTTACCTCTTATTTTCCTCACAGCGAGGGCTTTTAATACAACTTCACTCTTTCCTCTCCACTGTCATTTTAGCAAATAATTTAGAGATAATTCCTGTAGACTCTGAAATAGGTTTTAGTATAGATGCACAGTCTCTTGTCTGAACCTCTCAGAGCCAGGTATGTTTAGGAATGCAGAACTTTTTGGATTTTAGAAGGATGATATGCTACATAAAGTGATGTAACTTGACATCCCAAGTGATATCTCAGATAATAACCTATAATCAAACATATTAATATTTCTGCAGTAGAACATATAAACAATAGCCCTAAGTGAGATAAATGAAGACTATAAGTATCTTCATATTCACGTCTGTCAGTTTTCCACCAACTGAATTCATGCCAAACTTAGGAAAATCTTTTCCTTTTCATAGCTTATTACATTTTATAATTTGGAATAAAGGATGTGGATCCATACTTGACTTGGAATGTGGGTCTATCTGGCATTAAATATCAAATTTTTGTGGGAAGATCTATCTCAGGGAGGGCTTAGAAGGTCACTCCTTCCCCAGAGGAGGCCTCTTTCCTGCTGCTCATTTTGTGCTGAAAGTACCCCTTTCAAGCTGGTATAAGGACCTTTCACAGCAGAGCTCTTCTTTTCACTTTTTAAATGTGTGGTTCACTTCTGCTCCAGACTGTTAGAGAAGGGATTTGCTTTTGGCTACAGGACACATGGAGAAGTAAAGACAGTGAGAAGTGTCAGCAAATGACTAGCAGATAATGGTTTGTACTACCCTCCCCGGCCAAAGCACCTAGCATAGTGCCTGAAAAAAAAAATCAACACTTAGGTACTACTTACTATTGATTGGAGTGATTTATAATATCATCTCATGTATTTCTCACAGTAGCCTGTGAGTTAGGTACTATTTATTTATTTAGACACAGTTTCACTCTGTAGCCCAGGCTGGAGTACAATGGCATGATCTTGGCTCATTGCAACCTCTACCTCCCGGGTTCAAGCAATTCTCATGCCTCAGCCTCCCGAGTAGCTGGGATTACAGGCACACGCCACCATGTGCAGCTAATTTTTGTATTATTAGTAGAGATGGGGTTTTCACCATGTTGGCCAAGCTGGTTTCAAACTCCTTACCTCAAGTGATCCTATCTCAGCCTCCTAAAGTGCTGGGATTACAGGTGTGAACCACCACGCCCGGCCGTTAGGTACAATTTGTTATCCCCACTTTGCTGAGGAGGAAACCAAGGCACAGAGAAGTAAAGTAACTTGCCCAGTGTCATAGAGCCAGTGAGTAGTGAAGCTGAGATTCAGTCCTAGGCTGGCTCCAGAGTTCCTGCTCCTTACCCCTATGCTCTACTGCCTCTCAGATGCTCAACAAGTGGTAGTTGAATGTAACGTGAAATACATCAAGTGTTCCACTGATTAGGGTCTAAAAACACTGTTTGCTCAGGGCTGAATCCTTCTGTCTTTCTGGAATTATATACATATATTATAACAAAAACCAACAATGCTGTGGTCAGCAACTAATCTCTTATGGTATACTGGCCTTCCTCAGATCAGAAATCGGAGAAGTCATTCTGTGAGGAGGACCACGCTGCCCTAGTGAATCAGGAAAGTGAGCAATCAGATGATGAACTTCTGACACTTTCCAGTCCGCATGGCAATGCCAATGGTGACAAGCCTCATGGAGTCAAGAAGCCCAGCAAAAAGCAGCAGGAGCCAGCAGCCCCTCCACCCCCTGAGGATGTGGACCTTTTGGGCCTGGAAGGGTCTGCAATGAGTAACAGCTTCTCTCCGCCAGCGGCTCCTCCCACCAATTCTGAACTACTGAGTGACCTGTTTGGGGGTGGAGGTGCAGCTGGTCCCACCCAGGCTGGACAGTCAGGAGTGGAAGATGTGTTTCATCCTAGTGGACCTGCGTCTACCCAGTCAACACCACGCCGCTCTGCCACCTCCACCTCTGCGTCTCCAACCCTAAGAGTGGGAGAAGGTAATTTTTTCTATGTTGCACTGTGCCTCTCAGATTTGAATTCTAACCTTTGGGCCAAATAGGTGGAATTGAACTTTCCTAATAAGCTAGACTTTTCTGATTTCACTGTAAGTCCTTTAGAGGAGGTCTGTATCTTTATTTAAATTGAGAGCGTAAGAGAAAATAGAAATATTGTCCATTTGGGTAGCACACTAAGGTAGTGTAAGAGTGGACGTTTGAGCTTCACACTCTTACTTCTAATTTTCTTTGTTTAGCACTTCAACCCCTGAGCTGCATTAGTCTGCTTAAACATACTGATTGATGAATTATTATTGATAAAAATAGCTAATATTTATGAGGTATTTACTATTTGCCAGACATGGAATTTAATACTAAACATTATTTAATTCTTACAGAAACTCAATAAATAAGGGCTATTTTTATCCCCATTTTATAGTTGAGGAAATGGAAGCATAGAATTAAATCAGTAGCATAGGTTTATATGACTAGTAATTGATAAGGCCAGTGTCCAAACCTAGGTTATTTGACTCTAGGGCTTTCCCTCTGTTTTCCTATAACGGCTTCCTGAAGTTATAGTTTTCTGAATATATGTGGGCTATCCAGAGAAGTGTTTGGTTATTTGAAAATATGTTTAAGTGACTCATGCCGGAAGCACAGCTTCCTAGAACAGAGCAGTTGGTACTAGGTAAGGAGTTTGAGCCCCTTGAGGCTCTGTTAGTTTCACTGTCTCATTGCCAGAGACTCAAACCTTCTACTATGAGTCATCTAGGATTTTTTGACATTTATAAGACAGTGTAGTTGGGTAAGCAGAGATCCAGCACAGCTCCTGAAGAACCCACTCAAATTAGCTGCCCCTTGGTCCTGTCACCATTAACCAAGATGACTTCACATTAGGAAGGGTAAAGAGAAATGTCTCAACTCTTCAGGCCTATAGTATCCTATAGGAACATTTTTTTTCCCCAAGCGTATCCTTCCCAGAAGGCTCTGGGCTGGTCTTGACTTGTGATAGTTCAGCTGGAGGCATCCTTCATGAGTGTGGGTCTCAGAATTACAGAGTATTGGTGTTGAGGCTCAAGCTCCAATGTTAGCTATTGGTGGACCCAGGATGTGAACTCAGGTGCCCTGAATCCTATGCCAATGCTATTTCATCTGTACTTCACTTCCTTCCATACAGTTTTAACTTGCCAAAGTGAAAAAAAGCTCTGTCAGGAAAACAGTTTCCAAGATCCAAGATATCAGTACTCGATAATTGCATTTTAAGACTGTGCACCTGGTGTGACTCTCATGATTTCATTCATCATAGTTTCAGGCAGCTAGTGGAATTCCAGTGCCAGAAGGGGCCTTAGACATCAGTTAATTCTCTGCCTCATGTTATAGACAATGAAACTGAGGCTTAGATGTATTGATTGACCTGTCTGAGGATACCCACTGGATTAGTGGCATACCCAGGTCTAGAATGCAAGTATTCTATCCCCCCAAGAGGAAGTAGAAAGAACACCAAGTCTAGAGTTAAAGACCTGGATTTGAATCCCAGGACTTAACTGTCTGTGTAACATTATTGAAAAATCTTCTCAGTTGTAAAATGGGGATAATAGTTACATATTAGCATTGTTGCAAAGACTAAATTTTGAGCTCTTGTCTTGTGGTGTTGGGCAGTTTTAGTTATTGGAGAATGCCCCTAGTTTAACATAAATTGATATTTTAAATGTACTGAGTATGGTAAGAAGGGATAAGGCTAGATAACAAATAAATCCTGCTCTTAAAACCGAGGTGGGATATATGGCTTAATACGTTTTCAGCTAAGACTTCATTGGCATAATGCTCTCCTAACAACTGCTGGGCAGATTAGCCTTGTGTAGCAGCAATGGTATCGACTGTAGTTCATCCAACAGGTAAGTCCAGACTACTCCTTTGTCCACAAAGATAGGAAATTCTTGGAGTCCACTGTTAGCCCTACAGGAAGTGACAATTCTGTGACATTTAGTGAATGAACTCATGGGACAAATAAATATATTTTCCCATTGTTTTCTAGGTGCCACCTTTGACCCATTTGGAGCACCTTCTAAACCATCAGGTCAGGATTTGCTGGGTTCTTTTCTGAACACATCCAGTGCTTCCAGTGACCCCTTTCTCCAGCCAACAAGAAGTCCTTCGCCCACAGTACATGGTAAGGAAATATTTTATATTGTGTTCAGTGGAACATAGTTTTCTGCAAGATATCAGTAAGTGCTCATATATAAAAGCACCCTGTGGGTGCTTTTTTGATAAAAGCTTCCTCACACATCTCTGTTTTTGAAATTAACAACTCACCTTAACATATCAAAATCTCTGGGCTGTCTTACAGGACAGAAACCTGCTTAACTTTGTTTTGCTCTGCTTTCCTATTTGACTATGGTATCCTTTTTTGCATTAGAGCTACATGGACAGAATCATAAATGACCCTTGATTGTAGGACATATGATTATTTTATGTACCAATAAGAAAGAAAAAAACACTGCCACTATGAAATGATTGGAAGATACTTCTTGGTTAGAGAAATCTTTGAAATGTGGGAAAATATGTCTTAAATAAATAAAATATGTTAGTAGTCCACAAAATTGGTATTCCAAAGAACAAAGTTTGGGATATGATAGCCACTAGTTACGTGTGGCTGTTGATGACTCTACATGTGGCTAGTCTGATTTGAGATACACTCCAAGTATAAAATACATACCAGATTTCAAAACTTAGTACAAAAAGGGCATGTGAAACATCTCATCAATATTTTTATATTGATCATTTATTAACATAATATATTGAACATACTGGGTTAAATAAACTATATTATTAAAAATAATTTCAATAGTGTCTTTTTACTTTTTAAAATGTGACTGCTAGGAAATATAAAATTACATATGTGGCCCAAATTATATTTCTATGTTAGAGACTTAGGTTGTATAGAAAGAGTAATAATAATCACATCCATTTATAAAAGTGTGTCACTTAGGTAACATTGATTAAAACCGGAGGTCTGCAGTGAGGGATAAATAACTTTGAGCCAGAGAGTTGTAGCTCATTCCTGATGTCGAAGTCTATTGAACATTATTGGCCACAACCTAGAAGGTGACGTATTGTTGAAGGCATCCTGAGCTTGCTTGGAGAATGCAGTCCAGTCATCAGTTGACTTTGGGAAACCATGCCAATGCAAAAGGAAGATGACTTTTGCAACACTGGTGAAACTGAAACTTGACTAAAAAAGATTCCAGGAACAACTTTTGTGGTTCATTTCCAACTAGTCTTTAATCTCAAACTATTTGAAGTGCATCCTCAGGACAATATACAAGAAATTCCCCTCTTACCTCTGAGTCATGCTCACTTGAGAGAGTCTCCTGATTGGATGTTGACTACCTGTAGGAGAAAAGATGCAGGAATGTAGAGTAGAGTTGGTTTTCTCACTCATTTAAAATGTTAAGTCATGTCATTGCTCTGCTCAAAATGCCTCCCCATTTTACTCAGCATGAAAACCAAAGTCCTTGAAATGGCCTGTGTAGCCTCTGTATGCTCTAGCATCTCAGTGCCCGTGACCTCATTTCCCATTCTTTCCCACTTTACTCTCTGCATTCCAGCTGTACTGGCCTCTTTGCTGTTGCACTGGCTGTTTCCTCTGCCTCATACTCTTCCCCAGGCATCTGCATGGCTAAGTCCTTCACCTCCTTCAAGTGTTTGCTCAAATGTCACCTTCTCAGTGGAGTCTACTCTGATTCCTCCGTTTCAAATTGCAACTCGTCTCCCTGCCCTACTCTACATTCCCCTTTCTGTTGTGCTTAGTAACTTCCAGTATATGCAGTAATTAACTTATGTGTTACATTTTTTTGTCATCTCTCTCTCTCTATTAGAACATGAATTCCACAAAGGCAGGGAATTTTGTTTTGTTCATTAATGCATCCATAGTGCCTAAAAGAATTACCGGCACATGGTAGCTGCTATCTATCTTTCCAATATTAAATATAAAATGAATTAACTCATTTTTCCCATCAAAGTTTCTTTGATGCACAGTGATAGTGTCATAAGGCTATATGTTTTCCTGATTTTAATACTTTGAAATTATTGTTTTAATAAGAGTACTACCCTTTGTGTCCCATGGACGTGGGTGTTCATACTTGGCAGCTTGGCAGTTTTGGATCCAGTTTTCTGTTTCTGATGAGCTGATTAGAACATGGTGTTTATAACCCAGTTTAGGCCAGTTAGTACTCCTTTGTTTTGTGGTTACATTTCTCATTTTGGTCTGTATTGTACTAGCGAGTGGAAAGAATTTTCTCCTCTCCTTGTTGGGAAAGCAATGATCATTTCACTGTTACTGAATCAACTCCCCGTCTTCACATAGGACAGAATATAGGTGACACTCAGATGTCTGCTTTGGGAGGTCAGACATCCTCAGGGTACTTCCCCCGGGTTTCTGCAAGGCGTCGCCAATCTCTCATGAAAATAAAAAAAATACTGCCTTTGGGCTCAACAAATATTTATTGAACATCTATTCTGAAGAGAATAATCACTTGGGACATGATGTTGGAAGAACAAATAAATAATCATAATAAAAGGCAAAATAGAGACTAAAATATTAGGTAATTACCTTTTTGAAAAAATATATTCCTGTTTCTCTAACAGACCTTAAGTTTCTTGAGGATAGATAATGCATCTTTCAGTCTCTGTCCCCTGATGTGGTGCCTTGCATGTGGTAGGTAGTCATAAGGGTTTGTGGGTTTGATTAGCAACAGGGTTGAAGTTCTGATACCTACTTCTGCGTCTTAATTGGATGTAAGACTAGGATCAGAGCTTAAAGGAAATCAGATAGAACGTACTAGCAAAACCGTCTAACTTCCACCTCAGTGGAATGGGTTACTGTGTAAAAATAGAAGGGATAAATAGAAAAGAAAGAATTATTATTGCTGATAATGGCATATCCTTTTTAACTTAATGATGGGAAGGTACTAGATGACTTGGTTGGTACTAAGTAAACAAAACAAGGAAATAAAAGGTTTGGAATGCTAATCTTGATGCCTTCTGGTGGTGATGGGGTGTGTGTGTGCGTGTGTGTGTGTTTTAAATCCCAGTTGCAATGTCAGTTTAGTATTTGCATTTTAATAATTGATTTGTGTGGGCAAAACCTAGAGGTGCCTCAGAAAGAAATTCTTCATCATGGCATCCTGTTTCCTATATAGATTTTATAGATGTGTAAAAAACTTACTACGCACATGTATTCCTCTAGTACACCTGATTCCTTTTAGCCAAATATTTCTTTTAAATTATATGTTTGGAACTTTGAGGGGGGGTCAGAATGATTTATTTTGAAGCTGTAATGAGTTTATTTTGAGTACCATAGACACATCCCTGACAACCAGCATAGTGATGATGTATAGCCAGTGCCCAGTACATGTTCTGCATGACTCATTATTCTCAACTCATGTCACAGCAGAGGAGAAAACAAAATGTCAGTTTTGAGTGGATTATGCTTCTATACTTAATGCTTAGCAAAGGTAAACTGAGCTTAAGGTGTTTTCCCCCTTTTCTTATTGCACACTGACTCTGTGTTAAATTTAGAGGTGGGACACACACACATAAGATAGTTCTTTCCTGACTTCGAGGGACTGACAATTGAATGGAGACAGACACATGCTCAATGATAACTCAAAGCGTGTGGATATGGAGGTAAAACCAAAGTGAGACAAAGAAGGAGCAGAGACAAATAATATGTCGTTTCTGTCAAGCCTCATGTGAACAACCAGAGGTGAAGGCAGAACATATTGAATGTTGCAGAGTGTGGCAAGAACTCAGAAGGAGGAGTGGATATCTTGGGATCTTGCTGGGGCCATGCAGGCTTCAGGGATGGAATGGCATTATCCTGTGTGAACTCAGAAAAGTGGGTTCTGAGCTCTCTTGTTCTCATTCTTTTTCTTTTCCCCATTTGCAGCTTCTAGTACGCCTGCTGTGAACATTCAGCCAGATGTTTCTGGAGGTTGGGACTGGCATGCTAAACCAGGTAAAAGCAGGTTATTTTCTGTACACATTTATATAATTGCAAAAGCATAATCCTTACCCAAGATGAAGTGAGTACTCACAGAGTATTGTGGCCTACCTGTGTAATTTGTGTCACTTTTTCCTAAAGATTCATATTCTAGAAGAGCTTTTCCCAATGCACTTGATGACATGATAGTGCTACTTATCATACACCATTTAACTTTTCTAAATTTCATTTGCTGAATGTCTTATCTTGACAATAGAATCAGACGGATATAAATATATATCAAACTCTATCACTTAGAAACTCTTGGGTTTTTTTGGCAAGTCTGAGCCTCAGTTTTCTTATCTGAACAATGGGGATAATAATTTTGGTCCCACATAGTTGTGTAAGTTTAAATAAAAAAAACTTATATAAGAATTTCTGGCACAGTGTAGATGCTGACAAATGTGAATATTCTTCCTTCTTTACAAAGTACTTACTTCAGGGTGGGATTTGTCTGTCATCAACAAGGTCTCCTCCTCATGACCACTATGGCATTTATGGAGCTGTCTTGTGTGACTGCTCCTGACATTGAGCAAGTTAAGTGCACGCGTGCACATACAAACACATACACAATGGGCTTATCACAACAACTTTCTGAAGCAGTTGCTGTTTCCTTTTTTTATTGTAGCAACCCCTTCCCCACAACGTAACATTTACCCTGCCAATAATTTCCAAGTATACAATACAGTATTATCAGCTACATGCACTTTGTTGTGCAACAGATCCCCAGAACGAACCCACCTCCCCACTGACCTTCTCACATAACTGAAACTCTACACTCACTAAATAACTCCCTACCTCTGCCTCCACCAGCCCCTGGCCACCACCCTTCTACATGAGTTTGACTACTTTATATACCTCCCATAAGTAGAATCATACAGCATTTGACTTTTGTGGCTGGCTTATTTCACTTAGTATAATATCCTCAAGGTTCATCTGTGTTGTAACATGTGACAGGATTTCCTTCTGTTTTTAATTTAAAAATTTTTTTTGGCTGGGGCGTGGTGGCTCACGCTTATAATCCCAGCACTTTGGGAGGCTGATGTGGGAGGATCCCTTGAGGCCAGGAGTTCATGACCAGTCCGGGCAACATGGCAAAACCCCATCTCTACAAAAATACAAAAGTTAGCCAGGTATGGTGGTGTGTGCCTGTAGTCCCAGCTACTTGGGAGGCTGAGATGGGAGAATTACTTAGGCCCAGGAGGTTGAGGCTGCAGTGAGCCGAGATCACACCACTGCACTCCAGCCTCGGTGACAGAGTGAGAAACCTGTCTCAAAAAAAGATTTTTCTTTAAATTGACAGATAAAATTGTATGTATTTGTCGTGTACAATATGATGTTTTGAAGTACACATACACTGTGATATGGTTAAATGTAGCTAATTAACAAATGCATTTCCTCACATGGTTATCATTTTTGTGGTGAGAACATTTAACATCCATTCTCTTTGGATTTTTCAAGAATGTAGTAGATCATCATTAACTAGAGTCACTATGCTGTACAATGGATCTCTTGACTTATTCCTCCTTTCTAGCTGTAATAATATATCCTTTAACCAATGCCTCCTCATCCCTGCCCTACCTCCAACCACCCCAGCACCTGGTAACCACCATTCTACTCTTTATTTCTATGAGACCAACTTTTTTAGCTTCCACATGTGAATGAGAACATGCAGTATTTGTCTTTCTGTGCCTGGCTTATTTCACGTAACATAATGCTCTCTAGGTTTATCCATGTCATCTCAAATGATAGGAATTCTTCCTTTTTATGGCTCAATAGTATTCTATTGTGTATATACACCATATTTTATTTATCCATTCATCCATTAATGGACACTTAGGTTGATTCCATATCTTGGCTGTTGTGAATAGTGCTGCAATAAGCATGGGAGTGCAGATATCTCTTTGACATACTGACTTGATTTCCTTTGGATATATACCCAGTAGCAGGATTGATAAATCATATGGCAGTTCTATTTTTAATATTTTAAGGAATCTCCAAATTGTTTCCCATAATGGCTGTACTAATTTACATTCCCACCAACTGTGTCCTTTTTTCTCTACATCCTTGCCAACATGTTTTTTGTTTTTTTTAATAGCAATTCTGACAGGAGTGAGGTGATATGTCATTTTGGTTTTGATTTGCATTTCTATGATGATTAGTGTTGTTAGGATTTTTTTATACATCTGTTGGTTTTATACGTCTGTTGGTTTTCTTCTGGTATTCATCTGTATGTTTTCTTCTGGTAATTCCATAGTTTTGGGTCTTACATTTAAATCTTTAATGGATTTTGAGCTGATTTTTTTATATGGTGAGAGATAAGAGTCTTTTTACCCTGTTGCCTTCTTATTCTGTTGATTGTTACCTTCCCTGAACAGCAGTTTTTAGCTTGACAATTGTCCCATTTGTTTTTCTTTTGTTGCCTGTGATGTTGGTTTCATATTATTTCTCTTTTTTAAAACTAATGGTAAAATGCTGAAGCTCAAAGATGTTAAGCAAGATTCCCACGGTCACTCAGGAATTGGCAAAGCCAGAATCCAGATCCAGACCTAACTTCGAATCTTATAGGAAAGAGTGAAGTCAGGTGACATGAGGACCTGGAAATAAAACAAACACTGGAAATAATAGTTCACACTTGTGGCCTGGAAACAGCATTTGTCTTTTCTGTGGTCTGTCCTTGTTCAAGGCCACCATTCACCCAGGTCAGGGAAACAGGGTCTAGCAACTTCTTAGACATTTTCAAACCCTGTCCTAATTTGCCTAGGAGACAAATAAACAGTAACTCTGGAATTCTGAATTTCACAATTCAGCCTCAAACAACTAACTCATTTTCAATGACCTTATTTCCTTTTCAGGAGGCTTTGGAATGGGAAGCAAGTCAGCTGCCACCAGCCCAACCGGATCCTCGCATGGTACTCCCACCCATCAAAGCAAACCCCAGACTCTGGATCCTTTTGCCGACCTTGGGACACTAGGTACAAACTCAGAAGATCAAGATACAAATAACATTTATTTATAGCTATAAAGCCTCAAATCTCAGTCTTTGGTGTTACAGCAAGCTGGTATTGTCACCTGGAACCTCAAATAGTGTGTATTCTTAAGCTATCCTCTGAAACCTGAGATTGGCTTTTTAAAAAAGGAAAGCGATAATCAGATGTGGGGTTAGAAATCATCTTTATTGATTCATTTCTCCAGTGCCTAATTCTGGATGTGTAGCATGAATAAAGTTAGAGCTTTCAGGGGCTCATGGCAACAGAGTTTGGCTGCGCAAAAGTAATGCGTAGGGAAACAGTATGAGACAGGGCTGGTCAGATGGATTTGTGCCACATGATGCCAACCTTGCAGAACACTAACTGTGATGCGGTGATGTTACCTGTGAGATCTTCACACCGTTCCCCTTCTCTCCATTAACTGTGGTGCTCTCCGGTCAATTTGTAAAATTCTATACAGAAAATAGACTCAAGTATCGTATTTCCAGAATATTTTCACCATATGTTAATAGATGTTACAGGATAAGTGTTCTGAGAGCAGGTGAGATTGGGAAGCACTGGTTTCAGTGGATTTTGATTACCACTAAGAGGGACACAGTATCCAGAGTTCTCAAACTGATTTCACCAAGGAGCCTGTTTTCAAGGAGGGGTTCACTGGACTACTATGTTCTGAAACATTTTCTTCCTCCTTTTTCCTTCCTCCTCTAGGGCAGTGCAGATTTGTTAAATAAGGGTGGGGTAGCCCTGACACAAAGGTTTATCTTGGCTATATTGATAGTCTGTGATCTCAGAAAGCCCTACTGAGGCATTTAGAGCCAGATGGAGGGAATGTGAGCCTGGCTACCGTTGTTGTCTGTAACTAGTGTCAGCATCTTTATCTTCCATTCTGTACTATTTAGATGTTTTTCCCTTTTAAGAACTCTCAAAATTATTTTATGCAGTCATTTTCTTCTCCACCTTTCTTTGTATCTTACTGAAAATTTCAAATTTTAAAGTAATATTATATCAGATGAAATTTTACTTCAATAAAATCTCATTTATTATTTATTTTTAATGCATTTAATGCATTGATTCATCCAACAAGTATTTAAGGCACTTTTGTGCCTTCTAGGTGCTAGGACTGTTTTAGTAAAAAAAATAACCAAACAAAACAAAACTCCTGCCTTAATAAAACTTACATTATAGAAGGGGAATCAAATAATAAATTAACAAATATATAATGTCAAATAATGAAAACAATAAAAATAACAGTTAATAGTTATTGGGGCCTTACTATGTGCCAGGCACTACTTAAAGTGTTTTACATATATCATTTCATTTAATCTTCCTCATAATCTTTTGAAGTAGTGACTGTTATAATCCTCGTTTTACAGATGAGGAAACAGGGACACAACAGGTTAAGTAACATGCACAAATCACAAGCTTTCAACACCAAGAAGTCTAGCTCTGGAGCTTGCACTCATAAAAGGTTTAGAGGTTGATGTAGCTGAGTGTGGGAAGGGGTATCAGTTCAGTTCATCCAGTCAATGGTTTTCTACCCTTGAGCATTAATTCCCTCATTTCACAGGTATTTTTGAGTACTTATTATGTGGTAGGCATTCAGGATGTAATAAAGAATCAAAGCTGATGATATTCCTGTTCTTTGAAACTTGCACTACAGTGGGAGGAAGAAACTTTAATCAAATGTAAAATATCCGCTACTGTAGGGGCTACACAAGATGGAGCATTTTTTAAAAAGCTCCCCAGGTAATTCTAATGCACAATCAAGGTTGAGAACTACTGCTTTGCTTTTAATGAGGACTGCAGTGGTCTCTGGATTTAGCTACCACTTTGTATTTCTGTAAGTTCTCTGCTTCAATAGCATTAACAATTAGACTTGCTGAGCATGGGGAGAAAATATTCTAGAAGGGTAGACATCAGAGAGTCCTGCAATGTTGATGAGCCCCATGAGTGCGGGGTCAGCGTCTGCTTTTTCACCACTGTATCTGCAGCCTGGCATCTAGAGGATGCTCAGTAGTGTTTCCTAAATTAATGAATAACTGGCAGTGTGGTAGGCATATGGCAAGGTTTTCTTAGTTCTTTAGGCTTTTCTGTATTTACCAAATTTTAAAATAAAAAAAACACATATGTTCAGAACAGAGTAAGCTTCCTTAAATATAAAATGAAACCCCAGTGTAGAATGAATACCAAGTTTTAGGTGTATGTTCCCGTGCTATTGGCAGGAGGGCTCTGGGACATAGGAAGAAGGAATTCATGCTGCTAGTTATGGAATGAGTGGGGCAATGCCAAGCTTGAAGACAAGCCCTGTCATTACATTTTCCTATCACCAAGTGTTTATTGAGCCCTGAAGATGTACCAGGCATGTGCTTATTAGCATATGAGCTTACATTATTTTATAATATATAACGTCTCTTTGTTTGCTTAATTGTGTAATACTTTCCTATAGTTGTTGTGTCTTTACAGTATACCTGTGATATAGACATAGTTTTGATTAAACAGATGAAGAAACTCAGGCTCAAAGGAGTGAGTTTTTTTTACCCAGCTTTAGAAGAGCAAAGATTCTCTATATCCTGTTTTCAGCTATATTCTTAGTGCCCAGCATAGTACATGACACTTGGTAATGCTCATCAAATAGTGGTGAATTAGTGTATATATGTATGAATGAATGAAGAACGAATGCAAGAATGAATGACAGAGCTGAGACTCAAACTCAGATTGATGGTAAGTCCAGTGATCATGATGCATTTCCAGCAGGGAAGGAAAGTGGAGCCCCAGGATCAGAATAGGGAAAGTATCTATAGAAAGAAGAGATAGTAAGGGATGAGTTGTAGTGAAAGGCTTAGCAATTAGGAGAGGAATTAAGGATTACTGAGTGCAGTAAATGAACATGACATTTGGAGGTAGGATGCACATAGTCTAATCCCAGCTCCATTAATTGGCTGTGTGATCATGAGTATATCAGGAAACCTCTCTGAGCCTTAATTTCCTTATTTTTAAAGTGGAGCCAGTGATACTACTTACTTCCTAAGAGTGTTGTGTAGATCTGAGCAGTAATGTACATAAACACATTTTGTTAACTCTAAAGAGCTATATAAATATTAGTTATTTTATTATTGTTACTTTAGACTTATTACATGAAAGGGTCTTTGGACATCAGCACATTTCAGTTTTCTCATTTTACCTCTTTAAATGCAAGCCACAGCTGGTTTTCATATTTTGGACATAGCCCAGCTTGTATGCAATGAGTGCTTAAAAGTTTGGAGATTATGGAATCAAGATTCTACTTAAATTCCTGGCACAAAATAACATCATTTTCAAAGCTTGAATAAGATCCTTTGTCCTGTTTAAAGTTATCAGAATGTTGACTGTTTTTGCTCTCCTTCAGTGAAATGCAAGTAGTATGAAGTTAAAACCTACTTGTGAAATTTCAAAACATCTTTATTTACTCTTGGGCACTAACCATGCTTTATAACAAAAAATGATGAATCCTAATAATTGAAGTTTAAGTAGCACCTTAATGAGTGGACTGTTTTATTCCCCATTCTTGTCATTTGGTGGTTTTTTTTAAATTTTATTCTAGTGAAGAAACAGAATCTGCTCAGAAGATGGAAGGGTGGGGAAGGATGGCACAGTGGGAAGAGCCAGGGTTCTTTTGACCTGGAGGCAAAGATCCAGAATCAAGTCTCGGCTCAGCTACTTGCTGTGTGCCTCTGAGAAAAATCACTTAACTGCTCTGACCTGCAGTTTGTTCATCTGAAGGAAAAATGAGGCCATTAAAACATACCTAGAAATGTTATTGTGGGGATGAAGGAAATAATATGTATGCCTGCAATTGCTTTATCTATATTAGGAAGATTACTTATGCTGTCAGTCAAGGGAATGACTATTAAAGCCACTGCAAACAGTGTCTTAAGACACAAGAGTTAGAGGCCACTCAAAATAGTTTTACCTTCTTTATCTCTTTTTTTCTTTAGGTAGTTCTTCCTTTGCCAGCAAACCCACCACACCAACTGGATTGGGTGGAGGATTCCCGCCTCTCAGCTCGCCACAGAAGGCGTCTCCCCAGCCTATGGGTGGCGGGTGGCAGCAGGGAGGTGCCTACAACTGGCAGCAGCCACAGCCTAAGCCTCAGCCCAGCATGCCCCACTCCTCTCCCCAGAACCGACCCAACTACAACGTGAGCTTCTCAGCCATGCCTGGGGGCCAGAACGAACGTGGGAAAGGATCAAGTAATTTGGGTAAGGATAATGGTATGGGACCTAGCTATGGGGCAGCCTGTCTATGTTGTCATACTGCCTGAATGTGTCTCTCTGAAGGTGACAGTATTTTCTGGGTAGTTTCAATTCAGTAGTTTCTGAGGGAATCTTATAGTTGTAGAGATAAAACATGATTCCTACCCCCAACGCTGTACCTGGAGGCTCCTAGGTTGACTATGCTCCTAACTTTTATACCATTTTGTGACCGTGGGCTCACTTGGCTGTTTATCTCCAGACTGGAACCAGATGGAGGGCAGGGACTGTGTCTTAGTTGCCATGGTATCATTAGCACCTAGCATAGTGCTTGGCATAGGGTAGGCACTAAATGAATGTTGAAGGGATATGAGTGGAGAGGTAGATGGATCTTAAAGCTGTTATTCCTTTGGAAGAGGAAGTGGAAGAAAAAGTTGGGGAATCTTTCAAGCACATTGGTCATATTTGCCCTTTGGTCCCAGTTGGTGGACTGCATGTGTCTTGGAAAACTTGGTCTTTCTTATGCTCTGCTTGGTGGATTCCTGAGATCAGCGGGGTACCTATGATGGTGCCAACACCTGAGGCTGGAGGATACTCTGGATAGGATCTTGACAATGAATGAAAAGTAATATTTTTGCATAGGAAGGATGGTTAGATTTGAGTTTATTAAAAGCCTATTTTGGTACATTTTATATTTCAGCTGATTTTGTCAGACCCTCCAATGAAGTACATAGGAACATGGTGAGGGAAGAGGCCTTTCTCTCTATGGAACATGGAAAGGCAATTCTTATGCTCTTCCTAATAGCTGTAGCTAACATTTATTGAGTCCTTACTGTATGGCAGGTGCTATCCTAAGCATTTTTCATGTACAGGCATCCCCCTTTATTTGTGGTTTTATTTGCAGTTTCAGTTACCTGAGGTCAACTGCAGTCTGAAAATATTAAATGGAAAATTCCAGGAATAAGCAATTCATACATTTCAAATTGTGCACTATTATGAGTAGCGTGATGAAACCTCGCACTGTCTTACTCCATCCTGCCTAGGATGTGAAGCATCCCTCTGTCTAGCACATCTATGTTGTATTCTCTACCCACCCATTACTTACTTAGTAGCCATCTCGGTTATCAGATCAAAAAAAAGAGTACTGTATATATAGGGTCTGGTACTATCTGCAGTTTTAGGTGTCCACTGGGGGTCTTGGAACATACCGCCTGTGAATAAGTGGAGGGACTCCTGTATTATTTCTTATAATCTTCAAAACCAACCGCATATCATAGGAAGCTGTGACACAGATCGATGAAGTAATTTCCTAAGTTTATACAGCTTATAAGCGACAGAGCCAGGATTCGAACCCTGGCAATCTGGCTCCAGAACCCCTGCCCTTCATTGCTACCCTCTACTGGCTAGAACACAGGTGCTCACAACACCAGCATGTTAGGAATTCAGTTGTCGGGGATATGTAACATCATGTTTGTTCTTGACTAGCAGGGATATTTCCTGGACAATTCCATAGAGTCATGCCAATTCCCCTCCATTTTTGAGTAGATAGATGTGGGGCGAGTGACTTCAATCAGCAAATACTTATGGAGCATCTTCAGTGTAGAAAACATTGAGGATGCAGCAGGGAACAAGAAACAAAATCCCTAGTTTCAGAGCACTTACATTTCAGTGTGTGCAAAAACAGGTATGTGTATGTCTTACAGTATAGAGATAGCAAATGGTTTTCAACTCAAAAACTGATTTTGGTTGATTTGAATCGACTGTATGGACTGTTATGTTTTGGTTCTATTTTGTTTTAACAAGCATTTAGATAGCCAGGCACTGTTCTAAGCATTTTAAATGTTAACTAATTCATTTTCAAAACAAGTCCATAAGGTGAGTAATATTCCTAACACCATCCCCATTTTATGGATGAGGAAGTTGAGGAGTAGAGATAATAAGTAACTTGCCTAGATTACATCACTAATAAGTGGCAGAGCTGGAATGCAAACCCAGGGAGTTGGGGTCCAAAGTCTTTGTTCCTAGCCACCATGCTCGGCTGCCTCTCCAAACAAATTGAGAAAGATTAAGAGGCTACAACCAGACTTGGAGAGAAAGAGCAAAGTGATTGACTAAAATATCAACAGAATATGGGCAGAGAAGTGGTAGCATGCATGAATTTCAAGTACCAAACCGAGATCCCAGTGCCAACACTGATATGAGTTAGTTATAATCTGGAGGGATAATGAGTATCCTCATCTAAAGAGAAGGTACAGTGGAAATGGAATTGGATTTGGCTTCATGATCCAGCCTCCAGTTTTAACCTTGCCACATATATGATTCTGGACAGGTTCATTTTCTTCATCTGTAGAATGGATGCAACAGTCTCTTACCCTACTCACAGGGTAAGCAAGCATGAGGGTTAAGGACTGAATGCATATTAAAAACACCTTGAAGACTCCAGATGCTGTGAGATAATGATACAGCATTATGTTTAAGAATGAAAACTGTAATGATTTTCAAAAATTATATTGCAGAAGGGAAACAAAAAGCAGCTGATTTTGAAGACCTACTCTCTGGTCAAGGTTTCAATGCTCACAAAGACAAAAAGGGGCCTCGGACAATAGCTGAGATGAGAAAGGAGGAAATGGCCAAGGAAATGGATCCTGAGAAATTAAAGGTGAGTGAGGCCCCTGACGCAGCTTGATTATCCTATATGACAAAGTCATGTGATAAAGTCATGTGTATGGAGCTATCGCCATGAGAGTAACCTATTGTCTTAGCCCATTCAGGCTGCTATAACAAAATACCATAAACTAGGTGGCTTATAAACAACAGGATTTTTTTTTTCTCATAGTTAATGAAGGCTGGGAAGTCCAAGATCAAGGTGCCAGCCATTTTGGTGTCTGGTGAGGGCCATCTTCCTGGTTCATGGATGGTGGTCTTTTCCCTGTGTCCTCATAGGCAGAAGAAAGAGGTCTTGCTCAGGCCTCTTTCATAAGGACACTAATCCCATTTATAAGAGGTCTGTCTCATGAACTAATCACCTCCCAATAGGAAGCCCTAACCTCCTAATACCATCACCTCTGGAGTTAGAATTTCAACATAGCAATTTTGGGGGGACACATACATTCAGACCATATCACCTATAAAAGGCATGATAGTAGATTTCTGGTGGCCACTCTATTTCATTTGGTCTTTGCAGCTGTGATTTGAGTACAGCTGTGCCCTTTAATAGCAAAGTAGCTCTGAGGAGGTTGCACACACTGTTTACTTTCTTTAATAAAATAAATGTTATTCCATGATATGGCAATATAGATTTCTTTTGTTTGCCTGTTCAAATGAGCAGTGGCACTTTCTAAGAGGTGATTTTGTTATTCAGATGGCATTCACATTCTAAAGATGAGTCATTAGAATTTGCTGGTAAGAAGAATGCATTATTTATGTTTTCTCTTTCTGCTTTGAGAGCTTTTTTATTAAACCAGATTGACTGAAGCCCCCAGGATCTTTTCTCTACCGATAGAGAAATATTTATGTACCTGAGACTTACCAATTCCTGCAACATTAGACCTGGAGCTTTGGAAAGTAGAGGAGAGAAAGGCTGAGGGAAGTGTGGCTCCTGTCTTCCCCATTGTCTCCCTCTACTTTTAACCAAAGCAGTTCCACTTTTCTCTCTTTCTGATTCTGGAGGTTTAGGTAAAATTAGATTTGAGGTTTTTCCTCAAATCAAATCAACATACTTTTTTCCTCAAATCAACATACTGTTTTAGCATGTTTCAGCATTTTGTTTTTTTAAGTTTGCAATTCAGCGAATCTAACCCCTTTGTTTCACAGCTGAAAAAAAACCACATAACTTCATAGATGAAGATGTTGTATGGACAGGCGGATGCGGATTAGCTGGGAAACAGAGGGTGGTTCTGTTGATGAGTGGTATGAGGTCTGGAAGAGTTTGTAAAGATCAAGAGAATTGGAATGCTCTTCACAGATGGAGAGGTTGAGTTCCTATGTGACAAAATACTAAATATGCTGATACTACAACAAACTGAAAGAGGAGGATGTAATCTGTCTCTGTATTAAAGCATCTGCAAAACCAGTACTTAAACAGCAAGTCAATCTTAACACATTCTGAAAACATATACCACCGTTCTGTATAATTTCCTGACAGATTTGTTGCAGATGTATATAATATACATCTAATATAACTTAGATTCTTTGATACATTTTTTAGTACAATGTAGGGTCTTTCATTTGCATGTTTTTCACTCCACCCAATGTCACAGAAGCTTAATATTTCTTCCAAAAACTTTGTGCTTCATCTCAATAACCGTTGTTCATTAGGCAAATTCGGACAGTTTCCTATAAAAGAAAGCTGTTTATTTCATTTAAACCATGTTTGATTATTTAATTGGTACAGGGTATGTAATTGTTTGGGAGGGTAGCTGTCATTAATGTGACTAAACCATTCATCCAGCAACACTCACTTAGCTGAACTCCTGTTAGGTACTCAATGCTGATACAGTTTTATGATCCCTCTGACTTAATCACCTCATTTGTTCAAACTGTGAATGTTCATAGTTCAAATAAATGGCTAAATGGGTCAATTCACGTAACAAGCCTTTTTGAGCTCTGTTCTGCACCAGGTTACTTATTTGGTTCCGAGATACAGTGATATATAAGAAATAATACTTTTCCTCAAACAGCTCTGCCTAATGGCAGGCAAAGAGAAACACACAATTACAATAAAGTGTGGTACATATTATGGTAGAAATATGTTTAAGGTAGAGTGGCCCAGAGAAGTTTGGCCCTTTTTTAAGGTTTACTTATTTAGTGCAGTATCTACCCTCATGGAGTTTATATTGAGTATAACTCTGGGGGTGGGGATGGGAGAGAAAGGAATTCAAACTCGCAAAGTCTAACAGTGTGAAATTTCTCAGCACCCTTTTGAAAGATGATAGAGTTAACCAGGGAGACAAGGTAGGAGATTGAGGAGGAGAAGCATTCCAGGTAGAGGAAACAGCCTGGATCATACAGGTTGCCCTAAGTGTTTTGATGTTGCTGGAGCAGAAGGGGTTTCTAGAGTCCTAGTGGAAACCTTCTGAACTAGTAAGTAAGCATTTGAATTTCTTAATCCCCTTTGTGTTTACAGATTCTGGAATGGATTGAAGGCAAAGAAAGAAATATCAGAGCCCTTCTTTCCACGATGCATACCGTACTATGGGCTGGGGAGACCAAGTGGAAACCAGTTGGCATGGCAGACCTGGTAACACCAGAGCAGGTGAAGAAGGTGTACAGGAAGGCTGTCCTGGTGGTGCACCCAGATAAAGTGGGTATAACCTGCCCTGTTGTGTAACTTGTCAGGTCCTTGCTTCATTATCTTATGAGTATGTGTTTTACTTTAAATGTGCTGGTTCATATGGCCTATTTTTAATAAAATTAAGTCAATGAGCTAAAATCAGATATTTAAACAAATAGTTATACTTTATGAAATGAGAAAGACGATATCAAACTATATATTACAGGGGCTTATTTAGAGAGAGTAAGATTTACCCAGTGATTAATTTTTAGGGCTCAGAAGTAAATTGTGTCTGAGTACGGTGGCTCATGCCTGTAATCCCAGCACTTTGGGGGGGGCAGGGTAGGCGAATCGCTCGAGCCCTCAAGTTTGAGACCAGCCTGGGCAACATGACAAAACCCCGTCCCTACAAAAAAAATAAAAAAATTAGCTGGTGTGGTGGCATAAGCCTGTAGTCTTAGCCACTCGGGAGGTTGAGGTAGGAGGATCACTTGAGCCTGGGTGATCAAGGCTGCAGTGAGCTGAGATCGCTCCACTGTACTCCAGCCTGGGCAACAGAGTGAGACCCTGTCTCCAAAAAAAGAAAAGAAAAAGTAAATTGTGTCCTGGCTTACAATAGTAAGGACAGGCTAAGAGCTGGACAGAAGAAAACTCCTTTCCTTTAGAGATACAGCAGTATAGTTAGCTAGGATGGTAATGAAAAAGCTTCAGAATGTAGTTGGTAAAATTTGTGAGAATCAATAAAATATTCAGAATGGAATTAAATTTGCCCTCTCTTGATTATTACTACATTGATTATGTCAGTTTATGTTTTCATTGAAGTATATATACATCTAAGGGCTCTACCTTGTCAGAAACTTCAAGTAACTCATGGACAAATGAAATCATCATATAATACATAGAAACATTCAGCAAGAAGTGAGTCATCTTGCTGTCACATAGACTATACCAGTCATATGACATGAAGCTATGATCGAAGTGCCACTTGGGAACACAGGCTTGAATTTGATGCATATGATTTTCATCTCTCCACATTTTTTTGTACTAGTCTGAAAAGAAGAATTAATGAGAAGCAATGGTAGTGCTTGAATTTTGATGAATCAAAAGAGAAGGAGAAACAAGAGCCCAGAAAAATCCACAAACTGTATTCCCCATTATGACTCTCAAAGAACTTTTTAGAAATGGGAAAATGGGAGTTAAAAACAGTCAATAGAGATGGGCTGTCATGAACCTTTGTCATTTGGCAGATACGTCTGGAGAACAGAGATACGTCTTGTGCTGCCTGATAAGCTCTCTGTTGTCTACTTCTTGATGGATTACTACTACCCTTGTGCATTTCTAGGGGGAGGTCATTATGGGGAGGTTATAGTAATTTGGGTCAGATATAGTAGATTAGGCTGAAAAGGAGAAATGGCCAAATAGAAAAACATTTCCATTGCTTAGAGCCCATATATTGGCAGTGAAAAATTTAATATTAATGAAATTTTGGTCTGTGGTATCTAATGTGTGTTTTTGTTTTCTCTACAGGCTACTGGGCAACCCTATGAACAATACGCAAAGATGATTTTCATGGAGCTCAATGATGCCTGGTCTGAATTTGAAAACCAAGGCCAAAAGCCCTTATATTAATTTATGAGCTTTTCCATCTCTGCTGCAGACCTGTGCTAATGCTTAGTGTGTGTCACAATTCTGAGGTTTTCGCAGATGAACCAAAAACTCCAGTAACATGTTTTCAGTACTAAACCGTTAAGTTACTCATGAATTAATTTCTCATTGATAAGGAATGTGGATGTTTGGTTTCTCCAAAGTTCCCACCATAAAAGATCCAAAGCATGAGAGGAACTTCTAGTCAGATGACCTTGCAGAACCACCGCATTCCACCCTGCCCTTTGGGGAGCCTACTCAGCATTCTACCTGGGGAAATGGAAAACAGAGGCCACCACCCATGAAGGCATAACACCCATCACATTGTCTGAGAATAGGATTAATGAGCAAAAGTTATGATAATAGAGTTATATGATGGTTTAATGGTTTCTAGATTTTTCTTGGAAAGATATAATTTGAGCAGTGGCTTTATGCAGACTCCAAGAACAAAACCACCAGGTATTTTTTTTTAAGTAAAAATTTACTAAGGCCTTTAGCATAATACTGTAAATGTCTTTTGGTCAAGAGAACTAACAAATATAAAGGAACTTGAAATGTGGGGAGTGATAATAGTCCAGTGATTAAACTACAGTCCAGTGATTACCACCAACTTTCTGACTAAGCTAAAAATGAATGAAAATGGTGGCTAAAGAAAATAGGGACTCTGAAGATGTCGAAATCTTTATTCCTGGTTAGGAAGGTGGGCCGCTACCCTTCTTTCCCTTTAGAAAACTGTGATTAATTAAATAAAAAGTCTTACTACTATAACAACTCTAAACCTGGTTTAAATGAAACATCTAATTTTGCTGTAAGGCTTAATGCTCTTCTTTTGTTTAGCCAAGAAAACATTCTTAGTTGGAAACAGGTGGTAAAGTAGTTTGGCCTGTTCACAACTTATCAGGACCAATATCTAGTGTGGACTCAGTGTTCTCTAGGTTTGTGAGCAGTTGTGGTAAGAGAATGGAAGGCAACACTGAATAGGAGTTAAGGGAATGGCACGATCACAGTGAGAGAGCTGCACTCACCTGCAGACCCAGTCAGATGGCTTGTCAGTATCTGCTCTGAGGAACCAGGTCCCACCTCCCCACAAGGCAAATCTAGACCCATTAAATTATTACAGTGGGCTTTTTTGTTTTAAAAGTGGTTGGGGATCCACAGGAACGACATTCATACAGGGACATTTGTGAAAGCAAAGCAAGAATGAATGCTTTCCCGATCTCAGACTGGCTGGATTCAGATCAGTGTGTTGGCTGGTTCTCATTTTAAGGGGTAAGCAGTTTGCTATTCTGTGACTTTAGTAGATCTCTTTTGTGTGCACATATACAATGTGCATTATACATATATATTAAATATATCCACAAAGCAGATGGGCAAAAAGATTTTCATGCTAATCTTCAAAGGTTCATGCTCAATATTGTGAAAAGCTTTTAAAAGTTGTTTTGAAAAGACAATCATTTTTTGTTTTTGTTTTAACTTTCTTGTGGCAAGCTATACCGGAAAAGCGGCATGTCAAAAATACTTTAGGTTCTACATAGATCTCTTTCTCTCTTTTGTTTTGTTTGTTTGTTTGTTAAAGTTCATTATTTATTTTACCTTTTACTGACAATGTGAAACTCGAAGAAAATGTTCTCTTTTTAAATATACAGTCATAAACTGTTCAAGGTAACCATAACAAACTAGGTGTTATTTATTAACGTATTATAAAATAATGTTTGATCCAGTATGTGCTTGTCTTATTTAAAATTGGAATGTGAGACATGTTGCTGTGACCTGTTTTTCTTTCTCATTCACATTTGTAGATATTGTGTGAACTACAGTATATAATGATAACAATTAAAAGGATATTCTGTGGATGTCACGTATTTTGAAATGATAGAACTACATTAGCTTTGTATCATGTTTGGATAATTCATCAATGTTCACAGTTTAAAACATCATTAAACATTATGTAATTACAATGAGAAAGAATCTTACTTAAATTTGGAGATTTTCCCCCACATCTCTTTTCCGGATACATTATAATTCTGGACCCCTATTTATCTCAAAACTCTTAATATATGCAGACCAACAGGTCTTTGCATTCCTTTTAAATAACTGGTTGTGACAAAGCTTGTTGTTGATCAGATTCACTGTTTCATCATATTTATTGTAATATATTTTTTGTTTTGTAAATATGTTACAACAAAATGTGATTGGTCTAAAATATTTGTAATGTATATTAAAAGGTTCAAAAATATTTGTATAAATCTAAGTTATTTGGGTACTTGTAGGAATACAATGAGGAGCTTGAATGCCACCTTCTGACATGATTTACTTTTAAGGAAAGTTATGAGGAGAGAATACAAAAAGCATGCACCAAAATGTAATCTGACAGGATTTCTGGATTTATACGTAATCACTCCTGCCCCAACACACACACACACACACACACACACACACACACACATGCACGCACACATGATTTTGATTATGCTACATGATATATGTTTCAAAAAGAATTAGCATAGAAATCCTGGTCTCCTAGCCAAAAAAATCAAAGGATTTTCAAAAAAACGAATCTGTATGTTGAGGCAAAAGGATTGAACCTGGAAGTCTGGGACTTTATCATAGAAACAAAGTCTCAGATATTTTAGTTCTTTGGAAACAAATGCTGTAATTCAAAAGCATTTGACCTGTCACTGTACTATCTACATGTGGAAGAATGTTCAAGTTGAATCCTAATGCCGTGAATGAAACACAGTCTGTGTAGGGAATGAGCAAAAAAGTTGAATTCCAATTGCTTTTTGGCCTTTTGGCTAAAATAAATGTAGCATCTAATTTTATCAGTTTAACATCTGATATGTCTTCTATCCATGTACAATATTTTAAATGGATTTTGTGGAGCAGGGAGATGGAATAGGAGTTTCCCCCACCCATTCCACACATCAGCCTGGTAATGCAGTAACTGCAGGAATAGTTCACCTCCGCCTCACTAAAACAACAACAACAACAACAAAAGACAAAATTTGAATTCCAGAAATAGTTATTGCAGCAACAAGTCAGTCTCCCTGCTGGAAACACCTATCAGGGAAGCTGGCTCAAGTAGCAGATTTTGATTATTCTAAAGATAAATCATGGTTTTTGGGAATAGTGATACATGTTGGTTTGAGATTAAAAGACTGGGTTTAAATCCTAGTTTTTCCATTTATAGACTTTTTTTTTTTTTTAAGAGAGTCTTGCTCTGTCACCTAGGCTGAAATGCAGTGGGTCTGTCACAGCTCTCTGCAACCCCTAACTCCTGAGCTCAAGTGATCCTCTCTCCTCAGCCCTCTTGAGTAGCTAGGACTGCAGGTGAGAGCCACCATGCCTGGTTTTTTTTTTTTTTTTCAGACGGGGTCTTGCTGTGTTGCCCAGGATGGTCTTGAACTCCTGGCCTCAAGTGATCCTCCAGCCTCAGCCTCCCAAAGTGCTGGGATTACAGGCATGAGCCACTGTGCCAAGCCTTACAGACTCTTATATTGGACAAGTTTCTTGAACTGAGTCTTAATTTTATCACCTGTAAAATAGAATTCTAACAACCCTGCAATGGAGGAATTAAGAACTGTGTATATAAACTCTTAACAAGCGGGTACTCACTAAATAGTAATTATTGTTATTGTTACTGATAGTAAATAAGACAAAGTATATCACTGTAGGTGGGTATTGGAGCTGGAATTACATGGAAACCTCATATTCTAGGGAGTGACACAAGTAGGAAAAGGCAACCCAAAGTTACTTTTACCTTGGTCCTTATTCCTTATCTCCTTGGGTTTACAGAGATCTGTCTACATAAAATGGCAAAGAGGTTTGCATTGTAGTTTCTGTAAAGGGAATAGCTATGTAAAAAGAAGTAGTGATTGAGCATTAGGAAGGAAAACCAACATTTACGGATTTCAATTAGTGTTGCATCATTCTTGCATTTAACTTATGCACTGACTTGCAAGCCTACCCCAGTGTAGATATAACATCCTGGCATTTATCTTGTGTGCACTGCCCTAGGTGTTACCATATATATATATATATGTTTTATATATATTTTTTTCTCACTTAATTCCCCCAAAGATTCTGAGACAGGTTTTTGTAAATCTTACCTCAGGAAGCTAAAGCATGGAGAAATTTACCCAGAGCTGGAGCTTGAGGCTATATATTTTTTTTTTTCTGAGGATAGGGAGAGATGATACTGTGTATGGTAAACTTATTAATATTTGTTAATTCAGCCAACATTTTGTGTATACTGTATGCAAGATGCTAATAGATATGCTGGAGAAAATTAAGACAGTGAATGGATTTGATGCCCTGTGAAGCATAAGAGGTTACTGTTATTTCTAATTACTACAAGAATTCTTGCTTCTTGGTGCATAAGATCTACTGTGGGGAATAGTACAAGTGCTGACCATCTGACTTTAGAGCTGAACAGTTTGGGACTTGATCTCAGCTTCCCTATTCACTGGTTACTGGGAGCTTGTTTTCCTATCTGTAAGATAGAGGCAATAAAACCTAGCTTATCATGCGAGACTATTGAATGCAAGGAGAGAATATTAAAATTCATCCCAGTAAGTCCACTGTAGTCCTAGGCAGCATGACAGAGGTCACAGATCTTACAAGTAACATATCAATGGCAAGTTGGGGATAAGGATTTGGTTTTTAGGGTTTTACTTTCTGTTTTTGATGACTCTTATTTTTGAGAAAATGTGGAAGGAGTAAGTAGAAGAACAGTTTTTTTCAGTGCAACATCAGGCAAAAGAAAAGCAGATTTTTTTCAGATGGTTAAAGCCTATGGCAAAATAGCTAACTTTCTCTTTAAGGTGATTGGTAACCTGGAAAGGACAGCTGGCGTGGGCAGAAAACTTGTTCAAGACAAACACTGTCCCAGCATTTTTTAAATTCCAGACATTACCCTGGGGCAAACACCTCAACTTTTTCTTTCATACCACCTTCCAATATCTTACTCCTGAGCCTAGGGTGCTCAAACCAAACTCTGCTTCTGATGTGTTGTCAGTTTTCTCTAAAATCACTTATCTTCTGTGGGACTGGAGTCAGGCTGATGTGGAAGGCTCCCGCAAACCCTATTTAGGCTCTCTGGAGACAGAATGGGTGGTTGGAAATGGAAGGGGGAATGAGGGAAATTTAACCCCATAGAATATCTTCCCCATGAGAGTAGCTTAGCACTACACGAAGAAAGCTAAAAACCACAGACTTCCAGGGCTTGTCTGATACGCAGGTTCCCTTGAGTGCTCTAATAGGTATTAGAAATAATATGATAGGGAAACAAGCTCTTGTAGGGGAGGAAGAATCTTTTTCTCTACCTATCTTAGGTTCTCCGGCTGGGTCCTTGTGCATTAGACTGGCCAAAGACAGATGAACAAAAGTAAAGCAAGTTTATCAACACGTGCGTTGTTCATATAGGTAACATGGGAATACTCAGAGATAAGCAACTCAAAGATTTGGTTAGAACTTGGGTTTATACAGCATATTAGCCAAGGAACAATAAATTTTTAAAGAAATGACAAGATAAAGGATCTTGAGTCTCTAGGGGCAGCAAATTGTCGGAAAACAAATATATGGGAGACTAGTTGCAGATGAAGGCCAAATACTAAGGTTTATCATGTAGATTTTTCTTGTGTTGTCTCCAGGCTGACAGGGGTCTAAAATTGTCTCTGGTGATTAATCTTTGTCTTTCCTGGTAGAGCAGGAAGGAGGTACACCTTCGTAAACTTATATCCTGCTTTTTGGCAAATAGAGGGAGGGCAGAGTGCTTTTCTAGTACCGTGTACCTATTTGCTTCTTCCTAATTGCCTTCAGCTCAAAATAATCCTTAAACCAAAGTGGCATACACTGCCAATGCTCTTGAGTAGATTGAAGGCTCCAAAGTAAAAAGTGCTGTACTGTAGTATTGGATCTCCAAGCATCAGCAGTGAGTCAGGTATTACAATGCTGTTTTCAGTGAGTGTGCCATCCGTCTATGAGGAGAAATGAGAGGAGCTAGAAAAATAAACTGACAGCTAGAAAAATACTCCACTGAATCAACAAATAGACATTTCTTGAAACAGTAACATGCTCAATGTGCAATTTTGAAAAAGTAAACTGAGCAAGGATCATGAAACATGATGGTGGTGAGAATTTATACTTCTCAGGTAGCCAGGGGAAGCTAGGTTTCCACAGATTCCTTTGTCTTTCAGTCCTTTTGAAAACGGAGAAAAAGCAAGAGAAGAGGGACGGCACCATCAGGTAGAGTGGATCTCAGCTAGAATGAGGGGAAGTGGCCCAGAATCCAACCTCCTCCAAAGAGCTGTGTGACAGGCAAGTCCTATCCTTTCTGCACCTCTTTCCTTAAATGTAAGTTGAAGCATTTGGACCAGACTGTTTCAATGATCTTCTAGATTGCTTTTGCCAAAACAGAACTCTCCATTCCTGTAAGATAAGTACACAATGGCTCTCAGAGATCTAAAAACTGGCCTTGGTTACCTGCAAACTTTGAGGCCCCAAGGCACAAAAATAATAGCTTTTTTTTTTTATTTTTTTTTTTAAGGTTCATGAAAGCTTCGGACACAAAAGCTTATATGGTCTTCGTCTCTATAAATAAACCAGGGAGTAAAGAAAAACCCCGCTAGTTTCAGTAAAGCGTTGCTATTAAGCAAAGCAAACCTATGCAAATATCAAGTTCTTAATGAGGAGTGTTTCCTAAGGGGCCTGTCCTCTGGTACCCCGCCTCTCCTCTGCCACAGTCATGTGAAGGCAGACAGGCACACACTCGCACACTAGCACGCACTTGGGAGCTCAGGGAACATAACACTGGTTAGTGAGTCGGTGTCCCTCTCCCATCGATTGCAACTTTTCCCCTCCTTCCCTCTCCTGCCTCTCCCCACTTTCTACATCTCCGTTCTCAGGAAGGCTCAGGGAGGATCCCCCGCTGCGTGCACTGCGTTCTGAGAGGCCGGGGAGAGACTCTGGGCCCGCGGTCGGGGCGGAGCCAAGGTCCCAACCCACATTGAACGGGCTTGAGGATTACTTGGAGGGCTCAGGATCTAGGAGGAGGGCCCAGGGCACTGGGTTGGGGTTACTCTGGGAAAGCTCTGTGGGACCAGGTGGGACCTTAGGGCTGGAGATGGACTCTGCGAGCTGGGGGCGGAGTTCTAGACTGGCAGGAGCGGAGTTCTGGGTGGCGGGGGCGGGGTCGGGACCAGCAGGGACGGCCTCTGAGAGTTGGGGGCGGAATTCTGGGCCGGTGAGGGCTGGGGCGGGACCAGCAGGGGAGGCCTCCGCGAGCTAGGGGAGGAGCTCTGCATTGTCTGGGGCGGGGCTTCGAGTAGCGGTAGCGAGGTCTGGAGCCGCAGGCGCTGCCTCCGCGAGGTAGGGGAGGAGCTCTGTACTGTCAGGGGCGGGGCTCTGAGTAGCGAGGCCGGGTCTGAACTATCAGGCGCGGCCTCTGCGAGCTGGGGGCGGGGTTCTGCACCGGCGGGGGCGGGGTTGTGAGTGGTGGGGGCGGGGTCTGGAGCAGCAGGCGCCGCGTTTGCGAGCTAAGGTCGGAGTTCTGCACCGGCGGGGGCGGGGCTCTGCGTGGCCGGGGCGGGCTCGGGATCCGCGGGGCGACTCCCGGTCTGGCTTGGGCAGGCTGCCCGGGCCGTGGCAGGAAGCCGGAAGCAGCCGCGGCCCCAGTTCGGGAGACATGGCGGGCGTTAAAGGTACATCGCGGTCCCCGGCTCGCTTGTCGTGTGGTGGGGTTGCCACCTCCGTTCCGGTCAAGCCTGGGGCTGCGCCTTCCGCGCGCCGTTGGGGAACGGCCTCACCACCCTTCCCGCCTCTCCGGTTCGGGAGGCGATCGACCGCTCCCTTCGTCCCTTGGGGTGTGGGTGGAGCGGCGTTTCGGGGGAGCCTTGGCCCTTTTTGCAAGGCCGCTGGCCTTCCTGCTCTCCAGTGGCGGCACCAGACCCCTCCCCAGCCTGAGCCCTCGGCGAGAGCGGCGCCCTCCACCTCTCCTGAGTTTTTAAACAAGGTTTCCACTTCTTGACGCCACCCTAACGCCTTTCTTCTGGTTTTCTGCCCCTCCGCAGTTTCCTATTTGCCACAAAGGACCCTTTGTCTCCAGCGTTCTTAGCATTGGGAAACTTAATCCTCTTTTTCCTAATGATTTTTCCAACTGGGCAGAGTTGACCGCGGGCGGGTGTCAATGGAAAGCACCCAGAAAGACGGTGTTTCTCGCAGTCGTGGAGAGTAGATTACGTGTAATTTTAATACTGCTTTCTTCGGTGTTTTCTCTGTTTATGGACAGAGAAGAAACCAGTGTGTGTGTAGTATGTGTTTTTTGCATGGGGCAGTTGGTAAAAACACCGCGTCCCTTATCTGTATGGCTTCAGAGCAATGCGAGACGGAAAAGGTTTTTTGCAAGGCTTCCTGTATTTTGGTAGGAAAACATTCCATTTCTAATCTGTCGAATAGAGTAGCATGACTTGTTTTTATATTGGCTTTTATATCATCCTTGAAATTTGCACCCAAAGATATCCCCAGTTAACATCTGCTATAAACATGTAGATAGTATATATACGAGTACGCCTCTGTTCACTATGAATTTATCCGAGTATGTGAGCTGTTAGCAGCAGACATTTTATCGTTATTTCTGGCTGACTTTTATACTTAATATCAGTTTAGTAAACATGGTTTACTTGGAGAGTGTCGACTGTGTTATATATCCATTTGAAGCCAATGCCGAAAACAGATGAAAAGTAGTGTCTCAGTACTACACATGATCAGAAACTACCAAATCATGATCACGTTTATGTGTGAATGTGTTAGAAAATTGTGATGTAGTGAAAAAAAAGGAAGTCTGAAATGGAAACGGACTAAGGGAAGGAAGCATTTTACAGATTGTTCAACTTTTATTGAGGAACTACTGTATGCCAGAGACTTAGGATACAAAGATAAATGAGAAGTTATTGGTGGGTGACAGAGCTGGAAATAATTATATTACTATGTCAGTGTTTATGTTGGGCTCAGATGCGGTGGGAGAACAGATGGTGGGTTGGATTTTGTCCTCCAAAAAGATGTGTTCAAGCTCTAATTCCCTGGTACCTGTGAATGTGATCTTATTTGGAAGTAGTATCTTTGCAGATATAATCAAATTAAAATGATAACTGGTTTAAGGTGGGCCCTAATCCAATGACTGGTGTCCTTATAAGAAGAGGGGAATTTAGACATAGAGACATACAGGGAGAATACCATGGGAAGACGGAGACAGAAATTGGAGTGATGCAGCTACAAAGTCAGGAGCACCAAAGATTGTTGGCAACCATGCTGGCAACCACTGAGTGTTAGGAAGAGGCAAGGAAGGGTGCTTCCCTACAGCCTTCAGAGGGAGTGTGGTGGCGCTGCTGACACCTTGATTTCAGAAGTCCAGCCTCCAGAACTGTCAGAAGATAAATTTCTGTTGTTCTCAGCCATCCAGTTTGTGGTACTTTGTAACGGCAGCCCTAGGAAGCTGATGCAGGTGGGATTGATTCCCCTGCTCCAGAGAAAGGACTGTTTTCACAGAAGAGGCGATGCTTGAACTGAATCTGAAGGGATCAATGTGGCTTCCCTTGGCAAGGCATGGAGTGAAGGTGGAGTATATCCCAAGTGGGGAGGACAGCACGTGACATGGCGCAGGGCTTATGAAACAACATGCCTTCTTCTCTTCAGGTACTTAAGCTACATTAGTAAGACCAGAACTTAGTGGTGAGGGTTGAAGCTGGCTGGACAGGCAGTTAGGAGTGAGTCAGGCGATGGTGAGCCTCCGTGCCAGAACAACTTGTAGGCTGTGGAAGCAACCGCAAAGGGATGGCAGCGGTGATATATATAGTTGAAAGATCACTGTCTGCTGTGTAGAGGATGGATTGGAAGAGTCACAGAGGCAGGAATAAGAGGTTAAGGGCCTGCACCAGGGCTGTAGCAGAGAGTTTAAGAAGTCTGGGAGATTGAGTCACCTTGACCTACTGATTCATTGGAAGGTGGAATGCAATCATGGTGTCAGTCCTCTAAGATAGGACCTTTAAAGTGTAGGGATAGTGGTTTGGTTTTACACGTGTTACACATGTTGAATTTGAGGTTCTTGTTGGCGGTCAAGGCAGAGAAGTCCAGACTGGAGGTGGAAGTACAGGCCTAGTTCTTTAGGACCTACTCTGGGCTGGAGCATCAGTTGCGGCCGGGCCCTTGTGGTAGTAGGAGCTTTGGGTTGAACATAAGTTTTCAGCAGGAGTGCGTGGAGTGAAAAGAGAGATGGGGTTGGATTTTTGGTCAACTCCAACTTTAAGAGATTCAGAGGATGTGATTCCTGAAAAAAGAGGAAAAAAAAGACCAAAAAGAATCAAACAGAAAGATGGTTGTGAACGTTGAGAAACTGGTATCAGAACAGAAGGAAGAGGTCTGCAGTACCTAGCTTTGACAGGCCTCATGGAGGAGGGGGTACTGCCGATGGTCAGGCACAGAGGAGAGGAGCAAAGCCTGCTGGGAAAAGATCATCTGAATGAAATAGTATGTGGTATTTGCTTTCCATCCACACATGGGCATTTTCCATTAAAGAGTGGAAATGTAAAAAGATATGTTAAAATTGACAGTGTTTCTTTGTCCCTTAACATGTGTATACTTTCAGATGTTTTTTAAAAAGCACTTTGGCACCTTCCTATTAAAGAGTCTCTCTAAATCTTCTCTCAAGTAAAAGGAAGCAATCAAAAATGTTCATTGGCTTAATTAATTAGTTTAATACTAATTATGAGTATTATGGACTTTTTTCAGAAGAAAATTTGGATAAGATAGTCTCCTATGCTTTTGATTTCTACCTTTATCAAAGAACATTGCTAAAATGAGTAGATACCTGAGTCAGTCAGCATTTATTTGGCTACCTCCTTTTGCCAAGCACTTTACATAGATTATCTCATTTAATTCCCATAAGCTCAATAAGGTGGCACCATTATTTCCATTTTACAGGTGAGAAATCAGGTTCAGAGGATTAGCTTCTACCCAAAGTCATAAGACCAGATGGTGGCAGAGTTAAGATTTGACTCATGTTTGTGACTCAGAGCTCAAGATTTTGTAACAACCTTGATACTCTGTTTCTCACTCAGCAGCACAACAAGGGCAAATACGTTCCTACTCCCGCAGAGACTAGTGTCCAATAGATACAGGGAATACATATTTTATTCAGTGCACACTAGTTGGGAATTGTTTCCTACAAAGACATGAAAACAATCTTCAAATACTTGCAGTACTGTGGTTTGGGGAGGCAAAATGATCAAAGGTATATATTACAGGGAGGCAGTTCTGGATATAATTTAAAGAAGGAGGGCTTTCAACATTTAGAAGCTGTTGGAATTAAATGACTTGCCTTGGGAGGTAGTGAGTTTTCCTTCACTGGAGTTATGTGGACCAACTGGCTGCCCTCTGGTGACAAATACAGAGGGAATTCATCCATTGGATAGGGGTTAGGTACTGGAATTACTTGAGACCTTTGTATACTTTATGATTTCAAGGTGGCAGACATGGGTCATTGTCTTAATCAGTTTGGGCTACTATAAGAAATATATTTTAGACTGGGTGGCTTAAACAACAAACATTTAGTTTCCACAGTTCTGAAGACTGGGAAGTCCAAAATTGTGGTGCAGTCAGATCTGGTGTCTGGTGAGAGCCAGCTTCCTGGTTTGCAGGCCTGCTTTCTGCTCTCACATTGGAGAACAGAGGGAGAGAAACACAGAGAGAGTGTGTGCTCTACTTTCTCTCTTCTTATAAGGGCACTCATCCCATCGTGGAGACCCCACCCTCATGACCTCATCTGAACCTAATTATCTCCCAAAGGTCCACCTCCTGATAGCATCTCACGGTGAGAGGGATGGAGCCGGGAAGGTTTCAACATGTGAATTTGAAAGGGACACACATAATGCAGTCTGTAACGGGTCAAATGTAACCTCAATAAAATGAGTAAATTGCTACATTTGCTTGAATTTGGGACCTTTTTTTCTTTCTTTTTTATTTTAGTAAATGTTTTTATTGATAAATGATTCACATACCATAAAATTAACATTCTTAAAGTGTAAGATTTCATGGTTTTTAGTATATTCAGAAGGTTATGCAGCCATCACTACTATCTAATTCCAGAAAATTTACTCATCCGCCAAAGAAACTCTGGACCTATTAGAAGTCACTCCCCATTTCCCCAAACCCTCTAGTGCCTGACAACCTCTACTGTGGGAACTTTAACTTTTGGCTTTATTTTTCACAGCTCTCGTGGCATTATCCTTCAGTGGGGCTATTGGACTGACTTTTCTTATGCTGGGATGTGCCTTAGAGGATTATGGGTAAGTTATCATTTCAAAAAGAACTATTCCTCTTTCTGTGTCTTTGTCACTATTAGTATGGGTGTTAGAGAGTTCGGTCAATTTAGCACCAAGTTCTAACCAGTGAGTTAGTGGAGCCCAGTTTATGAACACAGTCCCTTTGTGGGTCAGGTGTACTTTTGCAGAGGGCTCTGTTAAAAATTGATGTATTCATTCCATAAGCATTTGTTTAACACCTACTCTGGACTAGCTGGGGACACACAAATGAAGAGAGAGTCCTGTCCTCAAAGAGGAGGTAAAGTTCTAGTTGTGAGTGAGAGACAGGCAAACGGTCTAGTCAGTAATCTGGCAGCTGCAGTGGAGATGCCAGCACAGTACGCTGGAGCTCGGATAAAGTGCACCTGAGTTTCAGTGGGACAGTCAGGGAAGGCTGCATGGCAGAGGTTGTATCTGAGCCAAGACTAGGTGGATGAATAAGAGTTTTTCAGGGTGATGAGTCAGGGGAGGACATTCCAGGCAGAGGGAACATTCTACACATTTTTTCATTCAACCATTGTTGGTTGAATGCTTCCCATGTGCCAGCTACTGTTATGGGAACTAGGGATTAAGACATAAGAAAACAAAGGTCCTGCTCTCTCAGAGTTTGTGTTTCAGTGGGGGAGACGGACAGTAAACAACAAAAGTATGCATACTGTCAGAGGTAGAAATGGTACAAAAGATGAAGAGCACAGAAGCTGGGAAGACAGTGGTCAGGGAGGGCCTCTCAGAGGAGGTAAAAAGTGAGAAGAAATGTCAAGAAAATCAGCAAGCAGGCCATACAGATCTCTAGGGAAAAAGCACTTTAGGCACCAGGAAAGCTGAATGCTAAGGCCCGGAGACATGAAAGTGTATATAGCCTTTTCAGGAAACCACACATGGTACATTATGGTACAGCATAAATTGTAGTGGAGTGGCAAAAGAAGGGTTAGTCAAGAGTGTAAAAGTCAGCACTTAGGGCTCTATATGCCTGCCGTGTAGAGGAGGTTCCATTTTATACATCAGACAATAGAACCTGGGAAAATATCTTGAGAATGGGTTTGGAGGAGGGGGTTATGTTAAAATGTCATTCTTGCCATAACGTGAGACTAGATAGGAAAGAGCTGAGACTGCAGTCAGGGAGAATAGTAGGGGACTACTATCATAAATCAAGCAAAATTGAGGGCTGGGGCAGTAGGAATGGAAAGAAAAGGAGAGTGAGTTAGGAAACCAAACCAACCAACAGGTTTTGTTCATCGATGTCAGGATTCAACAAGGAGGGAGAGTTCTTAGATGTCTCCCAGGTGATTGGCTTGAACAACTAGATAGAAGATGATGTGATTAGGCCAGGCACCATGGCTCACGCCTGTAATCCCAGCACTTTGGGAGGCTGAGGCGGGCAGATCACGAGGTCAAGAGATCGAGACCATCCTAGGCAACATGGTGAAACCCCATCTCTACTAAAAATACAAAAAATTAGCTGGGCGTGGTGGCACACGCCTGTATTCCCAGCTACTTAGGAGGCTGAGGCAGGAGAATTGCTTGAACACAGGAGGTGGAGGTTGTAGTGAGCCAAGATCGTGCCACTGCACTCTAGCCTGGCGACAGAGCAAGACTTTGTCTCCAAAAAAAAAAAAAAGATGATGATGATGTGGTTAAGACCTATTGAAGTGAGTTATTATGACAGTGATGAATTCAAATCCATCACCGCAGTCCTGGCCAACTATTACAGAAATTGTTTAAACCCAAGAGGGATCCAGATATAAGCGGTCACTTATATTTGTTTAGAGCCTTCACAGCAATTACTTTATTCTAGCTTTTGGAATGTAATACGGTATTATTATCCTCATTTCTCGCTGGGAAACCAAAGCCCAGGGTAGTTAAAGACTTACCCAGATTGAACAGCAGTAAGTGACAGAGCCCGGCCGTGGTGGCTCATGCCTATAATCCCAGCACTTTGGGAGGCAACGGTAGGAGGATTGCTTGAAGCCAGGAGTTTGAGACCAGTCTGGGCAACAAAGTGAGACCCCATTCTACAAAAAACTAAAATAAGCCAGGCATGGTGCCTGTAGCAGGGTTGGGAGGCTGAGGTGGGAAGATTGGTTGAGCCCAGGGGTTGGAGGCTGCAGTGAGCTGTGATCACACCACTGCAGTCCAGCCTGGGCGACAGAGTGAGACTTTGTCTCTTAAATAAAAAAGTAGAAAAAAAATTAAAATGGCAGACATGGAAATGGAGCTCATGTTCTGACGCCCTTGACCAAACGTTTTTCCACTATTCCACAACCAACTGTAAATCTAGGAGTTTTAATTCTCTGTGATACACTGTCTTTGTAAGGTAAGAAAATGACTCATTACTGCTACTACAAATAAGTTTGTTTTCTATCTTTATTTTAATTTTTTGTTTTTTAGAGATGCCACAACACCCAGCTGATTTTTTTTAGAAGTTTTTGTAGAGACCGAGTCTCTCTGTGTTGCTCAGGCTGGTCTTGAACTCCTGGCCTCAAGTCATCCTCCTGCCTTGGCCTCCCAAAGCTGTATCTTGATAGTGAACCAGGATTATCATCTATATTGGAAGTCAGCAAACTGCCACATATAACCTGCTACCTGTTTTTGTAATAAAGGTTTTATTGAAATACAGCCATGCTCATTTGTTTATGAATTATCTTTGGCTGCTTTTGCATTGCTCTGCCAATTATCTTTGGCAGAGTTGAGTAGTTGAGATAGTCTTTATGGCTTGCAGATCCTCGTTATTTACTCTTTGGCCCTTTATAGAAAAAGTTGGCCCACCCCTGGCCTATGTATTTATTGAATTGTATATATTTAATATTTACATTTTATATATAAACAAGGTTTCTTGTACATTAATATTTCTCTTAGTTGGATATCGGTGGCTTACTATGAATGAAAACATAGAGTCAGATTGTTTTTCACAAAACTGTCACTGTATTCCAGGAAAAATTAAGAGTTCTTGGCTGTGGATATGTAAGGTGACATATCTATTCCAAACCCCTTCCCCTCTCTGTGTCTCCTTTCTCACTGTTGAAAGAAGGGCTTTGAAGTAGAGAATGTCTAAGGGCTACTTCCCACAATATTGTTTGGTGATTCTTGAAACATACTATCATCCCTCTAGTTTAAAATCAGGGGTCCAAATCCACTGTTTCCATCCTGAGTCCTCTTGAAGGACACATTCCCTTCTTGCCTTTTGGTTGCCTAGATCTGTGGCTGGAATGGGAGGCTTTCATTAGTGTGGCTTCATCCCAACTCCTGCTTGTAGGTGCTGTCTGGGCGTATCTGTGTGATTACAGTATTGTGGTGATATGAATTATTGTAGTGTATATATAAAAATGAGCAGAGACTTTTTTTTTCTTAAGAAATGAAGCATAAGAAATGTCTGATGGAGAAAAAAAGATTATTTTTGAAGTACTGATAGAGAAAATACTGTTGGAAACCAGATGGCAATTTTTTTTTTATAATTGCAAAATGTTGAAATTTGGGAGGAAAACAGTTTTGTTTTGTTTTTGCATTACACTATTAATTGTGAGCTCTTATAATGAAGATCAAAGTACATCTAAGCTTTTCACTAGTGAGCATATTTATTTTCATGCCTTCCGTACTTAAAATTTATTTATTATTTTATTCATTTAACAAGTATAAATGGAGTACATCATTCTAGGCCCTGGAGATAAATGGCGTTTGATCAAGACTAATCTATCAGATGGGAATAAGTGTTGTGCAGAAAGTTCAAAGAGGGTGGTATGTTCGAGGGTGACCTGGGGTACATTAGAATAGATGACCAGGGAAAGTTCTGCTTTTAGAAAGGAATCTGTCAGTTTAGATCACATGGTATGAAGGAGTCAGCCAATGAGAAGATCATGGGGAAGGACATTGCAAGCAGGGGGCACAGCTAGCGCAAAGGCCCCAGGATAACAGCTATGAGCTCAAGAGTGTTCAAGGGACAGAAAAAAGGCTGGTGTGGCTACAGATTAAGCAAATGAAGGGAAAAGAGTACAAAATGAATGGAAGAAGTAGATAATACCAGACCATAAAGGCTTTGTAGGCTAGGGCAAGGAATTTAGGGTTTATTCTAAGCTCTTAAAAGGTTTCAAGCATGCGTGCACTCAAAAGATCTTTACCGAACTAGCTTTTGCAAGACACTCTACTATGTTCTATAGGGAAGGCAGAAATGACCAAGTTAAAATTCTGTCTTTAAAGAAATTGTGGCTCAGTGGTACAGAAAACAGTAAAGTTTCTAGGGTATATATTATATAGTGGCTTCTTAACACAATATAAGCTACCTACATAGTAATTTTAAAATTATCACTACTTATCTATCCCTGGTAGAAATCATCTTATGTTCTAATATTCACAATTAATTAATTTTTTGACCTAAACATTTAAAATAGCAATGATTTTGAAATAGTAGTATGTCTTTCATTTAAAATGTAACTGTTACTTTTCTTTTTGGATTTTGCCTGGGTCCAACTGACAGCGTTTACTGGCCCTTATTCGTCCTGATTTTCCACGCCATCTCCCCCATCCCCCATTTCATTGCCAAAAGAGTCACCTATGACTCAGATGCAACCAGTAGTGCCTGTCGGGAACTGGCATATTTCTTCACTACTGGAATTGTTGTTTCTGCCTTTGGATTTCCTGTTATTCTTGCTCGTGTGGCTGTGGTAAGTTTTATTTTCTATTGTTTTGCCCAACCGTTGCTGAGTTTACTTCAGAGGCCTGTGTCTGGGACCTCCATTTCATGCTCATTACTTAGGCTTTATACTCAAGGCCGTGTGTTTTTAGTTTCTCTGTTCCTCTACTTTAGACCTGCCTAACAGTAGTTCGGCCATGCCTTCAGAGTGCTTTCTTTATTTCTCTTACAACTTTTAGCCAGACGATATGATTTCTTACTTTTTCTACTTTAAGCTATTCTCTGGAATTGTTCTTAAATTCCTGCCTCTTAAATCTTACAGTAATCCACAGATACTATGCTAGCAGTACTTTTCTAGTTGCAAGATGAAGATATTTCAAATTCTTCTCCTGCAAATGGGATCATGGACTCAACTCTCAACTCAGTATAATAGGTATATGTTGAGGGACAACTGTGTAGCTTCCAGAAAATGCAGTGAATAAGTTGACATCTTCACTTCCAAGACAAAAACTTTCTTTTTGTCTTCAGAGTACACATTGTAGGTATAATTTATTCAATTATTTGCTATTCACTGTCTTTCCTACTATTTGATTTTATTCCCTCCAATTACGTTCTATTTTAATTTTATGAAACTCTTATTTGAGGCATTGAATATCAGATAAGCGCAAGTCTTGTTCATTCAATAAATATCTTTGCAACAACTGCTACTTGTAAAACACCAGAAATAAGAAATAGGTACTGTCTCTGCTCCTGAGGAACACAGAAACTAGCTTGCTGGGTAAGTATACTATAAGTGTACTAAGTGAGACGGTTGAAGCATGATCAGAATGCCATAGGGGCACCAAGAAGAGAGAAATTCCGACTGGCATTTGATATGGGCCTCTAAGGATAAATAGCATTTGTATTGAGGTAGGATGGCTGTTGTATGGAATGACATTCAAGTGTAAGAATGCAGTATATAGAATAAAGAAGAATCCAGTGTGGTAGAGCTAAAAGAAAGTTGTTGAGGTTAAGGCTGGAAGGGTTGTGAAACCTGATTAGCAATGGTCTTGAACCCCATGCCAGTTTGATCTTTGTCTAGATAATGGGGAAAGATTGAAGGTTTTTGAATACAACAAGATTGTCATGACTTTATTTTTCTTGTGCTTTAGACCAGCCCTTCTTAAGCGCTGCAGTAAATATTTATATTTTTTCCTTTCAATACTGCCATCATATTTTGTGAAGAAACTTTCATTGATGTTTCTCTTGCTTAAAGTAAAACAAAAAATGCCCACTAGAGGGTACTCTCACCCCCAAATGTGCTTCTGTAAAACCATCTACAAACCATCTACTAAGCTGGAAAGCAGTTTTCAGTTGTATGAAGACTATTATTTAAAGTCTTTTCTTGCCTAGAAAAGAAACACACAAATTTATAACTCTACAATTTTTATTTTCCATGAAAGAAGTTGATGTGTGCAGAACTTTCAGTACCCAATATTGTAATTGCACTATTTATAATCTTACCACTTGAGTTTTACTTAAGGCAATCATTGTCAATTAAAAACAAGTAGAGAAATATGTCTAATTGGGAACATGTTAAGGATGATACCAGACTTAATTAACAAGCATCACAGAAGTAATTAGACTCATTACTGAACAGTTCATTGTCTCCTGTTACATTATTAAGCCTTTTAGCAGCTTTGTGTAACATTTCATTGGATGTTTCTAATGCAGAAAATAATAGGGATTGCAAAGAGTACAATATGAAGGAAGTAAGGATTTAATCCTTCTTTTCTTGTCTTTCAGATCAAATGGGGAGCCTGCGGCCTTGTGTTGGCAGGCAATGCAGTCATTTTCCTTACAATTCAAGGGTTTTTCCTTATATTTGGAAGAGGAGATGATTTTAGCTGGGAGCAGTGGTAGCACTTTATTCTGATTACAGTGCATTGAATTTCTTAGAACTCATACTATCTGTATACATGTGCACATGCGGCATTTTACTATGAAATTTAATATGCTGGGTTTTTTAATACCTTTATATATCATGTTCACTTTAAGAAAGACTTCATAAGTAGGAGATGAGTTTTATTCTCAGCAAATAGACCTGTCAAATTTAGATTATGTTACTCAAATTATGTTACTTGTTTGGCTGTTCATGTAGTCACGGTGCTCTCAGAAAATATATTAACGCAGTCTTGTAGGCAGCTGCCACCTTATGCAGTGCATCGAAACCTTTTGCTTGGGGATGTGCTTGGAGAGGCAGATAACGCTGAAGCAGGCCTCTCATGACCCAGGAAGGCCGGGGTGGATCCCTCTTTGTGTTGTAGTCCATGCTATTAAAAGTGTGGCCCACAGACCAAGAGCCTCAACATTTCCTAGAGCCTTATTAGAAATGCAGAATCTGAAGCCCCACTCTGGACCCAGGACATTTTGATGAGATCCAAAGGAGTTGTATGCACATGAAAGTTTGAGAAGCATCATCATAGAGAAGTAAACATCACACCCAACTTCCTTATCTTTCCAGTGGCTAAACCACTTAACCTCTCTGGGTGTTACCTGCTCATTTGTTTAAAAAAAAAAAAAAAGTCTCACCTGCTTTCATGCTGAGGACAAGTTCAGATGTTCAAGCCTATAATATTTAGGCAGTTCCTCAAATTTATGAAAAGTGTTCTCAGAATTGGGAGACAGTCAAAGGGTACAAAGCCTCAGTTAGGAGGAATAAGTGTGATTTTTTTTTAAAGATCACTTGCACAGCATGCTAAATATAGGAATAATTGAATGTATATTTCAATATTGCTAAGAGAGTAAATTTCTAATGTTCTCATAAAAAAGTTAAATATTTGAGATCATATGTTAATTAGTGTAATCATTCCACCTTATATTCAAAAATCATAAAACCGTATTGTACCCTATAAAAATATACAATAATTTGTCAATATATAATCAAAATAAAAAACAAAACATACTCTCTCCCCCAAAAAAACATCTCAGTGGGGAACAGATGTATCTTTTCATCTGAAAGACAATGCTGGGGGAAGAGCTCCACTGAGATGCGGGCAGGGAGGCTGGGCTCGAGCCAGCCCCTGCGTTAGCAGGAGGGGGAGAACAGATAGGTAACTCTTTTACATTTCCTTTATGATCTGGCACTTCTCCCCAGCTCCTTCCCTCTGCCCCCCACCCCTACTCCTCAACAGTTCTGGTTTGCCCTGACTTCTCTACGGCTCTGGCTTCTTCCCGAAGAGATATAGGAGCCATGTAAGCACGCAGTGGGTGAACTGCTTAATTTCACTACGTGTTGATGTACTTGTCTTCCGTCCTGTAGGTCTTTTCTATATAACTTTATGCCACCCTTAAATGAATCATTGGGTATACCTGTCATGTTGGATCCTGTAATCACAGTTTTCCCTGCTCACCTTTTTGTCTAAGATCTATTGAGAAAGGGAAATATGGGAAGGAGAACCATTTGATCAGAATACAACCAATAGTCTTTAAGCATTGTTAAAGTATGAAACTGAAATACATTCAAAACACTTAATCCTTGAGGCTTGTGATCTGAGTAATTAGCAGGTATGATGCTGGGACTGGAAAATAGAAAGTAATAACTAAAGGGTTAATGTGCAACGTTATTTTTTGGCCTTGTTCATGATTTTATGTTTTCAGTGTCCTGTGTACATATAGAATTGTTAAAGTTGTCATTTCCAATATTTATATTAGAAAAATTATTTAGATACTTTATAATTTTAACCGGCATTTTTAATAATGACACTTGCATTTATTGTATTGTAATAAATTTCACTTTTAACTTTAAAAGTTTAACTTTAAAATTTTTTTGTGATGTTGCCTTGCCTGAAAAGATAACAAAAATGAGAGAATTTCTTGATGTTTTAAAATGGGCAGTTTTGAGCAATAATCTGTCCTAACAGAACAGTAGCAATAAGTTTTAGGATACCATCTTGAATGTCTAGTTGGTGTGCAATAGCTTTTCTTTCTAAGATGGCAATAATGATTCATTTCTACTACATTTTGCAAAAGTGTTTTTGTTGCTTATACACATTTTCAATAACCAAGGTAGCCTTCATATGTAGCCTTAAAGCATTACCTCTTGATTGTATCTTTAGATTGATATAAAGTACTTGCATATAGAGTATTTGAAGTGATAGATTATTAGATTTGCTCTATGTCTGAAAAGAGAGCTATTCTGCAGTGCCTAAATATCATTTAAACAGTAAATATTAATAGGAAATATTGCTATATCTGAATATATAATACAAAAGTTTGATCATGGTGACACAAATGTTGGACATTTTTTTCCTTATAAAAGGCTCTTTTTTTATATATTGTACAATATATTTGGAGATTCAGAGCATAGTGACTATAGTCGAAAACTGAGATTGCACTTCCAAAATTGGCCACAAGTAAATAATCTTATGAAGGGATTCTTTATCATGTTTCAAACAAGTGGGTTACAAGCAGACTTTGAGACACTTTTCCACAGAAACAATACTATGAATTGGTGATTGAGTTCCCAGGCCAAGCCTCCCTCAACAGGTTCAACTCTAATATACCTAACCTGTGATACTGAAGGTGCCTGCCTGAGTTTTGGGTCTCTGAGACAGGGTAGTGTGAGTAGTTTGGAGGAAGGACAGTGCAACTTTCCACCCCTTTTCCTAAGAACAAGGTCTTTCTCCTTTTAATTTTTCCACTCATTTTCACCTCCTAATGCCCTTGAGATCCAGGTACACTCCTGGGAGTTTTGTTCACCTCTCCCAACTGAGAACCTTCCCACTGGGCTCCATCCTCCCTCCTGAGGTTCTTCATATTCCAGAGTCACCCACCCTTCTCCTCCCATTAGTCAGTTCTCTAAGTACAGCTGATGTCATGTGGTGCTGAGAAGAAAGCAGATCACACTTCATCACAGAAAGAATGCCTTGTGATTATCTTCTCCACATCTGAAATTCCTTTTGACACCTGCATTGGGCCGACTGCCATTCCCATGACTGCTGCACCTGCGTTTTTAGAGAATGCCTCATAACCCACTGATTCTCATTCACAGAGAATGGGAGAACGGAATGAAGAAAGATTCCAGCAGCTTATAGAAGGATAGCAATATTTTGGGACAGGGAAAATCCTGTCATACCTCATCTCTTCCTCAGGAGGAGTTCTGAGCTGGTCCTGCTTTTCATAGTTGTTTCTTTTCTTCCACTTAAGAACTCATAGATTTTTCTTACTGTCCTAAGGAAGTCCTTACCTCTGAGGTATCTCCTCAATGAATACTGTTTTCAAGGCTGAAATAGTTCATTATGTTAATAACCTTCTTTATGTTCTCAGGGAAATGCTTAGGTGGTGTCACAAAATGTGCCTTTTCTTTTCTTTTTTTTTTTTTTTTTTTGAGGCAGAGTCTCGCTCTGTTGCCCAGGCTGGAGTGCAGTGGTGCGATCTTGGCTCACTGCAAGCTCCGCCTCCCGGGTTCACGCCATTCTCCTGCCTCAGCCTCCCAAGGAGCTGGGACTACAGGCTCCCGCCACCACGCCTGGCTAATTTTTTTGTATTTTTAGTAAAGACGGGTTTCATCGTGTTAGCCAGGATGGTCTCGATCTCCTGACCTCATGATCCGCCCGCCTCTGCCTCCCAAAGTGCTGGGATTACAGGCCTGAGCCACTGTGCCCAGCCAAAATGTGCCTTTGCAAAGTTTGCGAAATCAGATTTTGTATCCCAATAGAACCAAAATATTTATGAGGATGCTAGCATTTTCCAAGCATAGTAATTAGTTCACAACTGAGAAATATTATGTCTGTAGTAGATAAATATTAGTTGTGCATTTTAATTTAATTCTCCTTTTTCCATTTTGTCTCATGAAGTACCTTATTGCAAAAATCCCACTGAGTAATAGCTCATAAATTATAATCTTTCAAATAGCCATGCTACCAGCGTACAACAGTGATACATGTAACCCCAAATGTGATGTGAGAGGACGATTACTTTGTAAATAAAACTTGTTATTGACATTTTAACAAAGGCTTTTATGTACATTATTAAATGAAAAAGTTTATATTTTACTTTGCGGTACGTTACATTTGGAAAGGAGATCAGCAAGTTAATTTTCCCAGTGTTTTTGTCTGTATAATCTTAATGTGAATCTGACCAGTTTGAAGCCTGTACTTGCTGTAGTTGAAGAGAAACAGTTCAGGAATGTTGTGCTGACTGGAAGGAATCCAGGCCTTAATTTCTGTGGCTGACACTCCCCATGGTGGACATGGAAGATTGGAAAAGCTGTATTGGAAAAGAAAAAAACCTGACACCTTAAGAAAAGTGCTCTACATATTTTGAAGAGTCTTTTTGCACACTACAGAAAAGAATGCACTAATAGAAAGTAGTCTTTAAGGAATAATATGTCCTCCTTATGCACAAAACATTTGGGAAAGATCTGATGTTTTACTAGTGGATTTAGGCAGCCAGATTGTAAAGAAATCAAGCTAGTTATTTCTTTGCATTGCCAAGCTAAGTGTAAAGTTAAACTTTTAATAGAAATAGAAATAAAAATTTGATAATACCAACATAACTATAAAATGGCCATAAGAAAAGTCAGTTCCCAAGGAAAATTAATAGATGACCATTTTGAAACATTTATTTGTGGTCAATACGAGGCACATAGGCAAAGTGGTCTTAATCCTGAGATTGCTCATTTGGAGAAGAGCACACTTGGAGACTGCACAATCTCTCTTCACTTTTGATTATATCTTTATCAAAATTGAATAATTCTAAGTGTTTACACACTTCGGAATGAATGACTAGATATTAACTTAAGTGTGTGCATTCATTTTTCCCCTCAGAATAATTAAATAATAAAACCATCAGTTCAACTTTAGCTGGATAATCATTGCACTTATCAATTTAAAGCATAAATGCCTCTGCCTCAACACTTTCATTTCCTCTGTGGTTGAGAGACAAATTATATCACCACACTCTGTAAAGTTTCATGATTTCTTACAGCCTTCTCCTCAAAATTGTATGCTTGTTCATCTGACAAACCCAGAATTCTCCAGTACTTCCAACCATCCCTGCTGCAGCCTTGCCATTTGTGGTTCCTTGACAGTGCTGCTGTTAAAATCCACTTAACCACTGATGGAAATGAGTTACGTGAGTTCTGAACACAGGTTTTAATCGGATTCCTGATTAAATTAATGGCAGTGAGTCTTAGGCTTGATTTATTCAAGATTCCATGGTGTGGAACTGACAGTTGCTCAGCTCTTTAATAAAATCATGTATATATGTATATATTTTGAGATGGTATCTCAGTATGTTGCCCAGGCTCCCTGGGCTCAAGCTATCCTCCTGCCTCAACCTCGTAAGTAGCTAGTACTTCTGCTGGAAACATGCAAATGTCCATTAACTGATGAATGGATAATGTGATATATCCATTCAATGGAATGTTTTTCAGACATAAAAAGGAATGAAGTACTGAAACATTGCTACAGTGTGGATGAATCTTGAAGACAATATGTGAAGTGAAAAGAGCCAGTCACAAAAGGCCATAAAAGGTCACAAAAGGCTGAGGCAGGAGAATCCTGAACCCGAAAGGCGGAGGTTGCAGTGAGCCGAGATCGCGCCACTGCACTCTAGCCTAGGCGACAGAGGGAGACCCCGTCTCCAAAAAAAGTTTATATTTCAGTGTAAGTAGAAAAAAACTAGGTAAATAAAGTATATGATACGGTAGGCGCTACTGGAAAAAATATAGTGGGGAAGGAGGATAAGTAGTATTTGGGTCATTGTGGTTTTAGATAGGGTGGCCATGAAAGCCTCACCCAAAAGAGGCAAAGAAAAGAGCCATGTGGATTTTAGGGTCTCCTTCTGTTGCCCAGGCTAGAGTGCAGTGGCAAGATATGGCTCACTGCAAACCTTAACCTGAGCGCAAGGGTTCCTCCCACTTCTACCTCCTGAGTAGCTGGGATTACAGGCACGGGCCACCGCAGCTGGCTAAGTTATTTATTTTTTGTAGAGATGAAGTTTCCCTACATTGACCAGGCTGCTCTCCAACCCTGGCCTCAAGCAATCTTCTTGCCTGTCTCAGCCTCCCAAAATGCTGGGATTACTGGTATGGGCCATGGCTCCTAGCCGCCTTTTTTTTTTTTTTTTTTTTTCAAAAAATATTCCAACTGAGGTTTGGCATTTATTGCTTGAGAAATAAATAATATAAATAAAATAGCTTGATTTAGGAAATGAAGTTGTGCTAGCTGGAACACTGGCCAGGTTATGGCCACGATAAAGAAGAGACCAGCCGGGCACGGTGGCTCACGCCTGTAATCCCAGCACTTTGGGAGGCCGAGGTGGGCAGATTACGAGGTCAAGAGATCAAGACCATCCTGACCAACATGGTGAAACCCCGTCTCTACTAAAAATACAACAGTTAGCAGGGCGTGGTGGCTCACGCGTGTAGTCCCAGCTACTCAGGAGGATGAGGCAGGAGAACTGCTTGAACCTGGTAGGCGGAGGTTGCAGTGAGCCAAGATTGCACCACTGCACTCCAACCTGGCGACAGAGCGAGACTCTGTCTCAAAAAAAAAAAAAAAAAAAAAAAAGACAGTTGAGCTAGAGAGTAAATAAAGTGGCCCCTAATACAGTGGGTATAGATTCATGAAGTGGCAGTAGCTGAACTGTAGCTACTGTTAACTTTGAGGACTAATTAAGACAATGTCAGGAAAATTTTCTTTTTCTTTTTTCTTTTTTTCTACTCTGTGTTTCTTCATTATCTGAATTTATCCTCATGCAGGTTGGAAACTGCTGAAAGCAGTCCATTTTTATGAGCTCTTTTATTCTAAGCCAAATCAGTCAGATTACAAACCCCATTGTATTTTAGATAACCCAAGTGATTATTCAGGTGCTCAAAAGCTTTTAGAGAACTGCTAAACCTCATGTACTTCTGGGCAGTATCAGCAATTAAAAGAGTTTAATTTTCTAGGTGAAACTGATTCTGGTTTGGATTTCTTTATTTGGACTGAGAGATATTTTAACCAGGTTAAAATATTGGTGCAAAGCCATCTCTGATGAGACTTAAAATCATAAAGCTACTTCCCCATGCAGTTCTTGTCACCATTTCAGGGTACTGCTGGGCAATAGGACATGAGTTCCCATTGCTTGTGGGATCTTCAGATGTATATCCCTCCAGTGAATTGGACTCAGTATTGTTGAGACATCAATTTTCCGCAACATGATTTATAGATTGAAAGCAATCACAGTAAAAATCCCGGTAAGATTTTTAGGAGAAATTAATATATTCCCTGATTTCTAACTTATTACAAAGTTATACATTAGACAATGCGATATTGGAGAAAGGACACCCATATAAATCAATTGAATAGAATCAATAATTCAGAAATAGACCCAAAAATATATGGTCAAATGATTTTTGATGTTAAGGAAAAAATAAAAACATTTTAAGCTGAGGAGATACAGGACAAATTATTTGCCCTCATGGAGCTTACCTTCAAATGGGCAAGACAAATAATTTTTAAAGTAAAAAATAATTCAATAGTGAAATTTGGGCTGGGTGCAATGGCTCATGCCTGTAATCCCAGCACTTTGGAAGGCTGAGGCAGGTGGATCATCTGAGGTCAGGAGTTCAAGACCAGCCTGGCCAACCTGGTGAAACCCTGTCTCTACTAAAAATACAAAAAATTAGCTGGGTGTGGTGGCAGATGCCTGTAATCCCAGCTACTCAGGAGGCTGAGGCAGGAGAATCACTTGAACCCAGGAATCACTTGAAGGCAGAGGTTGCAGTGAGCCGAGATCATGCCATTGCACTCCAGCCTGGGCAACAAGAGTGAAACTCCATCTCAAAAAAAAAAAAAAAAAAAAGCTGGGCGCAGTGGCGTGTGCCTGTAATCCCAGCTCCTAGCTACTCAGGAGGCTGAGGCAGGAGACTAACTTGAACCCGGAGGCGGAGGTTGCAGTGAGCCAAGATCGCACCACTGCACTCCAGCCTGGGCGAGGAAGAGAGATTCTGTCTCAAAAAAAAAAAAAAAAAAAAAAAAGAAAAAGAAAATTGACAGTAGTGAATGCTATGAAGAAATAAATCAGGATAAAGGCATAGAGAATGACTTACAGTGGTGCTATTTAAATAGGGTGGATAGAGACGATTGGTGGCTGAATAGAGCTATTGAATAATGAGAAGGAATCAACACGATGGGACCTATTTTTAGGTCTACTCTTTCGATTCTTTTTAATTTTAGGTCTACTCTTTCACTTATTCTTTCAAGAAATATTTGTTGAGCACCTATTATGTGCTCAACATAATTATATTATTCTAGGTGCTGGAGATAGAACAGTAAATAAAACAGACAAAACCCCCAGCCCCCATGGTGCTTACTTTTTTTTTTTTTGGTAGGGAAGCAAAAAATAAACTTCACAAATAAGTCAAATGGATGGTATGTTAGTGGAAATGCTAAGGCAAAAAAAGGAAGAAAGGGATGTAGAATATGTGTGAGTGTGCGTGTGGGCGTGAACGGGTGACGGTGGCTTCTGTTTAAGATACAGTGCCCAAGAAAGGCTTACCTAGAAGATGACGTTTGAAGGAAGTAGAGGCAGTTATGGAGGCGGCAATGGGCAAGATGGTTCAAAAAGAGGGATAAGCAAGTGCAGCGGCCCTGAGCTGGAGCGTACCTGTGAGCTGGCATGAAGCCTTCAGGGAGAGTGGAGGGAGATAAGATAATGTGTGTGTAGGGGTGGATGGATCCTATGGGGCCCAGCAGGTCATTGTAAGGCGTCGGCATTCATTTAGAGATGAGACGCCACTAGAGATATGAGCAGGAGTGGCCTGATTATGTTTTATTCGGATTGCTCTAGCTGTGTTTTAATTAAAACTATTTTATAAAGAGAGGAAAAAACAATTTTGCTTTTCCAAATCAATCATGTTTATGTCTTTGAAAGAGGAGAACAACAAATCACAGAAAACATAAATAAATGCATTTTGTTCAGGGACAGATGGCTGAAGCAACGAGAGTGAATCACAGAGTCACAGAATCACAGTTATGTGCAAAGCACTCAGGAAATAGCTTGGTCCCTAATTAATCATTCCATGTTGTTAAACTCTGTGGAGATAAATTTAGCCAGCAGTAGGTAGAATGAGATGAATTCTCATGAAAACATGTTTTCAATGAAGTTGGCAAAGAATGCTGTGTAAACCCCAAATAGCTGAAACTATGTCCTAATAGCATTGAGCTTGGTGTGCCACATCCTTAGCAATAACCACTTGAGTGTCTGTCCCTGGGGCCTGCAGATGAGGATGTTAACATCTGATTTAGCAGAAGGGGTGGGGAGAGTGATGGGGGACAAGGGAGAGAGTCCTGAAACATACAGGTGGTGACCCTAGGAGCTGACTTTGGTGCCATTTAGGCATATTTGCTTTCAGGACTCACACTTCCTTAGGTTTAAGCTATCAATAAAAGGAAAGTGGTTTCTAAGTCCTAGCCTTTGGACTGTATTCCTTTAATTCATATAGTGGAGCAGGGGGAAAGTTATCATTTTAATGGCTGGTAGCACAATTCCGAGAAGAAAACTTTTTTGTTTATTTAATCTTAGATAAGCCATTTGAGTGTTAAGAGCTATGGCCCACGACAGGGAAGGGATTTGAAATGTTTTAGATAATAAAGTGAGGAGAATTTGGGATTTGCATCAGAATGACGAAGGGGAAGTGGGGGAGGGGTGATACACTAACACCAGTGGAGAAGAAATCCAGGGAAAAGGTGACAGAAATCCTGGCCACTGAAGGGCTGGAGCCTGAGGCTAAAACAGTGCCAGGGAGACCCTCTGGGGTGACAGCCTAAGAATTTTTGATAACAAGGATATTGGCAGAGCAGTGGTGAAACCCTCTCCCCTTTTCCCATTGCTTCTCCCTCCTTTGCCCCAGATTCCCACTCAAAGCCTGTGATACATACTGTTGTTCACTGTGGTGTTCAGGTATACTGAGGGGTAGGAGAGTGAAGAAAAGGAGAATGGTTTGCAAGTGGGGTTAATGTGGGCTGAGAGAGAAGAGGACAGCAAAGAGGCGTGAGACACAGGGTAAAGAAAGCATTCAGAGTAAAATGGACCAAGAGGTGAGTAGGAGAATAAGTTACCCCAAATGCCTCAGAAATATTTGTTGGGAGGACTCTGCTATATGAGACTTAAGCCCTTTTTAAAAAAATAAAATAAAATGAAAAGGTGATTCCCAAAAGGTTGGTGCCTTATGAGGCTTCATCTGCATAGGATCCCTGGTTTCACAACTCCTTATCTTGACCAGACTTTCTATTGATTCCAGGTCTTTAGACAATAACTTAATTCTTTCAACCAACTGTCAATCAGAAAATCTTTGAATCCACCTATGACCTATGACCCCTCCCCTACTCCACCCCACTGATTTGAGTTTGTCCTGCCTTTTCCAACTAAACTAGTATATATCCCACATGTATTGATTAATATCTTTTGTCTCCCTAAATGTATAAAAACCAAGCTATAACCCAACCACCTTGGGCACATGTTCTCAGGATCTCTTGAGACTGTACCTTGGGCCTTGGTCATTTATATTTGACTCAGAATAAACCTCTTTAAATATTTTACAGAGTCTGACTCTTTTCATCAACAGCTGGAATATTTGTTTCTTGATCTAATGATGATTACACAGCAGTTTTAAGTTTGTGCAAGTTTATTTGGTTTTATACTTACAATATATACACTCAATAAAATATGATATACCTCAATAAAAATAAAGCAATGCCTTCCCTGCCTCCAAAAACAAAACCAACCTGGGAATACAAAGATCAAATAACAGTGCCTGCAGAAGCTTAGAAAATCGGCACAGATGTGACATTTGACTCAGTTCAGCACACATTATGGAGGGTTACTATACAAGGGAGACTGCACACAGAGACCATACTCAGGAGCCTGAGGATCCTGAATCACTGACCTAGAGGGAAGAAGTACCAGCCCCTATCTTGAGGACCTCATATTACAAGGCAGTAATAGACATGCAAAAATTAATAGCAACAGTCTGATTCTGGCAATTGGCTGATATGCCAACTCTTACCACTTTTCAACATTGTGCTAGATATGTAAGTGGCAGAAAGACTGAAAAGGAATAAACAGATTATTATTTGCATTCTATGCTCTTATTTACTTAGAAAATCCAGGAGAATCTATACACTATTAGAAAAAAATTACACTTATAAAACTTACTAGATAAAAGATCAGTATCAAAAAAATCAATTGCTTTCCTAAACACCAGTACTAACTAATTAGAAAATGCACTGGGCACAGTGGCTTAAGCCAATAATCCCAGCATTTTGGGAGGCTGAGGTGGGAGGATCACTTGAGCCCAGGAGTTCGAGACCTGCCTGAGCAACATAGCAAGACCCTGTCTCTGAAAATGCAATTTTCCAAATTTTCAATAGGAACAATTACATAAATGATTATAATATATATATATAATTTTATATATACACATCTATATCTGATGTTATAAAGATGTGCAATACTTGGAGAAAAATTTCAAAAATTTTTTGCTGGGTATATAAGCTCTAAATATATAAAAAGATATACTATATTTAAATACTAAGGGATAAAGTATTAAGCATTCAATGAATACTGGAAAAATGATTGGATGAGTTCATATTGGACAGAGCCACATCTCGGTCTTCTTTTGGAATCCTTTCTTCATATAGTACCTAGAATAGTGCCTGACACTGTGGGAAACCAAAATATGTCACCTCAAAATATACTTCTTTGGCGTATTTTCAGTTGGTTATTCAGAGAAGTAGCAGACAGGAATAGTTCTGAAAAGCTGTTCTTTTGGGGGTAGATTTGCATCTGTAGAGGAAATCTGCATTGGTGAGGTAAAGAACAGACACAGAGGCTTTCTCTGAGGTCCACCTATCTGGATCAGGAAAAAGGAACTCAATAAGAAAAGGAGACTAAAGACCTGATACTTTTTTTTTTTTTTTTTTTTTATACTCTAAGTTTTAGGGTACATGTGCACATTGTGCAGGTTAGTTACATATGTATACATGTGCCATGCTGGTGCGCTGCACCCACTAATGTGTCATCTAGCATTAGGTATATCTCCCAATGCTATCCCTCCCCCCTCCCCCGACCCCACCACAGTCCCCAGAGTGTGATATTCCCCTTCCTGTGTCCATGTGATCTCATTGTTCAATTCCCACCTATGAGTGAGAATATGCGGTGTTAAGACCTGATACTTTTAAAGTTTGGACAGTGAAACTTTTGCTGCATCTCTTCCTTCTGAGGGCTGCTCCCAGAGAGACTTCATCTGCATCACAAGACAGCCTTTGCTCACCATGCCTTTCCTCCCCACACCCTCTCATAATGTGTTGCTACCTCCCTGCAGGAGCCTTTAGGACCCTATTTCTTTCTGTAGCTTAAAATGCTATTGAAGCTTCAACTATCTGGCCCTTCTTTGATTCTTCGAGTCTCGTAGTTTGTGTGGCTCCTGTGCACATGTGCATGTGATAAATGTGTATACTTTGTCTCCCATGAATCTGGCTATTGTCAGTTTCTTTTATAGACTCAGATTAACAAACTTTCAGAAGGGTGGAGGCGGGCGGGGGGTGGGGTGGGGAGGGAAATCCCTTTGCTCCTACAGCAAAGTAGTAGGGACTCAAAAAATATCGAAGAGAAGAAAACAAAGGAGAGGAAAGGAGGAAGGGATGAATAACTTTATTTAAATGAGAAAAGTGGCACTGAGTTAAAAATTATTAAATATTTTGAATTCTTTATGTTATTACAATTTTTACTTTTGCTAACATCCTCTTGCTTTATTGTTGTAATAATGTGTGCTCATATAGTCATTAAGAGTTTACAAAACTGTGTCAATTAGGTCCATATAACAATGAAAAAGCAGCAGCATCACTGGAAAATCTCGAGGCTCTTCAAGGTTAAGGGGCTTGCCTTAGATGACAAATAACCTGACTGTTACTCAGACCCAAGTTTTTTGACTTCAAGGGCAGCGACTTTGTACTCTACAGATGCCAATCTAAATGGGCTGCAAGCTAGATGTGTAGGCTATGGATTGCCATCCTAATTGGGACACTTTTGAGAGCAGAAGTAGGTGTTATCCATTATGTTGGGACAATAGGTGTAAATTGGTACCATCTTGGGTACATCCAAGGTACAGTTTACCTTATCTATGGCTGAAAACTGAGTTTAAATTAATTCTTCTTACGGGCAGCACAAGTCAAAAAGCCCTTTGCCAAGCTGCACAGATTGTAAATGCTGCTCCTGGCTGTGTTCAATGTATATTTGGACAAAGTCAATAATAAATAAATAAAGGTCAACTATGAATTAAGGTAGGTTTGTTAGTTTGTTTTTTGGTAAAAGGAATGTCACTTGCTTAGAGAGGTTAATATACTGCATGTGGGGCAAAGTTGCTGGTAAGTATCATTCTTCCTTCTGTCCTTCGAACCCCAAATGACACATCTTGTTCACGTATCCACTATGGTGTAAGACATCACTGGGTGCTGGCTGTAATTTTATCTTCCTTCTTAAAGTCTTTATAACGTGAAGATAATGAGTGGATCTGTGCGAAACTCACTACCAGGATCAGCCAATACTTGTTTTTCTGTGGAGCTTTTGGTGATTACTTTAACTGAATAGAGTTTTTTTTTTTTAAACAGCAAATCTTTCAATGTATTAGCAATTTTAAGTAAGAATCTCTAACTTGTAACACACACTGAACTTAGAGTTTTGTTTTTTTTCTACACATGCCATTTCTGCAAGTGAACTTAAGAAATTTCAACTAATATAGAAGACTTAATCAATTCTCAATTACATGTTGTAAATTAACCTGCTAACAGGAACAGGTGAAACTCTCTTAACATTTTAAGGACATAAAGTAATCAAATATGCAGATTTAACACAAAACCATTAATATTATGGGGTTCTTTTCAATATTTCTATGCTTAATTTTAAATCTTTTTTAGGATAAAATTGTTTTCCAACTAAGAAAAGTATTGTCATCCTATTTTGTGAGATACCACTAAGTCAAATGAGATTGCGTAATGACCAGAGATATTATTAGTTGAGGTGCTGACTGTATTTTTATCTGATATACCAATGAGTCTTTTCACTTGGGTAAATATGTAGGAGCTGGATTTCTGAGTTGAATGGTAAGTCTGTTTTTAACTTTGTACTAAACTGGGATTTTGTTTTCCAAAGTGGCTGTACAATTTTGCATTCCAACCAACAATGTATGAGAGTCCTAGTTCTGCATGCTCATCAGTAAATAGAATTGTCAGTTGTTAAATTTTAGCCATTCTAATAGTTCCTACCCTTTTTTAGACCATATAGGGTAATGACATTGCCATGGCATCTGTAAACTGTCATGGCGCTAGTGGGAGTGTCTTTTGGTATGCTAATACATTATAATTAGTGTATAATGAGCAATGATATCGAACAGAGGTCACTTTCATTGCCATGTGGGTTTGGGTGGGTTTTGGCCAGCTTCTTTACTGCAACCTGTTTTATCAGCGAGGTCCCTTCTGACTAATGATGTTAAGAATCTTTTAATGTACTTATTTATAATCTTTCTATCTTCAGTAAAATGTCTATAGAAATTATTGGTCCATTTCTTTATTGAGTTGTGTGATTTCTTAATACTGAGTTTTGAAAGATCTTTATATATTCTGAACTCAAGGCTTTATTGTATATCTCATTTGCAAATATTTATCCAGTGCATGGCTGGTCTTTTAATTTTCTTTTTCTTTTTTCTTTTTCCTAACTGCTAGATGATGTGGGAGTCTTTTCAAATCCTTAGCATCTTTGGAAGAGCAGAAGTTTAAATTTTTGATAAAATCTAATTTATCTTTTTTGAGACAGGGTCTCACTCTGTCACTCAGGCTGGAGTGCAGTGGCACAATCATGGCTCACTGCAGCCTCAACCTTCAGGGCTCAGGTGATCCTCTCACCTCAGCCTCCTGAGTAGCTGGGACTACAGGTGCCCACCACCATGCCTGGCTAATTTTTGTATTGTGTGTAGAGACAGGATTTCGCCATGTTGCCCAGGCTGGTCTCAAACTCCTGGGCTCATGTGATCCACCTGCCTCAGCCTCCCAAAGTGCTAGGATTAAATTTATCATCTTTTTTTTTTCTTGGATGGATCATAGTTTTGGCATCTTCTTAGAAATCTTTGCCTAATGTCGTGATGATTTTCTCCTATGTTTTCTTCAAAGTTTTATAGTTTAAAATTTTAGATTTAGGTCTGTAATACATTTGAGTTAATTTTTTGTAAAGGGTATGAGTGATCAATCAAGGCCCTCCCTCCTTCCTTTCCTTCCTTCCTTGTATATTGAAATCCAATTATTCCAGCACCATCTGTTGAGTCTTCCTATTCATGAACAGGGACTGTCTCTCCATTTATTTAGTTTCTATTTGATTTCTTTCATTAGAGTTCTATAGTTTTCCTCATATAGATCTTGTACATAATTTGTTGGATTTATACCGAAGTAGTTTGGTTTTGGGGGTGCTGGTATAAATGGTATTGTGATTTTTCTTTTCTTTTTTTTTTTTTTTGATACAGGGTCTCACCCTCTCACCCAGGCTGGAGTGCAATGGTGCAATCTTGGCTCACTTGTAACTTTGGCCTCCTGGGCTCAGGTGATCTTCCCACCTCAGCCCCTTGAGTACCTGGGACTACAGGTGTGCACCACCATACCTGGCTAATTTTTTTGTATTTTTGTTTTGCAGATATGGGTTTTTGCCATGTTGCCCAGACTGGTCTCAAGCTCCTGGGCCCCAAGTGATTTCATTCACCTCAGCCTCCTAAAGTGCTGTATTGTGTTTTTAATTTCAAATTCCACTTGTTCATTGCTCATACATAGGAAAGTGATTGACTTTTGTATATTAATCTTGCTCTAGTTACTTATTAGTTCCAGGAGTCTGTTGTTTATTCTTTTGGATTTTCTACATGAACAACTATGTCTTCTGTGAACAAAGACAGTAATATATATTCCTTCCAGATCCATGTACCTTTCATTTCATGTTCTTATCCCAGTATTATCTAGGATTTCCAATATGATGTTGAAAAGGAGTGGTGAGAGGGAACATCCTTATCTTGCTCTTGATCTTGGTGAGAAAGCCTCATGCTTCTTATCATTAAGTATGATGTTAGCTGCAGGTTTTTTGTAGACATTCTTTATGAAGTTGAGGAAGATCCACTCCATTCCTAGTTTACTGACAGCTTTTATCATGAATGTGTGTTGGAGTTTGTCAAAAGCTTTTTCTGCATATATTAATATGATTATGTGATTTTTTTCCTTTAGCCTGTTGATGTAGTGAATTTTACATTAATTGATTTTTGAATGTTAAACCAGCTTTGCATATCTGGGATGAATTCCACTTGCTCATGGTGTATAATTCTTTTTATACATTGTTAGATTCAATTTGCTAATATCTTGTTGAGGATTTTGCATCCGTGTTCATGAAAGATATTGGATCTGTAGTCTTTTTATGTAATGTCTTTGTCTGGTTTTGGTAATAAGGTAATGCTGGCCTCATAGAATGAGTGGGGAAGTATTCCCTCTGCTTCTGTCTTCTAAAAGAGATTGTAGAGAGTTGGTATAATTTCTTCCTTAAATGTTTGGTAGATATTACCAGTGAAACTATCTAGGCCTTGTGCTTTCTGTTTTGGAAGGTTATTATTTATTAATTCAATTTCTTTAATAAATATTGGCCTACTCAGATTATTTATTGATTCTTGTGTGAGTTTTGGCAGATTATGTCTTTCAAAAAATTGGTCCATTTCATCTAGGTTATCAAATTAAATTTGTGGTCATAAAGTTGTTCATAGTTGTCCATTATTATCCCGTTAGTGTCCGTGGGATCTGTAATGATGTTCCCTCTATCCTTTCTTGCTTTGTTGTTGTTGTTGTTTTTGAGATGGAGTCTTGGTCTGTCGCCCAGGCTGGAGTGCAGTGGTGCTATCTTGGCTCACTGCAACCTCCACCTCCCAGGTTCAAACGACTCTCTTGCCTCAACCTCCCCAGTAGCTGGGATTACAGGTGCCCACCACCAAGCCCAGCTAATTTTTGTATTTTTAGTAGAGCTAGGGTTTCACTATATTGGTCAGGCTGGTCTCGAACTCCTAACCTCTAGCGATCCACCTGCCTTGGCCTCCCAAAGGCGTAAGCCACTGCACCTGGCCTCATTTCTGATATTAGGAATTTGTGTCATCTTTTTGTTTTTCTTGGTTATCCTAGCTAGAGGCTTAGTGGTTTTATTTATCTTTTTTTTTTTTTTTTTTGCTGAGGTTTTATTTTGGAAAAAAAGAGCAATTGAATTGTTTTGTAGCTGGAGAGTGCCTCAGGCAGTGAACTCCTCCTGGGGATGGGCTGAGGGCAAGGGCTAAGCCTCAGGTGGGTCTCCTGTTCCCTGTGCTCCCCTGCACAGCTGCCTCCCTCTCGGACCCTGGGGCAGCCGCAGGAAGGGTAGGCTGGGAGGGGCTGCCATGGCTGTTCACTTGGGCAGGACATCAGAGGACTCGAACACCAGCCTCCCATCACAGGTCTTGATTTTCTTCACAACTACAGCCCTGGTGGAGCTGCTGCAGCTGAAGGAGCTGGAGCCTGTGCCAGAGCCAAAGCTGGAGCCCAGCTTCCCTCCGGCAACTACCTGTAGGTGGCAATCTCCATGTCCAGGGCCTATTTATCTTTTTTTTTTTTTTAAATAGCTTTTAGTTTCATTGATTTTTTTTCTATTGATTTTCTGTTTTCAATTTCATTGATTTCTGCTTTCATTTTTATTATTTCTTATTCTTTCTTTAGAATTAATTTGTTCCTCTTTTTTCTAGTTTTTTAAGGTGAAAGCCTAGATGATTGATTTTATATCTTTCTTCCTTTCTAATATATACATTTAATGGCATAAATGTTCATCTAAGCACTGTTTTTACTGTATCCCACAAATTTTGAAAAGTCATGCTTTTATTTTCATTTAGTTAAAAATAATTTTAAATTTCTCTGAGATTTCTCTTGTGACCCATGTGTTATTTTGAAGTGTGTTGTTTAATCTCCATGTATTTTGGAATTGTCCGGTTGTGTTTCCGTTATTAAATTTTTAGTTTAATTCTATTGTGGTTTGAGAGCAGATGTTGTTTTAAATTTGCTAAGGTGTGTTTTATGGCCCAGAATGTGGTCTATCTTGCTAAATGTTCCATGTGAACTGGAGAAGAAAATGTTTTCTGCAAAAGTTGGATGAAGTAGTCCATAGATTTTTTTTTTGTTCCAGATTAAATGCTTTTTTAAAAAATTTATTATTATTATACTTTAAGTTATAGGGTACATGTGCACATTGTGCAGGTTAGTTACATATGTATACATGTGCCATGCTGGTGCGCTGCACCCACTAACTCGTCATCTAGCATTAGGTATATCTCCCAATGCTATCCCTCCCCCCTCCCACCACCCCACAACAGTCCCCAGAGTGTGATGTTCCCCTTCCTGTGTCCATGTGTTCTCATTGTTCAATTCCCACCTATGAGTGAGAATATGCAGTGTTTGGTTTTTTGTTCTTGCGATAGTTTACTGAGAATGATGATTTCCAATTTCATCCATGTCCCTACAAAGGACATGAACTCATCATTTTTTATGGCTGCATAGTATTCCATGGTGTATATGTGCCACATTTTCTTAATCCAGTCTATCATTGTTGGACATTTGGGTTGGTTCCAAGTCTTTGCTATTGTGAATAATGCCGCAATAAACATACGTGTGCATGTGTCTTTATAGCAGCATGATTTATAGTCCTTTGGGTATACACCCAGTAATGGGATGGCTGGGTCAAATGATATTTCTAGTTCTAGATCCCTGAGGAATCGCCACACTGACTTCCACAATGGTTGAACTAGTTTACAGTCCCACCAACAGTGTAAAAGCATTCCTATTTCTCCACATCCTCTCCAGCACCTGTTGTTTCCTGACTTTTTAATGATTGCCATTCTAACTGGTGTGAGATGGTATCTCATTGTGGTTTTGATTTGCATTTCTCTGATGGCCAGTGATGGTGAGCATTTTTTCATGTGTTTTTTGGCTGCATAAATGTCTTCTTTTGAGAAGTGTCTGTTCATGTCCTTTGCCCACTTTTTGATGGGGTTGTTTGTTTTTTTCTTGTAAATTACTTTGAGTTCATTGTAGATTCTGGATATTAGCCCTTTGGCAGATGAGTAGGTTGCGAAAATTTTCTCTCATTTTGTAGGTTGCCTGTTCACTCTGATGGTGGTTTCTTTTGCTGTGCAGAAGCTCTTTAGTTTAATTAGATCCCATTTGTCAATTTTGGCTTTTGTTGCCATTGCTCTTGGTGTTTTAGACATGAAGTCCTTGCCCATGCCTATGTCCTGAATGGTAATGCCTAGGTTTTCTTCTAGGGTTTTTATGGTTTTAGGTCTAATGTTTAAGTCTTTAATCCATCTTGAATTGATTTTTGTATAAGGTGTAAGGAAGGGATCCAGTTTCAGCTTTCTACATATGGCTAGCCAGTTTTCCCAGTACCATTTATTAAATAGGGAATCCTTTCCCCATTGCTTGTTTTTCTCAGGTTTGTCAAAGATCAGATAGTTGTAGATATGCAGCATTATTTCTGAGGGCTCTGTTCTGTTCCACTGATCTATATCTCTGTTTTGGTACCAGTACCGTGCTGTTTTGGTTACTGTAGCCTTGTAGTATAGTTTGAAGTCAGGTAGAGTGATGCCTCCAGCTTTGTTCTTTTGGCTTAGGATTGACTTGGTGATGCGGGCTCTTTTTTGGTTCCATATGAACTTTAAAGTAGTTTTTTCCAATTCTGTGAAGAAAGTCATTGGTAGCTTGATGGGTATGGCATTGAATCTGTAAATTACCTTGGGCGGTATGGCCATTTTCACAATATTGATTCTTCCTACCCATGAGCATGGAATGTTCTTCCATTTGTTTGTATCCTCTTTTATTTCCTTGAGCAGTGGTTTGTAGTTCTCCTTGAAGAGGTCCTTCACATCCCTTGTAAGTTGGATTCCTAGGTATTTTATTCTCTTTGAAGCAATTGTGAATGGGAGTTCACTCATGATTTGGCTGTCTGTTTGTCTGTTATTGGTGTATAAGAATGCTTGTGATTTTTGTACATTGATTTTGTATCCTGAGACTTTGCTGAAGTTGCTTATCAATTTAAGGAGATTTTGGGCTGAGACAATGGGGTTTTCTAGATATACAATCCTGTCGTCTGCAAACAGGGACAATTTGACTACCTCTTTTCCTAATTGAATACCCTTTATTTCCTTCTCCTGCCTAATTGCCCTGGCCAGAACTTCCAACACTATGTTGAATAGGAGTGGTGAGAGAGGGCATCCCTGTCTTGTGCCAGTTTTCAAAGGGAATGCTTCCAGTTTTTGCCCATTCAGTATGATATTGGCTGTGGGTTTGTCATAGATAGCTCTTATTATTTTGAGATACGTCCCATCAATACCTAATTTATTGAGAGTTTTTAGCATGAAGGGTTGTTGAATTTTGTCAAATGCCTTTTCTGCATCTATTGAGATAATCATGTGGTATTTGTCTTTGGTTCTATTTATATGCTGGATTACATTTATTGATTTGCGTATATTGAACCAGCCTTGCATCCCAGGGATGAAGCCCACTTGATCATGGTGGATAAGCTTTTTGATGTGCTGCTGGATTCGGTTTGCCAGTATTTTATTGAGGATTTTTGCATCAATGTTCATCAAGGATATTGGTCTAAAATTCTCTTTTTTTGTTGTGTCTCTGCCCGGCTTTGGTATCAGGATGATGCTGGCCTCATAAAATGAGTTAGGGAGGATTCCCTCTTTTTCTATTGATTGGAGTAGTTTCAGAAGGAATGGTACCAGTTCCTCCTTGTACCTCTGGTAGAATTCGGCTGTGAATCCATCTGGTCCTGGATTCTTTTTGGTTGGTAAGCTATTGATTGTTGCCACAATTTCAGATCCTGTTATTGGTGTATTCAGAGATTCAACTTCTTCCTGGTTTAGTCTTGGGAGAGTGTATATGTCGAGGAATTTATCCATTTCTTCTAGATTTTCTAGTTTATTTGCATAGAGGTGTTTGTAGTATTCTCTGATGGTAGTTTGTATTTCTGTGGGATTGGTGGTGATATCCCCTTTATCATTTTTTATTGCGTCTATTAGATTCTTCTCTCTTTTTTTCTTTATTAGTCTTGTTAGCAGTCTATCAATTTTGTTGATCCTTTCAAAAAACCAGCTCCTGGATTCATTAATTTTTTGAAGGGTTTTTTGTGTCTCTATTTCCTTCAGTTCTGCTCTGATTTTAGTTATTTCTTGCCTTCTGCTAGCTTTTGAATGTGTTTGCTCTTGCTTCTCTAATTCTTTTAATTGTGATGTTAGGGTGTCAATTTTGGATCTTTCCTGCTTTCTCTTGTGGGCATTTAGTGCTATACATTTCCCTCGACGCACTGCTTTGAATGCATCCCAGAGATTCTGGTATGTTGTGTCTTTGTTCTCGTTGGTTTCAAAGAACATCTTTATTTCTGCCTTCATTTTGTTATGTACCCAGTAGTCATTCAGGAGCAGGTTGTTCAGTTTCCATGTAGTTGAGCGGTTTTGAGTGAGATTCTTAATCCTGCGTTCTAGTTTGACTGCACTGTGGTCTGACAGACAGTTTGTTATAATTTCTGTTCTTTTACATTTGCTGAGGAGAGCTTTACTTCCAAGTATGTGGTCAATTTTGGAATAGGTGTGGTGTGGTGCTGAAAAAAAATGTATATTCTGTTGATTTGGGGTGGAGAGTTCTGTTAGATGTCTATTAGGTCCGCTTGGTGCAGAGCTGAGTTCAATTCCTGGGTATCCTTGTTGACTTTCTGTCTCGTTGATCTGTCTAATGTTGACAGTGGGGTGTTAAAGTCTCCCATTATTATTGTGTGGGAGTCTAAGTCTCTTTGTAGGTCACTCAGGACTTGCTTTATGAATCTGGGTGCTCCTGTATTGGGTGCATATATATTTAAGATAGTTAGCTCTTCTTGTTGAATTGATCCCTTTACCATTATGTAATGGCCTTCTTTGTCTCTTTTGATCTTTGTTGGTTTAAAGTCTGTTTTATCAGAGACTAGGATTGCAACCCCTGCCTTTTTTTGTTTTCCATTTGCTTGGTAGATCTTCCTCCATCCTTTTATTTTGAGCCTATGTGTGTCTCTGCACGTGAGATGGGTTTCCTGAATACAGCACACTGATGGGTCTTGACTCCGTATCCAATTTGCCAGTCTGTGTCTTTTAATTGGAACGTTTAGTCCATTTACATTTAAAGTTAATATTGTTATGTGTGAATCTGATCCTGTCATTATGATGTTAGCTGGTTCTTTTGCTCGTTAGTTCATGCAGTTTCTTCGTAGTCTCGATGGTCTTTACATTTTGGCATGATTTTGCAGCGGCTGGTACCGGTTGTTCCTTTCCATGTTTAGCGCTTTCTTCAGGAGCTCATTTAGGGCAGGCCTGGTGGTGACAAAATCTCTCAGCATTTGCTTGTCTGTAAAGTATTTTATTTCCCCTTCACTTATGAAACTTAGTTTGGCTGGATATGAAATTCTGGGTTGAAAATTCTTTTCTTTAAGAATGTTGAATATTGGCCCCCACTCTCTTCTGGCTTGTAGGGTTTCTGCCGAGAGATCCACTGTTAGTCTGATGGGCTTCCCTTTGTGGGTAACCCAACCTTTCTCTCTGGCTGCCCTTAACATTTTTTCCTTCATTTCAACTTTGGTGAATCTGACAATTATGTGTCTTGGAGTTGCTCTTCTCGAGGAGTATCTTTGTGGCGTTCTCTGTATTTCCTGAATCTGAATGTTAGCCTGCCTTGCTAGATTGGGGAAGTTCTCCTGGATGATATCCTGCAGAGTGTTTTCCAACTTGGTTCCATTCTCCCCGTCACTTTCAGGTACACCAATCAGACGTAGATTTGGTCTTTTCACATAGTTCCATATTTCTTGGAGGCTTTGCTCGTTTCTTTTTATTCTTTTTTCTCTAAACTTCCCTTCTCACTTCATTTCATTCACTTCATCTTCCATCGCTGATACCCTTTCTTCCAGTTGATCGCATCGGCTCCTGAGGCTTCTGCCTTCTTCACGTAGTTCTCAAGCCTTGGTTTTCAGCTCCATCAGCTCCTTTAAGCACTTCTCTGTATTGGTTATTCTAGTTATGCATTCTTCTAAACTTTTTTCAAAGTTTTCAACTTCTTTGCCTTTGGTTTGAATTTCCTCCCGTAGCTCGTAGTAATTTGATCGTCTGAAGCCTTCTTCTCTCAGCTCGTCGAAGTCATTCTCTGTCCAGCTTTGTTCCGTTGCTGGTGAAGAACTGCATTCCTTTGGAGGAGGAGAGGTGCTCTGCTGTTTAGAGTTCCCAGTTTTTCTGCTCTGTTTTTCCCCATCTTTGTGGTTTTATGTACTTTTGGTCTTTGATGATGGTGATGTACAGATGGGTTTTTGGTGTGGATGTCCTTTCTGTTTGTTAGTTTTCCTTCTAACAGACAGGACCCTCAGCTGCAGGTCTGTTGGAGTACCCGGCCATGTGAGGTGTCAGTCTGCCCCTGCTGGGGGGTGCCTCCCAGTTAGGCTGCTCGGGGGTCAGGGGTCAGGGACCCACTTGAGGAGGCAGTCTGTCCGTTCTCAGATCTCCAGCTGCGTGCTGGGAGAACCACTGCTCTCTTCAAAGCTGTCAGACAGGGACATTTAAGTCTGCAGAGGTTACTGCTGTCTTTTTGTTTGTCTGTGCCCTGCCCCCAGAGGTGGAGCCTACAGAGGCAGGCAGGCCTCTTTGAGCTGTGGTGGGCTCCACCCAGTTCGAGCTTCCTGGCTGCTTTGTTTACCTAATCAAGCCTGGACAATGGTGGGCGCCCCTCCCCCAGCCTTGCTGCCGCCTTGCAGTTTGATCTCAGACTGCTGTGCTAGCAATCAGTGAGACTCCGTGGGCATAGGACCCTCCGAGCCAGGTGCAGGGTATAATCTCCTGGTGCGCCATTTTTTAAGCCCGTCGGAAAAGCACAGTATTCGGGTGGGAGTGACCCGATTTTCCAGGTGCCATCTGTCACCCCTTTCTTTGACTAGGAAAGGAAACTCCCTGACCCCTTGCGCTTCCCGAGTGAGGCAATGCCTCGCCCAGCTTCGGCTCGTGCACGGTGCGCGCACCCATTGACCTGCGCCCACTGTCTGGCACTCCCTAGTGAGATGAACCTGGTACCTCAGATGGAAATGCAGAAATCACCCGTCTTCTGCGTGGCTCACGCTGGGAGCTGTAGACCAGAGCTGTTCCTATTCGGCCATCTTGGCTCCTCCCCCCATAGATGTTAATTATATCCAGTTAATTGATGGTGTTGTTGAGTTCAACTTTGTCCTTACTGGTTTTATGCCTGCTGGATCTGTCCATTTCTGACAGAGGAGTATTCAGGTCTCCAACTACAATCATGGATTCATCTATTTCTCTTTGCAGTTCTGATGTTTTTGCCTCTCATTTTAATGTATGTGGTTAGGCACATACATATTAAGGATTGTATATCTTCTTAGAGAACAGACCTCTTTATTGCTATGTAATGCCCCTCTTTGTCCCTGATAACTATTTTTGCTTTGAAGTCTGCTCTTAATGAAATTAATAGAGGTACTCTTGTTTTCTTTTGATTAGTGTTAGTATGGTATATCTTTATCCATTTGTTTTTAATCTATACTGTCTATTTTTAAAGCTGGTTAATTGTAGACAACATATACTTGGGTCTGGTTTCTTCATCCACTCCAACAGTCTCTGTCTTTGATTGGTGCATTAGACCACTGACATGCAAAGTGATTATTGATATAGTGGGATTAATACCTACTCTATTTGTTAGATTTTTATTTGTTGCCCTTGTTCTTTGACCCTGTTTTTGTCTTCCACTCTTTTTCTGTCTTTTGTATTTTTAATTAAATACTTTACATGGTTCCATTTTCTCTGTTATACTTTTTTCCATATCTATTGTATCTGTTTATTTAAACATTTTTTAGTGTTTGCCCTAAAATATGCAGTATACATTTGCAAGAATCCAATCCTTCAAATAACACTATACTGCTTCATGGGTAGTGTTTTTAGTAACAAAGTAACCCAATTCTTTCCTCCTATCCCTTGTGTCAATGCTGTTATTCATTTTACTTATATGTAAGCATACATAAGCATATAGATACACATAAGATATATACATAAGCATATATAACCTAATACGTTATTGCTATTACTATTTTGAAAACTGTTACATCTTAGATCAGTTAAGAATAAGAAAAATAGAAGTTTTTAATTTTTCCTTCACTTTCTTCTCCTTCTGTATTCATATTATGCATATGTTTATATTTTGTAGTTGTTTCACAGTTCTTGAATATGCTGTCCTGCTTTTTCTAGTCTTTATTCTCTTTGCTTTTCAGTTTTGGAGGTTTCTACTGATAGATCCCCAGTCTCAGAAATTCTTTCCTCAGCCACGTTCACTCTACTAATAAGCCATCAAAGCCATTCTTCATGTCTATTACATGGTTCAAAAAAATTGTTTATATAGATGTATGGGGTACAGGTGCAATTTTGTTACACGCATACTGGTCAAGTCAGGGCTTTTATGGTATTTATCACCAGAATAACATACATTGTACCTATTAAGTAATTTCTCCTCACCTGCCCTCTCACCTCTTCCCCTTTCTGAGTCTTCATTGTCTATAATTCCACTCTTTAGCTCCATGTGTCCACCTTTTTTCTCAGCATCCACTTACAGTGTTTACAGTGTTCTCATGTTTCTTTGTTTCTTTTCTTTTTAAATTTCGAGACAGGCTACAACAGAATCCAAATCCATAGGTAAAGCAAACTACTCATGTAATTTCAAAGCTGAAGTTGATAGTATATTTGTACCCAATATGAATGGTTCACCTGCATGAGTTTTGAGTTCTCAAAGGCCAGTAGCCTCCTTTCCCTTTTATGCATCTTGAGTACACTTGAGTTAGCCTATGATACATGAATACCTACAAAGTTGAGGCCTATAAAACTTACATGGCAAGCAATTTGAAATGTGCCAACAATGTGATACTGGAGCAACCATAGTGCTGAGAACAGCTTTGACTACTGCAGGAAATCCACAAACCTCAAATTTAGATGAAAACATTTTTGAACTTAATTCATACTGAGGGACAAATTATGGTAATAGTGGAGGGAAAGTCTTTTTATGTGAGATACAGGAGGCTCCTTTAGCTCTTTCACCTCCTAGAGTCACCATAGTGGTACCTTCATTTATTCCTTCTCAAATATTCCTCCCATCTTCATTTAGATCTGAGTTTCAGGCCTATATTATTTTCCCTCTTTCTGAAGAACTCTTGACATTTCTTTCAAGGCATGTTTACTGACAACAAAGTCCCTCAATTTTCATTTGAGAAAATCTTTGTTTCCCTTTTGAATGAAAATTTTGCTGGATACAGAATTCTAAATTGGTGATTTATTTCTTTCAACACTTTATTTTACTCTACCTTATTCTTGTTTGAGTCGTTTTTGAAGAGAATTCCAACGTAATACTTATCCTTGTTCCTCCAGTAGGTAAGGGGTTTTTGTTTTGTTTTTGTTTTTTTGCCTTCCTATAGCTTCTTTAAGGATTTTCTTTTGTCTTTGATTTTCTGCAGTTTATGTATGATATTCCTGGGTGTAGATATTTCTTGGTATTTTTCCTGCTTGGCATTGTGTGAGCTTCCTGAATCTTTGGTTTGGTGTCTGCTATTAATTTTGGAAAATTCTCAGCCAATGTTTCTTTATTTTTTCTGTTCCTTTTTTTCTCCTCCTTTTGTTAGTCCCATTATACCTTTATTATCCTTCTGTAAGTGTTCCACAGTTCTTGGATATTTGCACCATTTCTTTTCAGTCTTTCTTCTCTTTGCTTTGCAATTTGGCAGTTTCTATTAACATATTTGCAAACTCAACAATTCTTATCTCAGCCATATCCAGTCTACTGCTGAGTCCATCAAAGGCACTCTTCATTTCTGTGAGACAGACATAATCTATAGGTGAAAGGAACTGATGTAAATACACCTTTAGTGTGAGATTTTATGCTTATCTGGCTAAGAGCTCTGCATGTATTCCTGTCTGTCTCCCAAAGTGTAGAAAGATTTTTTTTGTTGTTCAGTTTCTCTTAGGACAACAGGTCGTTGTCCACAGTATGTGACTCAGCACCCTTGGATGATGAAGTTGGCTAAGATGTTGGCAGGCAGAGAATCACCCATGGTGTTGCCAGTGGTAGTTACCGAGAAGCCAGCTGGGGTGCTACTGAATTCTCTGGGGAGCTGACCTCTGAGAGTTGCCCTTCAGGGTGCTGGAAAGACTAGCTGGGAAGTGTACCTGTGAGGACAATCCTGAAACTCACTTGGAAGCTGCCCTATGGTATGCTGGCCAAACTCACTAGAAAGCCACCCTTAGGAGTGCCAGCAAAGCTCACTGGGGAGGCATCTTCTACCTATCTCACATGCCACTGGCAGCTATGTGCAGCAAGAACAAACCAAAAAAGCACTCAAATCAGGAAGTGGAGCTCCTTCTTCCCTCAGCATCTTTCTAATGCCCTCTACTGGCAAAGCTTACCATTGTCCAACTAACAAAGGGAAATGTTCACAGGATCCAGCTCTGCCATCCCAACCCAGGACAAAGAAGCGTGAATTTATAACTCAAATGTAATAAATTAATAACTGGCAGAACTGCCCATTACACATAGGATATATTCCAATTCTTTGCCAGCACCTATAATGATTTACTCTCTACCTATTTCTTCAACATTATTGGAGGTCCACCCTGCCTACTTTCCACCATTTTAGCCATTCTCTGTTATTTGCACACTCCAAGCTCATCTTACCTCAGAACCTTTGCCCTTGCTATACTCCATGCTTGGAACAAGTTTCCCCTATATCTTTATATAACTAGCTCTCTATTAATATTTGGGTCTTTGTTAAATGTGACCTCATTTGAATAATCTAAAATGAGCCCACATGCCTATAATACCTTCTGTTGTTTTGCTGTTTAGTTTTCTTCACGGTACTTATCACTAAATTATCCTTTTTTTTTTTTTTACTATGTTCTTATCCACATAGTAATAAGCCAAGTAAGAGCCAGACCATAATCTATATTACATATCAGCAATAAGAAGAGTACCCGGCAAGTAGTAAGTGCTCATAAAAAATACTATATAGTTGTTGAATGAATGAGTGATCTCTGTTTTATAGCTGAGGACTGAAGCTCAGAGAGAGAAAGTAACTTTCCCAAAGAACACAGCTAGCAAGTGCCAGAGTCAGGAGTCACCTCAGGTCCTCCTGATCACAGTGCTCTGATTGTCATGGCTCTGTACCACCACCTCCCTGAGTGCTGGAAAGAGTGTAGCTGAGGTACATGTTACAGTGGAGTCTCTAAAATAATTGAGCTTTTGTTATCTCATTACCCATTTTTTTCTTTCTATGGATCTGGCTCTCTACTGTGTGTGCATAGATACAGATCCATGTACTCGTGCCCCCTACTCAGAATAATAATGTGTTAAATATCTTTCAAAGAAAGAATTATTAGACAAAGTCATGGAACTCTTCACCAAAAAGATGACCTTCAAGAGGGGCCATGCGCGATGGCTCACGCTTGGAATCCTGGCAGTTTGGGAGGCCGTTCGAGACCAGCCTGGCCAACATGGTGAAACCCCGTCTCTACTAAAAATACAAAAATTAGCCGGGCTTGGTGGTGTGCACCTGTAGTCCCAACTACAGGAGAATCGCTTTCACCCGGGAGACTGAGGTTGCAGTGAGCCAAGACTGTGCCACTGCACTCTGGTCTGGGTGACAGAGTGACACTCTGTCTCAAAACAAAAACAAAAACAGAAACAAAAACAAAACCTTTGAAATACTTTGTAAAATTAGAAATTGGGTATTGAGAAAAATAAAAATACATCAAATGGAAGACAGGAACCTAGATCCCATTTTTTTCTTTTCTTTCTTTTCTTTTTTTTTTTTTTTGATGGAGTCTAACTCTGTTGCCCAGGCCAGAGTGCAATGGTGGAATCTTGGCTCACTGCAACCTCCGTCTCCTGGGTTCAAGCAATTCTCCTGTCTCAGCCTCCCGAGTAAGTGGGATTACAGGCGCCCGCCACCATGCCTGCCAAATTTTGTATTTTTAGTAAAGATGGGGTTTTACCATGTTGGCCAGGCCAGTCTCCAACTCCTGGCCTCAAGATATCCGCCTGCCTCGGCCTCCCAAAGTGCTGGGATTACAGGCGTGAGCCACCATGCCTGGCCCCAGATCCAGTTGTCTAATACCATTCTTCAGTAAAATAAACCAGGGCTCTTAGGAGAAGTGGTCAATTCTAGCACTGGGGCAGGAAATACAAACATAGGCCTAAGGTACCAGGGCATAAGGAAGTGTTCAGAAAACAAAAAAATCACACAACGATGGGGATATGTTAAAAGGAACTGTAGCCAGAGAAGGGTTCCTAATGGCTGAAGACAGAAAAACTTGAGCAACAAAGTCAACAAAATAGTATTGGATTATAAAGTATAAATAAATATCCACGAGTCTGTCCATACTGATACAAATAAATGATTGAATAAATAAACAAGTAGTGGAGAATAGGTGGATCTCCCATACAGAAGAATCCCAAAAAATTTATGTAGATACTCTGTCCTCAAGGAGGTAGAGCATAATTCCACATTCAAGTGTGGGTTGCGCATACTGACTTCCTTCAAAATAATACAGTTATGGAGAGAGGAAAAACTAACTTCATAGTGGAAAAATCTGACAAACCCCACCTCAGCCAGGGGATCAAGGTCAGCATCAATGGTATATATTTTTGATATGATGTGATAAGAAAGGCATATTATTTCCATAGTCTTCCTCAGCAAACCCCAAACATCAGCCTAATCGTGAAAAAATCATCAGGCATCTCCCAGTTGAAGGGCCTTCTATAAAATACCTGGCCAATACTCCCCAAATCTGTTAAGGTCTTAGAAACTGTTTTTTAAAATTATTATTATACATTAAGTTCTAGGGTACACGTGCACAATGTGCAGGTTTGTTACGTAGGTATACATGTGCCATGTTGTTTTGCTGCACCCATCAACTCGTCATTTACATTAGGCATTACTAATTAGGGTTACTAATGCTATCCCTCTCCCATCCCCCCACCCGCCAACAGGCCCCAATGTGTGATGTTCCCTGCCCTGTGTCCATGTGTTCTTGTTCAACTCCCACCTATGAGTGAGAACATGCGGTGTTTGGTTTTCTGTCCTTGTGGTGGTTTGCTTAAAATGATGGTTTCCAGCTTCATCCATGTCCCTGCAAACGACACGAACTCATCCTTTTTATGGCTGCATAGTATTCTATGATGTGTATATGTGCTACATTTTCTTAATCCGTTCTATCATTGATAGACATTTGGGTTGGTTCCAAGTCTTTGCTATTGTGAATAGTGCTGCAATAAACATACATGTGCATGTGTCTTTGTAGTAGCAAGATTTATAATCCTTTGGGTATATACCCAGTAATGGGACCACTGGGTCAAATGGTATTTCTAGTTCTAGATCCTTGAGGAATCGCCACACTGTCTTCCACAATGGTTGAACTAATTTACACTCCCACCAACAGTGTAAAAGCATTCCTATTTCTCCACATCCTTCCAGCATCTGTTGCTTCCTGACTTTTTAATGATCACCATTCTAACTGGCATGAGATGTTATCTCATTGTGGTTTTGATTTGCATTTCTCTGATGACCAGTGATGATGAGCATTTTTTCATATGTCTGTTGGCTGCATAAATGTCTTCTTTTGAGAAATGTCTGTTTATATCCTTTGCCCACTTTTTGATGGGGTTGTTTGTTTTTTTCTTATAAATTTAAGTTCTTTGTAGATTCCAGATATTAGCCTTTTGTCAGATGGGTAGATTGCAAAGATTTTCTCCCATTCTATATGTTGCCTGTTCACTCTGATGATAGTTTCTTTTGCTGTACAGAAGCTCTTTAGTTTAATTAGATACCATTTGTCAATTTTGGCTTTTGTTGCTATTGCTTTTGGTGTTTTAGTCATGAAATCTTTGCCCATGCCTATGTCCTGAATGGTAGTACCTAGGTTTTCTTCTAGGGTTTTTATGGTGTTAGGTCTTACATTTAAGTCTTTAATCCATCTTGAGTTAATTTTTGTATATGGTGTAAGGAAGGAATCCAGTTTCAGCTTTCTACATATGGCTAGCCAGTTTTCCCAGCACCATTTATTAAATAGGGAATCCTTTCCCTATTTGGTTGTTTGTGTCAGGTTTCCCCATTGCTTGTTTGTGTCAGGTTTGTCAAAGATCAGATGGTTGTAGATGTGTGGTATTATTTCTGAGGCCTCTGTTCTGTTCCATTGATCTATATCTCTGTTTTGGTACCAGTACCATGCTGTTTTGGTTAGTGTAGCCTTGTAGTATAGTTTGAAGTCAGATAGCATGATGCCTCCAGCTTTGTTCTTTTTGCTTAGGATTGTCTTGGCTATGTGGGCTCTTTTTTGGTTCCATACGAACTTTACAGTAGTTTTTTCCAATTCTGTGAAGAAAGTCAGTGGTAGCTTGATGGGGATGGCACTGAATCCATAAATTACCTTGGGCAGTATAGCCATTTTCATGATATTGATTCTTCCTTTCCATGAACATGGAATGTTCTTCCATTTGTTTGTGTCCTCTTTTATTTCATTGAGCAGTGATTTGTAGTTCTCCTTGAAGAGGTCCTTCACATCCCTTGTAAGTTGGATTCCTAGGTATTTTATCCTCTTTGTATTAATTGTGAATGGGAGTTCATTCATGATTTGGCTCTCTGTGTGTCTATTATTGGTGTGTAGGAGTTCTTGTGATTTTTTGCACATTGATTTTATATCCTGAGACTTTGTTGAAGTTGCTTATCAGCTTAAGGAGATTTTGGGCTGAGATGATGGGGTTTTCTAAATATACAATCATGTCATCTGCAAACAGAGACAATTTGACTTCCTCTTTTCCTAATTCAATACCTTTTATTTCTTTCTCTCGCTTGATTGCCCTAGCCAGAACTTCCAATACTATGTTGAATAGGAGTGGTGAGAGAGGGCATCCTTGTCTTGTGCTGGTTTTCAAAGGGAATGCTTCCAGTTTTTGCCCATTCAGTATGATACTGGCTGTGGGTTTGTCATAAATGGCTCTTATTATTTTTAGATACGTTCCATCAATACCTAGTTTATTGCGAGTTTTTAGCATGAAGGGCGGTTGAATTTTATCAAAGGCCTTTTCTGCATCTATTGAGATAATCATGTGGATTTTGTCTTTGGTCCTGTTGATGTGATGGATTACGTTTATTGATTTGCATATGTTGAACCAGCCTTGCATCCCAGGGATGAAGCCAACTTGATTGTGGTGGATAAGCTTTTTGATGTGCTGCTGGATTCAGTTTGCCAGTATTTTATTGAGGATTTTTGCGTTGATGTTCATGAGGGATATTGGCCTAAAATTCTCTTTTTTTATTGTGTCTCTACCAGGCTTTGCTATCAGGATAATGCTAGCCTCATAAAATGAGTTAGGGAGGATATCCTCTTTTTCTATTGATTGAAATAGTTTCAGAAGGAATAGTACCAGCTCCTTTTTGCACCTCTGGTAGAATTTGGCTGTGAATCCATCTGGTCCTGGACTTTTTTTGGTTGATAGGCTATTAATTATTGCCTCAATTTCAGAACCTGTTATTGGTCTATTCAGAGATTCAACTTCTTCCACTGGTTTAGTCTTGGGAGGGTGTATGTGTCCAGGAATTAATCCATTTCTTCTAGATTTTCTAGTTTATTTGCATATAGATGTTTATCATATTCTCTGATGGTAGTTTGTATTTCTGTGGGATTGGTGGTGATATCCCTTTTATCATTTTTTATTGCGTCAATTTGATTCTTCTCTCTTTTCTTCTTTATTAGTCTTGCTAGCGGTCTATTTTGTTGATCATTTCAAAAATCCAACTCCTGGATTCATTGATTTTTTTGAAGGGTTTTTTGTGTCTCTATCTCCTTCAGTTCTGCTCTGATCTTAGTTATTTCTTGCCTTCTGCTAGCTTTTGAATATGTTTGCTCTTGCTTCTCTACTTCTTTTAACTGTGATGATAGGGTGTCGATTTTAGATATTTCCTCCTTTCTCTTGTGGGCAGTTAGTGCTATAAATTTCCCTCTACACACTGCTTTAAAAGTGTCCCAGAGATTCTGGTACATTGTGTCTATGTTCTCACTGGTTTCAAAGAACATCTTCATTTCTGCCTTTATTTTGTAATTTACCCTGTAGTCATTCAGGAGCAAGTTGTTCAGTTTCCATGTAGTTGTGTGGTTTTGAGTGAGTTTCTTAATCCTGAGTTCTAATTTTATTGCACTGTGGTCTGAGAGACAGTTTGTTGTGATTTCTGTTCTTTTACATTTGCTGAGGAGTGTTTTACTACCAATTATGTGATCAATTTTAGAATAAGTGTGATGTGGTGCTGGGAGGAATGTATATTCTGTTGATTTGGGGTGGAGAATTCTGTAGATGTCTATTAGGTCCACTTGGTCCAGAGCTGAGTTCAAGTTCTGGTTATCCTTGGTAACCTTCTTTCTCGTTGATCTGTCTAATATTGACAGTGAGGTGTTAAAGTCTCCCATTATTATTGTGTGGGAGTCTAAGTCTCTTTGTAGGTCTCTAAGGACTTGCTTTATGAATCTGGGTGCTCCTGTGTTGGGTACATACATATTTAGGATAGTTAGGTCTTCTTGTTGAATTGATCCCTTTACCATTACGTAGTGGCCTTCTTTGCCTCTTTTGTTCTTTGTTGGTTTAAAGTCTGTTTTATCGGAGACTAGGATTGCAATCCCTGCTTTTTTTTGCTTTCCATTTGCTTGGTAGATCTTCCTCCATCCCTTTATTTTGAGCCTATGTGTGTCTTTGCACATGAGATAGGTCTCCTGAATACAGCACACTGATGGGTCTTGACTCTTTATCCAATTTGCCAGCCTGTGTCTTTTAATTGGGGCATTTAGCCCATTTACATTTAAGGTTAATATTGTTATATTTGAATTTGATCCTATCATTATGATGTTAGCTGGTTATTTTGCCCATTAATTGATGCAGTTTCTTCATAGTGTCCTTGGTCTTTACCATTTGGCATGTTTTCATAGTGGCTGGTACCGGTTGTTCCATTCCATGTTTAGTGCTTCCTTCAAGAGCTCTTGTAAGGCAGGCCTAGAGTGACAAAATCTCTCAGCATTTGCTTGTCTGTAAAGGATTTTATTTCTCCTTCACTTAGGAAGCTTAGTTTGGCTGCATATGAGATTCTGGGTTGAAAATGCTTTTCTTTAAGAAGGTTGAATATTGGCCCCCACTCTCTTTTGGCTTGTAGGGTTTCTGCCGAGAGATCCGCTGTTAGTCTGATGGGCTTCTCTTTGTGGGTAGCCTGACCTTTCTGTCTGGCTGCCCTTAACATTTTTTCCTTCATTTCGACCTTGGTGAATCTGACAATTAATGTGTCTTGGGGTTGCTCTTGTTGAGGAGTATCTTTATGGTGTCCTCTGTATTTCCTGAATTTGAATATTGGCCTGCCTTGCTAGGTTGGGGAAGTTCTCCTAGATAATATCCTGAAGAGTGTTTTCCAACTTGGTTCCATTCTCCCCGTCACTTTTGGTACACCAATCAGATGTAGATTTGGTCTTTTCACATAGTCCCATATTTCTTGGAGGCTTTGTTCATTTCTTTTTACTCTTTTTTCTCTAATCTTGTCTTCTTTCTTTATTTCATTAATTTGATCTTCAATCACTGACATCCTTTCTTCCACTTGATTGAATTGGCTATTGAACCTTGTGCATGCATCACGAAGTTCTTGTGCCATGGTTTTCAGCTCCATCAGGTCATTTAAGGTCTTCTCTACATTGTTTATTCTAGTTAGCCATTCATTCTTCTCACCTTTTTTCAAGGTTTTTAGCTTCCTTGGGATGAGTTAGAACATGCTGCTTTAGCTCGGGGAAGTTTGTTATTACCGACCTTCTGAAGCCTACTTCTGTCAACTGGTCAAACTCATTCTCGTCCAGTTCGTTTCCTTGCTGGCAAGGAGTTATGTTCCTTTGGAGGAGAAGAGGCGCTCTATTTTTTGGAATTTTCAGCTTTTCTGCTCTCATTTCTCCCCATCTTTGTGGTTTTATCTACCTTTGGTCTTTGATGTTATTGACCTACTGATGGGATTTTGGTGTAGCTGTCCTTTTTGTTGATGTTGATGCTATTCCTTTCTGTTTGTTAGTTTTGCTTCTAACAGTCAGACCCCTCAGCTGCAGGTCTGTTGGAGTTTGCTGGAGGTCCACTCCAGACCCTGTTTGCCTGGGTATCACCAGTGGAGGCTGCAGAACAGCAAATATTGTTGCTTAATACTTCCTCTGGAAGCTTTGTCCCAGAGGGGCACCTGCCTGTTTGAGGTGTCTGTTGGCCCCTACTGGAAGGTGTTTCCCAGTAAGGCTACACGGGGGTCAGGGACCCACTTGAGGAGGCAGTCTGTCCATTCTCAGAGCTTGAACACAATGCTGACAGAACCACTGCTCGCTTCAGAGCTGTCAGATAGGGACGTTTAAGTCTGCAGAAGCCGTCTGCTACCTTTTGTTCTACTATACCCTGCCCCCAGAGGTGGAATCTATAGAGGCAGTGAGCCTTGCCGTGCTGCGGTGGGCTCCACCCAGTTCGTGCTTCTTGGCCTCTTTGTTTACACTGTGAGCTACTCAAGGCTCAGCAATGGCAGATGCTCCTCCCCCAGTCAAGCTGCAGTGTCACAGGTCAGACTGCTGCACTAGCAGTGAGCAAGGCTCCATGGGTGTGGGACCTGCTGAGCCAGGCACAGGAGGGAATCTCCTGGTCTACTGGTTGCTAAGACTGTGGGAAAAGCACAGTATTTGGTCAGGAGTGTACTTTTTCTCCAGGTACAGTCTGTCATGGTTTCCCTTGGCTAGGAAAGGGAAATCCCCTGACCCCTTGCGCTTCCCGGGTGAGGTGATGCCCTGCCCTGCTTCAGCTCACCCTCTGTGGGCTGCACCCACTGTCCAACCAGTCCCAATGAGATGAACCAGGTACCTCAGTTGGAAATGCAGAAATCACCTGTCTTCTGCATTGATCTCGCTGGAGCTGCGGACTGGAGCTGTTCCTATTTGGCCATCTTGGAAGCAACTGCCCATCTTAGAAACTCTTACAGCCAAGAGGAGACTAAGGAGACATGCTGACTCAATGTAATGTGGTGTCCTGGATGGATCTGAGGAAGGGAAAGAGGATATTTGGTTAGGAAACTCTGAACAACTAAAGAAATCTGAGTAAAGTATGGATGTTAGTTAATATTCATGTATTAGAATTGGTTTACAGTGGTTACAAATTATAGAGGACACTGGGTATGTGGTATAGTTATACGAGAACAATCTGTACTCTCTTAGCAACTCTTCTGTGATTCTAAAACCATTCTAAAATAAAAAGCTTCCTTAAAAAAAATTGATGGCAGAGCAGGAGTAAGTATTTTTGTTTTGTAACCTTGGAAAAAAGAGAGTTGAGGCAAAATCCACAGAGGACTAGAACCTGTATTCCTATCTGGTGTGGGAGGAGAGAGATGACATTTGGTTGGGAGAAGGCTGGAGCCAAGTTATGGTGTTCAGTTTGTTTCTGCTCTGCTGTCATAGGGCTCTTCCTTGGAGGAGCTATAGCTCTATGGAACCGTATGAATGGGAGAGTAAGGTTCAACAGTTCGTTGGTGTGACCTGGGTGTATGTGCACATGCGGATGCATTGTGTACATGCAAACTCAAATCCCCATAGCATCCAGCTAGGAAGTCTAAATGAGCAAAGCAAGTTGGGTATAAGAAATAAGAAAGTGCTGGGAGCTATGCTTAATAGGAGACACAAGCCTCAAATAGCAGAACAGCTGCTGCTCTGTTCAGTGCCGGGTGATTTTTGCTGTGCGGGAAGGTGAACTGAGATGCATTTTCTGGTATTTCAAAAGAAGCTGAAAATCTAGATTTACTTTTTGAATGTGGAAAATTCTGCTTTTTAAATGTTGGCAACTATTTCAGAAAGTTTTTATTAATCATCATGTATGCCCAATCTGTGTTGAAGGAAATGTGTCTGTGGACTGCACACAGTCCATACCACCAGGTTGCAATTATTTCTGTCAACCTGAGCTATGCTGAGTCCGGTGGGCTAATACAGATGAGGCAGGGCTGTGTCTGTGTGGTGTAGAGCATGGAGTCAGTCTGTGTCCTGAGCTGTGATGAGATCATTCTGTGAGAGTAAATAACTGAGCTTGTACTTGAAAGTTGAGGACAATGTGGAGAACAAAGAGCTAAGAGCACAAGCAAAGGTCCAGAACTAGAACATCACAGGGTGTGTTTTGGAGACTGGATGATTTGAGTAAAGAATCATGAAGAGCAGAAGTAGTTATCAGGCTAGAAAGTTAGGCTGGAGCCAGATAAGGATGGGCCTGAGTATTTGGAATATATACTGTTGGCAACAGATGACTAAATACTCGGGTTCTCTTGAAGGAGTACAGGGCAGAAATCAGGAGATAGAATGAGAAATTTGACATTTACACCAGAACTTTCCAGCCACAAAGAGCAAGGTAGAGTCAATTAATGCACTGAGTCTAGTTAGAATGATTGGGTTAAGGTGAGAGTGGCCATTCCTAACACTTAGCAAAACAGTGTGTATGCATATGCCTGTGTGCAGTTATTTGATTATACATACACTTTCCAGCTGGGCTAGGCTGGCCTATCTGGGCCCAGTCAACTGCTGTGGACACTGAGCTTTAACACCAATAAGTGCGTGCCGTATTCATCCTCATTCTCATTTCTTTCTCAGTGCCTCTTGACCCTCCAAGGATTATTGCACTGATCCAGAACTGCTAAAATGGAGAAAGCCAGGCCTGACCTGTGCGCACAGCACACAGCATTGATATTTGATGTGAGATTAGGTCAGAGTCAGCCGGGAAGCCTTCTAAAGCGTGGCATACAGCCAACAAAATGAAAAGGCTTTATTCTGGGGGGAAATGTTTCCCTCTCTGCCTGGCTTGCTTTCCTTATCCTCCCTTAGACATCCTTTCCCCTAAATTCTAGTTCATTATTTTCATTTGAAACTCTCAAATTCCACTGGGCCACTAGCTGACCACATTCCTCCCTAAACAATAGCATTCTATTTTAAACACTTATTGTGCCAATGTTGACATTTTAATAGCCCAAGAGGGGCTGAAATAACTACTCCTACCTCACCACCATCACCAAGGAGATCAAGTATCATTTCTAGGATTTATGGTAAGCCCCTCACGGTGAAAGCACAAAAATCAGAGGCCAGGAAATTGGCAGCTACGTATTTTAAATAGGATTTCGGTAATCTTTGGCTGGTCTTTCCTAACAATGTTGAAGTTGATATTTTGTAACTTAACATTGGTTCTAGTTCTGCCTGGTGAGTAGCTCTAATCTCATTTTCATTATGTGAGAAAACACTTATTAATTAGTAGAAACTATTGGCAAACTTGATATAGTTGTGAATGAATAATGTAAATCCCTAGTGGGGCCCTTCCCAAACCCTTGCTCCCCTTCCTAAATAAGCAAACAGAGGGAAATTTCTGATTTTAGTGGGATGATGTACCACTGATTACCCAACATTGCTTATGACTTTACCATTAAGATTTATAATGAAAACTCTTTTATCTATATGTAACAGGAATTAAACTTTATGCAACAAGTTAAATAACAAACTTTCTCGATATCCAAATGAGTGCTTTCTTTATCCAAGTTCATCAGTGTAGGGGAAAGTCCTAACCTTATTTCAAAAATGTGCAAAATATTTTGTAATAACTAGGTAATTCTAAAAACATATAAGGAATTATCTGAAGTTAAGTGTGGTGAGTGAAGTGGATGATTGATAGTCATTTGGGAGCAGTAAAGTGGGTAAGAGTAAAAATTAATGAGACAGTCTTCTTCACGTGGTTCAAAAAACAGCTTCTGAAGGCAGTTTCCCTGGAAGAGCTCCAGAAGTGTTCTTGTATGTGGCAGTAAAGAAAGACAATACTCCTGATGACTGGTAACCAAGTAATGCTGGCTTAAACAGTTACTTATGTGATAATCAAACTTCCCTTGCTGATATAAAAGTTTTTATGTATTCTTGGTTTGATCACTCCTAATTTGTCTGCATGCAAGGAGAACCAGACTTAAGGTAGGATCCACTCATTTACTGACTGATTGCTTATTGAATGCCTTCTCTGTGCTGGACAGTAGGAGTAAGATGAGGAGCACTGTGGACTTTGTCCCTGCCCTCATACATTTATGATAAGGGGTTGTGGGGTCAGGGCATGGAAAAAACAAAAGGCAAATCTTTAAGACAAACTGATTGGAAACGACTGCTATTGGTTAAATACACCCACATGTTGAGATAATTTGTACTTTCCCAAAACATTATCTTGATAACATTATAGTCCCAGAAAGCGTTAGGGAATGTAGTAATGAAACTTTGGCAGGTCTTGTGCCTCTACAATGTTTGTGTTGCTCATGACCTTTGTACATGAATGCTTTTGCCCATGTGGCCAGTCAAAAAATGACCTGGTTGACCTGTTTTTCCAAAAGACCTTTGACCAAATCTTTGATGGACAAACAGAGAATCATGTTTTCAAGAAGGATCTACTTGCAAGCAAAGTTCTATAGTGTAGTCAGGGAAGGCTCTATGAAGTAATGAACTCTTCTGGCAAAGATCTGAAGGATGAGTAGAAAATAGTCTGGTCATGAGCTAGGGGAAGTGATTTACAGGCAGGAGTAACATGTGGAATACAGAATAATTTGACTTTAATAAATTTCAAATGGTAAAAATTTTCCAAAGTTCAAAATAGAAACATAACATCCCGTGATATTAGAAAATCTCATTACTTTACTTTAGTCTGGCCAGAAATGTGTCAAGAGGAAGACTTCAAAGAGGTAGATTTCATCTCTCTGGCCTGTAAACAAAATGCCCAAAACACTTCCCCAAGGCTTAAAGTCAGTTTGTAATTACTCTTTTCATCACCTCAGAAGAATTTCCAAACTTTAGTAACGTAGTAAAATTTTTTTTGGCCTTTGTGAATAAATACTATGAAATTTGGTTCAAAAGATAAAGCAAAGAGCAACTGAGGTCTTCAAAACATCATGTATCTAGAAGGTATTACCAAACATCCGTTTTTTTTAAAAAAGCATAAGGCATAAAATCAATTCACTAATGTCATGCTAGAGTGAGGTAGTAAAATGAGGCAACTCAGACCAGATGGTGTAATTCATAAACAGGGCTGTCATTTGGGAAAACGGGTGGAGTGGATGGAGAAATTAACTTGCAGTCTTTCCCCTTCCATTTCTTCCCAATCCAACTAACCTTATTCCTCTGGGTCATTTAGCTGTGGCTAAAACACACACACACACACACACACACACACACACACGTGTGTATATATATAATATATATATAATATACTTTTTACTTATAGCCATAGGTAAATGGTGAATGAAGTAGATGATTGACCTGTGTGCATAGCACACAGCATTGCTATTTGATGTTTGATGAAATATCAATGCTCTCAGAATAAATAATTAAATGAGTGTATATATATAGACACACACACACACACACACACACACACACACATATATTTCTTTTTTAAAAGAGTGTAATTGATGCCAAAGCCACTTTCTCTTCAGAGCTGCTTAACTACATGAAGAGTGTGCACCAACCTGGGGTTGCAAAGAGTTCTCTACCTTGTCCGGCTTCTGGAAAGGATGTGCGCTTTGCTCAATGGGGAATGGATAAGATGAGGATGTCCCACTGCTGGTTGGTTAGTACATTTTTGTAGATGAAGCAAAGCACATCTGTTCTTATACAGAATCTCATCTTTAAAAGGGACCTCAGATAGCATCTAATTCAAAAACTCATCTAATGCAGTGCAGTATTCCTCTAAGATACATACATAAATGCTGGCTAAATGCCCCCAGGGATGGAAGTTTACTGCCTCACAAGGCAGCCAATTATCTTTCTGACAGGTGCCATTCTTCCTAATACTGAGGTAAAGTCCATTGTTCTTTAGCTTCCACAAAAAGCAGTGATAATACTCTTGACGGCTTGCCCTGTGCCAGGGTCTGTGCCAAGGAGCTTCATATGCATTGTTTGTAACACTTGCAACATTAGTGGCAGGCAGGGATCATCCTGCACATTTTACAGGTGAGGGAACTGGCACAAGGTCACACAGCTAAGAGAGAAGGATCTAGTCTGGCTAAATCCAATGCCTAGGCCAATTTCTTGACACCATGCATAATTCCTGTTTCAAATTTCTATATGTGAAGGCACCTTTTAGACTCTTCTGTTTTCTCATTGATTTCTCATATGGCATGCCTTCCAATGCTTTCAGAATATGCTATGACAGTATCTCTATAAAAATATAAATCAATACAAAAGTTATTGACCCCTAGAAAATGACAATCACATACTTCAATTAAAATGAGTAGTACAAAGAGACTTCCTTGAATCTTTTAATAATGGCATTTATTTTTACATAATAACAGCAGCATATTGGTTAAGACATGGATTTAGGTAGATTTGACACCTGGTTTCAACATTCATTAGCTGTCAGATTCGGGGCATTTTATCTAACTTCTCAAATTATCAGTTTCTCACTTACAATGTGGGGATGATGATGATGCCTATGTTTTAGAATTGTGAGACTTGACATAGTACATATAAAGCACTTAGTATGATGCTGGCACTATCTTCAATAAATGGTATTATTATTTCTTTATTTGCAGCAAACCAAAACCCGTATGATTGTTGTCAAGTAAGACTTCCCCTACATCATGTTTGTAAATTAGAATGTTAGCTATAATTATAAGAAATTGAAAAATTCATGTTGTCTAATCAATATTACATTTTAGCCAGTAGTTTCAGCCAGGATCTTGGTTCTCTCATTAAATATACTGGTAATCTTTTTCAATTTTGTGTCACCTGCAATTGTTAAACATATTTTCAGTATCTTTATCCAAGTTGTTGCTAAAAGTGATTGAACAGGGAAATCAATGTTTGTTCCCATCTGTGGGTGCTGTTAACAGCTTCGTATGTGTGTTTTACAGTCACATATGTAATTTTCCCTGTGCTTTTCTGTCTATATCATACACTTGTTGTATCCCCTAGTGATCTCTGAAGTTTTAAGCTGTCTTTGACCTATGATTCTGTACATCTCCTGATATTGACATAGCTGAATCTATTAACTAACTTCTAAAATGGAAACCAGGACACCTGGGGCTCAGCACTAGCCTTTCCCCAGTGTACTTAAGCCCTCTGTGGCTCCATTTTTCATACTTTTAAAACTGAGCAAATATTTGCCCTCTCCTTCCTTTCAATGATATGGTGAAAATGAATTTAAAGCAATTATAAAAAGGACATGTGTTCTTATAATTGGTAGCATATCATTTACAGAGAAATTCCTCATCTGGTCACTATCTAAGTAGCTAAACAACTAAACATTAGCAAGAGAAGTCTTTGAGCAGTCAATGTAAATGACACCAAGTCTATGCATTTATCATGTGCTTTACTCATAGACTCATACTTATTCACAGTCCCATTACATACACACATCTAACAAGCTTGTTTATTTCATTTCCCAGTCCACAGCCAAATAGAGGAAGAAAGTGGATGGAGACTGCCCAAAGTGGGTAAATTGAAAGTAGCAAGAAAAGGCCAGGTGCGGTGGCTCATGCCTGTAATCCCAGCACTTTGGGAGGCCGAGGCGGGCAGATCACGAGGTCAGGAGTTTGAGACCAGCCTGACCAACATAGTGAAACCCTGTCTCTATTAAAAATACAAAAAATTAGACAGGCGTAGTGGCGTGCACCTGTAATCCCAGCTACTTGGGAGGCTGAGGCAGGAGAATTGCTTGAACCTGGGAGGTGGAGGTTGAACTGAGCCGAGATCGCACCATTGTACTCCAGTCTGGGCGACAGTGCGAGACTCCATCTCAAAAAAAAAAAAAAAAAAAAAAAGTAGCAAGAAAATAATCATTTTGAAAGGTGAAAAAAAAAAAGACAAGAGAATTATAAAAATTAGAAACTCAAAAAGTAAAGAAGCCTGAGACCACTAATTAAAGGGGAAAGATAGCCTTAAACATCAGTTTTCAAGAACATTACTGAATTACAAGTTAATACTATAATTGATGTTCAAAATGATTATTCATTATTGTGTTGGACTTCCGTGTTTTCACATGCTCAGCATTCATTCTGCTCTCCTCTGGAGGCAGCACTATGATTTTTCTTCAGAAAATTACCCTTCCCAATTTGTATTCTGTTCCAAAGGAACCATCATGTAAGGAGCTTTCCCATCTCCTGAACAAGGCTGAGCTTATGGTCCAAGACAAGTCAGTCACCTTTTTGCAGGAATTTGGATGTTGAGCAGAGCCAACACAAAGCTACTGGGCTGGCTCATCCTTATGGTGGTATCCTGAATTCTTCCCTTCCACGTAGAACCCTGGAGCTGCATGGTCCCTGACCTTTTCAAGACTGGTTGTCCAATTTTCTTTTAATTTGGAAGACTACTTTAAAACATTCTAATAAAATATGTTAGTCAAAGGTGGTCTTTGGCTGCTCACAGCTTGTGTTTCATAACTGACACAGATTCATTAAAGGGATCAATTTTGTTCTATATGCAGTGTTCAAAAAGCCACAGATATTTGTAATAAAAATTAAAAATAGGCCAGGCATGGTGGCTAACACCTGTAATCCCAGCACTTTGGGAGGCAGAGGCAGGAGGATCACTTGAGCCCACCATTACGAAACCAGCTTAGACAACATAGTGAAACCCCATCTGTACAAAAATACAAACATTTAGCTGGGCATGGTGGTGTGTGCCTGTAATCCCTGCTGCTCGGGAGGCTTGAGGTGGGAGGATTGCCTGAGCCCAGGAGGTTGAGTCTGCAGTGAGCCATGATCACGCCACTGCACTCCAGCCTGGGTGACAGAACGAGACCCTGTGTTAAAACAAACAAAACAAAAAACCCCCCAAATTAAAAATATTTCCATCCAACTTGGTTAAAATAGAATTGAAAACCTTTAGCATTAAAGGGATGTTTCCATTATAAATAAGTTACTAATTTCCTAACCATACTAGATGAATGAGTTGTTATTGCATACAAATCCAAAAATTATTACATTTTATTGTAGCTTGAATATATCTTGGTGAACTCATTTTCTTAGAGTGGCTCTGGTTAGCTCTTTATTAAAATGACAACTGATGTCACAGAAGCTGCCTGAGGACACATCTAAAATGAACATGCTTTTAGTGGTGGTTAAAATACTTTGAACAGTCAACAAATATTTACAGCTCTTTTTGTGTAACGTGCTGTACTAAGTGCTGGGATAAAGCAGTGAACGGGGTGGACATAGCCTCAGAACTCCCGGAGCTTGTGGTCCAATAGCTCAGTAAAGGTCTACTGAATGAAAGGGAGACTTCCCTTTGCTCACAATGAGGTCATTCCTCATGTTTTTGCCAATGTATTTTTCCTGCCTGGATAATCCACCCTCTGACCTTTATCCACATCCTTTACCCATTTCTTTTTCAAGGTCCAGATCAAACAGCAAGTTCTCCACTAAGCCTCTAACAATAATAACACTGATGGCAGCTAAACATTTATTGAGCCTGATGCTAACCTCTTTACATGGATTACATAACTCATTTCTCACAATGCACTATGAGATATTTACATATAATTCTTCAGTAACCCAATTGAGGGGAATTGCAGGGCAATTAAAAAATACGTATAACTTAAAATGTTGAACTCAGCATGCCCAGAACTACTAGAATCTTTTTGAGCATAGAACTTAAAATGTAAGGTGCGAAGAAAACAATTTTATATTTTACTGTGCCTCAGAATTGCTTGGTGGGGTCTTTTAAGAAATAAAGATGCCAGAGTACATTGTCAAAATTTCCAACTAATTAAAAACACACAAGCACACATATGCAGAACACAGTACAGAAAATTGCCGCAAATATCTTCTAAAGATAACCACAAATTGCACTTTATGTGTTTCCATTCAGTTTTTCTTCTTTTTTTGTAGCTATAATCTTTTAGACATAATTTTAGGATAGGTATCACCTTATCAGTGAGATCTTTCCTTACCCACCTCCATTCCCTGTCCTCATTACTGCTTAAGTTTTCTCCAAAGAATTTCTTACCTTCTATTTATTAATTACTTTTTAATTTACTTTGCTTCCTCAGAGTAACTTATCTCCCCACCTCCCCGTGGCCCCACTTCCACATACATACTAGAATGTCAGCTCCATAAGGGCAGAGATTTTTGTCTACTTTGCTCACTTCAGTATCTACAGTCGTTAACAGAGTGCCTGGCATGGAGAGGTAGCTTAGTATCTCTTTGTCCAATGATGGATACCTGAATGAATACAACTGTCAAAGTGCCCTTCAGAAATGCTGTACTATTTCCACTTCTACACGAAGGGTAAGGCAGTGCCATGTGGAAGGTATATTTTTAATGGGTGGGACCTTGAGTCATCCCTTGAATGCCACCTGGGATCTCTGTGGCAGGCACTTGCAACACCAAAGGAGTGTACACTGTGCCTGGGGCCAAGGGCAGGTGCCATACACAAGTGCAAGGCCATACTGAAGAGGCCACCTGCCCTCAAATGGGTTCAACAGGAATGCTTTTTAAAGCAATGCCCCAAAATTGGTTTTAGCACTTGATTGTATAACCTGACCACATTATGAGTTCTGGAATTTGTTCAGGGCTGTGTCCTGTTTCCTTTAGATCACATCTTTCTCTCACCCAGATTGCCTAATTTTTGAACTTTTAAAGAGCAGAGTACTGCTTTCAGTGCTATTTAGTCATTTCCCACAGCTCTTCATCCCTTTAGAGTAGCTTTTATAGTTACTTGGGCCATTTTGGGTAGTGGACATTGGATTACTATTTTTGTTCAACCAAATAAATGGAAGGCTTCTTAGTATTATTAATGCTCAAAACATGCAACCCACACTCCTATTATGCAATTGAATATTGTTTTGAAGTCATCCTGTAATTACAAGATTTCCTTCCAAATCAGACAATAGGTCTGAAAGTAGTAATTTTGACCTAAATATGTGCAAGAGCTTGAAGGGCTTCTTATAAAAACTAAGAGGAAGACCAAGTTTAGTGGAAAAACACCCAGGCTAGGATTTGGGAGACCTGGGTCCCACTGACATCTCTGCCAATTATTGGCTCTCCAAGTCCCCCTTTGGTTGGGTAATGGGGCCGTCCATCCTAACTCACTCTATTATGTGGAATATAAATATGGGAATCACAATGAAAACTGTAAAATTATATTACATCTAAAAGGCTGCCATGTTTTCTTAAACACTGGTTAATTATGGTAGGTAGAAAGAGGTCTTTTGAAGGCTTTTAGAGCTCATTTTCCCAAATTGTTTTGTGTGGACCTCTGCTTCAGGGAGATGTATTTAGTCAGCTTTTGCTGCATGCCAACTTCAATATCAAAGTGGCTCATATTCCATACACATTCCTATGCTTGCTCGTCTGCAGTTCAGTTAGAGTTCAGTCCTGAAGTTTAAGTTGAAAGGAAGAAACTTGATCTTAGTGGGTACTTAATCTGTTCAGCTCACTAAAAACAAAAACAAAAACAGCTCAGTTGTATGGAAGGAGCATGTTAACCACAAAAAGTAGGGGTAGACCAGAAAGAAGTAAGCTAGAAGGTGGGTTTTGGAATGAGATCAGCGCCAGTGAATCTACCCTTCAGTTCTAGATTTGAGAAAAGTAGTCAACCACCATACCAATGGGCAACAAGTAGGACCAATGGAAACTGTACTCACCCCACCTGTTGAAAACCTGGAGTTTGAGTAGGTCTTGCCTTGTGTAAGAAGGAGTGGAGAAGAAAAAAATCACACCCTACATTTGGTCAGGGCCAAACAAGATTGAGGACAAATAGAACTTTGTGTTAAAATACTTGTCCCAGGTCCAGTTTCGTTTTGCAGGATTCAGAAAGAGTTGTGTTTGTTTAATACAGTCTTATAAAGAATTTCCAATCCCAGAGGATTCATGAAGCAAAGTGATGCTACAGCTTCCACGGTGTGTATGTCAGAGCAGGCAGGATTTTGGAGATTGTATATCCCAACACTGTAATTTTACAAATGGAAAAAGGCACAGGGAGGAAAATAAAGCTCAGGATTATTCAGTTGGAGGAGATAGAAATGCACCTAAGTCCCATAGCTCTTAGTACAGGACATATTTTTTTTTACAATAGCAGCAGCAGCAGCATTATTAAATAATGATCATGGAACATTTATGAATCTAGGCATAGTTCTAAGTATTCTATATGGATTATGACTTTTATGCCTTATAATAGCCCATAGAGGTACACTTCCCCTTTGTACAGGTGAGGAAACCGAGAGAGGCAGAGAGGTTAATAAACTTGTCCCCAGAGTAACATGTAAGAAAATGATAGAGATAGGACATATCATGAAGCAATTTCCAAAGCGTATCTGGCATATACCAGCTTCGCTTCCAGAGACATCTACCTGACCAGAGGTAGAGCAGTAGTTTACACTTCTTCACTTGTTCAGACAATAAAGAAAATGGGTTTTGAGGAAGCCCTGTATGCCTTTCTAAAAGTGCTTTCTAAGACAGAGTACATATTTCCTGATCTTCTGTATATCCGTCATCAAACTCAACTGTCATCTTCTTAATGCCAGGTAGATACTAAACCACAAATCCTCCAAAACAACTGGGCAGAAAGTAGAAGACAATCAGCAGCATTCACTGCTTTCTAAGAAGGCAATTCCCAGGAATACAGTCCTGAAGGTTTAAGTTGAAAAAGAAACTTGATCTTAGTAGGTATGTAATCAGTTTAGCTCACTAAAAACAAAACAAAACAAGACAAAAAACAAACAAACAAACAAACAAAAAAACAACTCTGTCAGGTGGAAGGAACGTGAAACGTGTTAACCCATGAAAAACAGAAGCAGGCCAGAAGGAAGCCAGCTAGAATCTAGGGTTTAGAATGCGAGCAGTGCCTGTCAATCTACCCTTCAGTTCTAGATTTGAGAAAAGTAGTCAACCACCACACCAATGGACAATGAGCAGGACCAACAGAAACTCCATCCACCTACCTATTGAAAACCTGGAGCTTTAATAGGTCTTGCCTTGTTCAAGAAGTAGAGAAGAAAAATAAAACAATTCCTATGGTAGAAAAAAAAAAGATACTGTGCAACAAAGAAAAACCGTATCGAGATGGTTTTTGAGGAAGAATACACATGTGAAAACCAGCTAGTCTGGGATCCAGAAAAATATTTAAGAAATAGTCTGGCATCCTCAGAAAAGTACAAGAAGATATGGTGTCTATGAACCAGGAGCTGCATGGAGACAGATGTATCCAGTAAGGACTAGAGTGAAGCTAAGATATAATGGAAGGGAGACAAAACACTCCCTATCTCTGGAAACAAAATAAAATGGAATACAGGGTGCCAGTTAACCCTTGCAGTAAATGATAATTTAAAAGGAAAATACAAAATACCCACAGGTGAATGATAACGAAAGTATCTCATATCAAAATTTACTGGAAGTCGCTAAGGCAGAGGAAATTTATAGGTTTGAGTAGATTTTCTGTTTTTCCTATTTATTTATATATTAAAGATATATACATGAGGATATTTATCCCCATTTTACAAAAGAGGAAAAAGAAGCTAAGAGAAGTTGAGTAGCTTGTCAAAGTTCACACTACCAGTAATAGCAGAGCCAGGATCTGAACCAGGAGGTCTGGTTCACTCTTAATAAGACAGAAAAATCTCTAGCAAGGTTAAGAAAAAAAGAAAAGATATGAATAAGCAAAATACATGATAAAGAGAGAAAGAAAAAAATGTTTTGAACAACTAGCTTACACTCCAATAAATACGTATATATTAGTTTCCTAGAGCTCTTATAACAAAATACCATAGACTGAGTGGCTTAAGCAACAGAAATGCATTTTCTCACAGCTTTGGAGGCTAGAAGTCTAAGATCAAGGTGTTGGTAGGTTTGGTTTCCCCTGAGGCCTCTCTCCTTGGCTTGCAGATGACTGACTGCCTTCCTACTGTATCCTCACGTGGTCTTTCTTCTGTGTGCAGGCATGCCTGCTGTCACATGTATCTCCTTATAACAACAGCAGGCAGGTTAGATTTGGGCCCACCCTAACAGCCTCATTTTAACATAATCACCTCTCTGAAGGCCCTATCTCTAAATACAGTCACAATTCGAGGAATTGAGGATTAAGACTTTATATGAATTTTCTAGGAATATGATTCAGCCCATAACAGTCTAGAAAAGTGGGTTTCGGGGAAAAAAAACCCACAACTTCCCAGCATAAATGTGAAATAGAAAATTAAATACACCAATAATATAACATGATTATTAATCCTTTCCTTTTACTACCACATTCCTAGTAGATAGAGACTGTGGTTGTTTTACAGGTGAGTCCAAACACACTTTCCAAGGAACAGAAAATCCCTATATTACTTTAGTTGTATCAGAAAATAAAAGATAAGAAAAAGTTGCCCAACTCATTTCATTCTAAAAGTGGATTGAATAGGTATAATAAATAAAAGTAAATTATAGACCAATGTTTAAGACATAGGTACAAAAATCCCAGACTTTATATTATTTAAAAGTAATTACAGCAATATGTATAGGAATTAATACATCATTATCAAGTTCAATTTATTCCAGGTATGTAAATATACTTCAACTTTGGTACAAGTTTGGTACAACTTCAGACACATTATCTTTCAGGTAATTTGCTAATGTTACTAAAAAAAAAAAAACACCCCAGAAGAAAAGTTAAAACCCTAAACAAAAACAAGAAAAAGAAGAGTATAAGAATTAGAAGAAAAAAGAGGAAATTAGCATTTTAGAAATTTTATATGATGATTTAATATGGAACACCTACAACAAGCTACAGATACATTACTAAAATTGATTAAAAAGTTTAGATAAGTTGTTGGATAAAAATCAATATACAAATACATTGTATTTCTATACAACAGCAACAAAGCTCTAAAAGAGCTGAAATTAAAAGTTACAATTTAATTTACAATGGCAATTTTACACATACACACACACACACACACACACCAGGGAATGAGCTGAAAAAATAAAGACCTTAATGGAGACAATTATTAAATTTATTAAAAGATATTAAAAATACCAGAATTAATAGAAGATATATCATATGTATGAATTTGTAGACAAAATATTTTGAGATGCTGTATCTACTCAAATGGAACAATATATTCAATGGGATTAAAATATGTATCTGAAGGCAATCTGTGTTGTACTAAAAAGCTTGAAATGACAAAGCTTGAAAGCTGGTTCTAAAATTTATATAGATGACTTGAGGGTCTGAGAATGACCCAAATTGTCCTGAAAAAGATGAAGCAAATTTTATTATTAAGCTTATTAAATAAGAAGTGAGTGAGTGACTGGTATGAGGACTAAGGGACCAAGGGAGCAATGGAACATAACAAACTTGGTATGTGACAGAGGTGGCATTGCTGAAAACCAGTGAAATGAGGGAATTGGTCAACATATGGGGTTGAAATAATTGGTTACTTACATGGAAGAAGTGGAATTGGATGTTCACTTTACCATGAACATAGATATCAATTCCATGTCTATTAAAAATGTAAATGTGAGGCTGGGTGCGATGGCTCAAGCCTGTAATCCCAGCACTTTGGGAGGCCAAGGCAGGCGTATCACAAGGTCAGGAGTTCGAGACCAGCTTGGCCAATATGGTGAAACCCTGTCTCTACTAAAGATACAAAAAAATTAGCCAGGCGTGGTGGCACACACCTGTAATCCCAACTACTTGGGAGGCTGAGGCAGGAGAATTACTTGAACCTGGGAGGTGGAGGTTGCAGTGAGCCGAGATTGTGCCACTACACTCCAGCCTGGGTGACAGAGTGAGACTCTGTCTCAAAAAAAAAAAAAAAAAGTAAATGTGGAAGGTAAAAGTCTACAAAGGGAGTATCTGTGACTTGGGGCAGGGAAATATTGCTTAGACAAAACACAAAGCGCACAAACCATAAAGAGAAAGATTGGTAAATTTGAGCACATTAAGAACCTCTGTTCATCAGGAGACACTGTAAGGACAGCAGAAAGCAGACTTGGAGAATGTTGTGTGTGTGTGCGTGTGTGTATCTAGCAAATAATTAGTATTCAGATATACAAATCAATATTGATTTTTCTACAAATCAATAAGAAAAAGACAATACCATGGACATGTTCTCAAACTCCTTAGTAATCTTGGAAATGAAAATTAAAACGACAATGTATCACCATTTCCTACCTATCAGATTGGAAAAATACAACCTGATATTACAAAAAACTGTTGATGTAGGACAATGAGAACCTTAGACAATGATAGATTCAGCATGGAATTAACCTAAAGGAATAAGGCCTGTCTCCTAAGTTTTTGAGGGAGTTACGATATCACAACAACCTTAGGCTTGTGTGGCATCAGCCTGTGAATATTAACTTATATCAAGGCCACCGCTATAAAATCAAAGTCCTTAAAATGCCCTACCAGGACTTGGTATGTATGATCTGGTTCTCCCTTGCTTCTCTAATCTCACTTGTTACTACTTTCCCATCACTCTTGCCATCCTCAGTCCTTGGAAGTATTTCTCGATTATTCTTTTATATTTGCCATTCCCTCTTACCGGAATATCCATCCTCCAGATATCCACATGGCTCTGTCTCTTCATTCATTCTAGTGCCTGCTGAAAGGTCATCTTTTTAAGATGATTTCTCTGATAATTTTATCTGAAAAGTGACCACCCATCCTACTTGTCACTATCTTCTTCCTTGTTTTTTTTTCTTTATAACCTTCATCATGACTTTACATTTTAAATTTTTAATTTTTTCCCTTCTCTCCTTTTTTTTTTGAGATAAAGTCTTGCTCTGTTGTCTAGGCTGGAGTGCAGTGGCACAGTCATAGATCACTGCAGGGTAATTTTAAATTTTTTGTAGAGGTAGGGTCTTGTTACATTGCCCAGGCTGGTCTCGAACCCCTAGCTTCAAGAGATCCTCTTGCCTCGGCCTTCCAAAGTGCTGGGATTAAAAGCACCAGTCACTGTGCCTGGCCTTTACACTTTTTTATTGTGTGTTTGTATCCGTCCACTAGGCTACTATTGCGATACCCCTAGTTCCCAGATTACTTGGCCCATAGTAGGAGCTTAATATTTGTGTAATCAGGGGACATGAAATTCCTTATAAGCTCTTATTTAATAGAATTAACAAAATATTTTACTTCTAGATTTTAAAATCTAATTTACTAACATCATTTGGGAATTTTGTTACATATACATGCCTCCCACACTTTTTTTTTTAAAAAAGAGTTCGTTTATCACACACTTGTTTTTTAAACTAATGATTTGCTTTCAAGTCAGTGTTGTCACACGTCCAAGGTTTTCCTACATTCTGGTCAATATTTATTCTATTGTGGACTGTACAAAGAGAGCGTCATCAGTTGTTCTTTTAACACTGAGACTTGTCAATATGAACTAGGAAAGAATGATGATAAAGAACACCGAAGGTACAGGAGGACTCTGGGTGAGGCATAGTGCCATCAGATCAGAATCCTGAGTATTTCATGCAACTGAAAAGCCTCTGGCTTCAATAATAACTCATGGGGAAGGAAAGTTGTTCCACACCCAAAGAGATCATATTTTGTAACAAGCCAATGAGATCAAGATTTGTTTAGGTCAATTTCAGAGCAAACATAGGTTATCAGATGCATCCTTCAATATGGTTTACTAGAATCTGAAAATTGCATGCTTCTTTTGAAGAAAAGGATGGTTAAAGGATACTGCTATGATTTTTATTCTGAAATTCATCACAATACTGTATATGTTTATAAGGAAATCTGCTATCTGGTCAGTGAAAGGAACTATCTTTCAGACAACTAAATTCATGTTTGTTTCATATGACCAAAAATGCAGACAGAAGCCGGATAGTAAAGATGCCAGGCAGAGAGAATACACTTGAAGTAGTTGGAAACTACTTGGGTTTAAATTATTGGTTGAAATCTACTGGGGTTCAAATTCCATCCATGCCACTCACTGTTTGACATTGATCAATTTAGCTAACTCCTCTAAGTCTCAATCTTTTCATCCATAAAGCATTTCTTCATCTATAAAACAGGGAAGAGTAATGAGAAAATTCAGATAAAGCAGTCAACACACGTTCATAATTATGTTAATTTACAACTAACGTATCTTGAATGCTTACCATGGGCCAGGCACTGACTGGGCTAAGTGCCTTATGTATATTTTTTTCTTTTTTAATCATTATGTGCAGTAGGTGTTGTGATTATATCCTTTTTACAAATGAAATAAAAGGCAAAGATGAGGGAGCCAGGACCCAAACCCTCTGCCCTGTGGTGGGCCCCAAAGTCTGCATTTGAAATTCTTGGCTTTCTTGCATCTTTCTGTTGCCATAGAGAGCATCACCATCACCTTTTAGATAGGAGGTGGGGTTCAGATGATCTTCAAGGTTGCTTACATAAATCTTTTCTTGTTGTCACATGCAGACACACAAACTCTCTCTCTCTCTCTTTCTGAGAGGTCAGCCCATTTTCCTGTCTGCTACAAGTTGTGCCATTTTCAGTATTGTTCTAAAATCAGATTAGTCACAATAGATCCTATAGTGCTTCCATTACCAATTTGTACAGTCAGTCTACAATATTGCTTATAAAAATGTTCTTTTGGAGCCATTGTGGGTCTCTTTGAACATTTCTGCAATGTTGTCTGTACAGACAGTACATCCAAGAAGAATGAGGATGGGGAATGACGTAATTAAGCCTGTTGGGAAGCTCTCTCTCTAAGGTGAACTGGAGTGTCAGATGGAGTTACGGTGCTTCTGAACACCATTCCCCAAAGCTCCATTTTGGAATCTTAGATTTAAAAGGCACTTTAGCAAATACTGTAAACCTTTTCTCTCATGCTGAATTACTTTGGTAATATTCTTCATAGTTATCTCCACTTGCTGTAGTTGGAGAGGGAAGCACAATCTTCTGGGAATTTTAACTTTATTTCTGGAATCTACTAACAGATAGTTCATTCAGCCGTTTTTCTTTATGCAACTTTCATTCTCTGATGTGAGTTCTGCCTTTGAAAGCAGAACAGAATAGATATATATTTTATTCATGAAAAACTTTAAAATTTGAAGGTAACAGTCAAATTTCACTCATGAGGCAGGGATTGGGTCTCATTTTGTGCTCCATTATAACCATAGCACCTAGCGCTGTGTAGGAAATATAGTTGGTACTCATTAAATTTCTTGATGAATGACTAAATGAGTTCTCTCTTTTCTCCACTAGAGTGACTGAAAGAAAGTATTATATTTCTTTGACATGTGAAGCATAAAATGTGACCATTAACTCTTCTCAAATGTGAGCTCCATGTGGTGAAGGACCACATATCATATGTAAGCAGGTAAATTCATGATTGAGTGAATAAATCCTGAATGCTGCTCTAGTAGTGGTTGTAACGTTTTACCCTGCCACACTTGGCCATGACTTGTTGGAGAAAAGGTAAATATCTGATTTAATCTGGGCCAATCAAATTCCTCTCCTGGGTATTTGGAATTAAGACCTATCTCTGGGGAGATGAGCTGAAAGTTCCAACACTAAGGCTGAAAGTGAGGACTAGTTAAAGCCTCATGGAGGCTAACATTTCTAGGAGAACCAAGAGTAACAAAGATGAGAGACACGTGACCTCAGGGAGAACATGAGGTGGGCCATATGGCTGTCCAGATACCTGATGGCTTTCCAGCCCGTGGCTCCAGTTTCCATGATGGTCAGCTGTTCTTCATTTCTTTGAGATCTCTGAATCCTTACAATAATCACCGTCCCACCCTGACAGAAAAACAGAGAAACACACACATGTGCTGTTATTGAAGGTTGCCTATGTTAGTTCTGTTCCTACCACTCTATAAAACAGTTTATTCAATCTAATATAACACTAATTCTTGACTCATATTCTGCACACAGATAACTAAAACACCCAGATCTTTTCACACAAACTGCAGTTTAACCAATTGTATAATAGAATTTTTGGAAAGTTTGCTCATTCACCCATTCATTCAACAACAATATATTAAGCAACTACTGTATGTGAATGGACTTTTTATAGTTTTTACTATTTGTCTGTCAGTTGTCACTTTTTGCTGCTGCGAAGGATGTTGTCTTTTCTTTCCATTTACTTATTAGCAGTGGAATTGAGTAATGATGAGTAAAATAAAAGCTCGTAAGCTCTGAATGTGGGCACTACATGATGTTTGTCATATCTATTTTGAGTGTGGAAAGAACATTTTGCCTACTGTCTGTTTCCCTCTTAGATTCTGGGTTGTTGTAGGTATAGTAAGTAAATATTGGATACTTGAATTGTTATGTGTGGTTTTATATATACATTTATATGCATATATCTTATATAAATTTAAATCTAAATATATATACATAGCTAGGAAAAAACAAAGTAAGGTTGTACCAGAGTAAAGAAAAGTTGACCATATTTAAATAAATAAATGTGATTACATTTACAGACCAGCAGATGTACTTGGGACTGTCACCTCTGTGTATCTTGAATAAAACTGAAGGTTAAACTTGTCCCTTCATTGGGCTTTAAATTAAAAAATTTTTTTTTAAAATTATCTTAGGTACATAATAGGTATATATATATTTATGGGCACATGTGATATTTTGATACAGGCTACAATGTGTAACACCTCAGGGTAATTGGGGTATGCATCACTTCAAGCATGTATTATTTCTTTGTGTTAGGAACATTCCAATTCCACTCTTTTTCTTTCTTTCTTTCTTTCCTTTTCTTTCTTTCTTTTTTCGTCTTTCTTTTCTGTTTTTCTTTTGCTCTCCTTCCTTCCTTTCTTTCTCTCTTTCTTTCCTTCTCTCTTTCTTTCATCTTTCTTTCTTCTCCTTCCTTCCTTCCTTTCTCTTTCTTTCTTTGTTTCTTTCTTTCCTCTTTCTTTCCCTCCCTCTCTCCCTCCCTCTCTCTTCCTTTCTTTCCTTCTTTCTTTCTCTTTCTTTCTTTCTTTCTTTCCCTCCCTCCCTCTCCTTCCTTCCTTCCTTCCTTTCTTTCTTTCTTTCTTTCTTTCTTTCTTTCTTTCTTTCTTTCTTTCTTTCTCTCTCTCTCTCTCTCTTTCTTTCTTTCTTTCTTTCTTTCTTTCTTTTCTTTCTCTTTCCTCTTTCTTTCCCTCCCTCTCTCTCTCTCTCTTTCTCTTTCTCTTTTTTTCTTTCTTCTTCTTCTTCTTTTTTTTAACAGGATCTCATTCCATCACCCTGGCTGGAGTACAGTGGCATGATTATGGCTCACTACAGCATTGAATCAACCTCCTGGGCTGGAGCAATCCTCCCATCTCAGCCTCCCAAGTAGCTGGGACTACAGGTGCACACCACTGTACCTGGCTAATTTTTGTATTTTTTGAGACAGGGTTTTCTTATGTTGCCCAGGTTGGTGTCAAACTCCTGAGCTCAAGCGGTCTGCTTGCCTCAGCCTCCCAAAGTGCTAGGATTACAGGTGTGAGCCACCATGCCCAGCCTAGTTATTAAAAAATATACAATTAATTATTGTTGACTATAGTCACCCTGTTGTGCTACCAAATACTAGATCTTATTCATTCTATCTAAGTTTATTTTTGCACCTATTACTCATTTCCCCACCCCCTACCACTCCCACCCTGCTATCCTTCCCAGCCTCTGCTAATCATCCTTCTACTCTCTATCTCAATGGGTTCAATTGCTTTAACTTTTAGCTCCCACATGTGAGTGAGAACATGAGAAGTTTGTCTTTCTGTGCCTGGCTTATTTCACCGAATATAATGTCTTCCAGTTTCATCTATGTTGTTGCAAATGACAGGATTTTGTTCTTTTTTATTGCTGAATAATACTTCATTATGTATATGTACCACATTTTCTTTATTTGTTCATCTGTTGATGGACACTTAGGTTGATACCAAATCTTGGCTACTATGAATAGTGCTGCAATAAGCATGTGAGTGCAGATATCTCTTCAACATACTGATTTCCTTTCTTTTGGATATTTACCTAGCAGTAGGATTGCTAGATCATGTAGTAGTTCTATAGTTTTCCAAGGAACTTTCATATTGTTTGCCATAGTGGCTGTACTAATTGACATTCCCATCAACAGTGTATAGGGACTCCCCTTTTGCCACATCCTCACCAGCATTTGTTACTGTCTGTCTTTTGGATAAAAACCTTTTTAACTACAGTGGAATGGTATCTCATTGCACTTTTGATTTGCATTACTCTGATGATCAATGTTGTTGAGTATTTTTTTATATACCTGTTGGCCATCTGTATGTCTTCATTTGGGAAATTTTTATTACAGATGTTTTGCCCATTTGTAAATTGGATTATTTGATTTTCCTCCTATAGAGTTGTTTGAGTTACTTATATATTTGGGTATTAATCCCTTGTCAGATGGATAGTTTGCAAATATTTTCTCCCATTCTGTGGGTTGTCACTTCACTTTGTTGTTTCTCTTGCCACATAGAAGCTTTTTAGCTTGATGTGATCTCATTTTTCCATTTTCACTTTGGTTGCCTGATCTTTTGAGGTATTACTCAAGAAATAGTTGCCAAGACCAATGTCCTGGAGAATTTCCCCACATTCATTGGGCTTTTAGTTAATCTCCTCCATCCCACTCTTTACTTCAACCAAATCAACCAACATTTAAACACTCATTTTCAAGCTGCTTTTCTGTAATTCCAATTTGTTGGGATTTCCCTGGCCCCTATCACTTGTGAGTTCAGTTTTATGGGTGAGAGGGGACTTGATAAAGAAGGCACAATTTTTTTTTCATACCCCAAATGCCAGGGCAATAAGCCAAGTTTATACTTGATGCGTCCTCCATTTTCATTAGCAATAGAAACAGTATAGTGCTACTAAGGTCAGGGGTTTGAACCCTGGCTCTGCTACCTTTCAGGTATGCAATCTTTCGGAAATTCTCTTAATTTCTTTGAGCTTCAGTTTCTTATTTCTAAAAGATAATTAATACTACCAGATTATAGTGATTACTGTGAGGGCTAAAAGACTTAATGACTACAAAATACTCAGCACAGTCCCTGGCACCTAGTAAATATCCAATAGGTCATCGCTTCCAGTGTTGTTTTTATTACTGGGGGATGCTGCTGTCCACGTACCAAAAGAGAACTGTAAAAAACAGCTTGCAAAGTAAGAGAAGGAAGGGAAGTGTTTTAATGTGTAATGGCACATTACATTTTCTGGTAATCCCAATGTTACTTTAAAAAATCTTAAAAATTTGACAGTGGTAGCACAGTTTATTTAGAGCCTTGTCTTGGGGATAATATGAATTTTTCTGGGAGGATTATACATACCAGGCTTCTTTTCCTGTGAGAGCAAATTCCCTTGGACTTCTTAAATTTCTGTTTTCTTGGTGTAGAGACTGTTTTCTCTAATTCACTGTGGGTTTTCTGAACTTTTCCCCGTTCAATCCTAGTGGTTTCAATCTGGGCTGTTGTAAGAATGGCTTTTAGAGGAAAGAGATATTAGAAATGACAGCTTTTCAAGATGAAAAAGGTGCCTTAAGACTCCAAATAATTCTGTTATAATTTTTCATTTCTTCTTAAGCATTTTACGGAAAATGGCCCATCTTGAGTATTTTTATCCTTGGGCCTAAAAACAAGTTCTTGTTAGCCAGCGGCTAGGCCTTTGAAGCTGCAGTGCTTGTATTTTGGTCTCCACCCTCTTGGATGACTTGTGGAAGTATCTTCCAAGCTCCTTCCTGATTGCGTTTCCCCAGTTTCAACTGAGAAGGAGAAAGAACTGTGACTATATCGATGATTTCAGAAGTGTAAACAACTTATCATGTTTGTGGAACACTGGATAACCCTCACAGGGGATGCTGAGGAATCTGGATGCCCATGGATTTTTAATAATGGGAGAGAATGCTATTTGGAAATCAGAGGATTGAATGGATCTTGGATTGGATCTTGAACACAAGACTCCAACTCCAAAATAAAAACTGTGGGCTGAACAATATGCAATTATATATGTGGTTGTATAATGTGCTTCCATTTCCTTACTACACCCTAACAAAGTCTTTGTTGCTGGCAGGGAGATCAGCCTGGCCTTAAGAATCTGCTTCTGCTAGTTCAGATGGGAAGTGATTAGTGTTTGTCATATGCTTAAAATCCTTTATGATAAATGGCACAGGCAGTTATTTTCGTATGTACACAGAATACATCACGAAGATCAAAGAACTCTAACCAGAGGCCCCATTTCCAGCTAACAGGTCTGAGTCTATTTGGGTTTAGATTGTAAAACTTCAGGAAAATCTAACGAGCTTATGTTACCCTGAACAAGAAATGAGATTTCTTAGTAATACCCACTATTGCTAAGTGACTATTAAGGTAGCCAAATATCATTCTTTACCTATGCTTTAGTTTAAAATTTCAAAGAGAGGTATGGTCAGATTTATCCATGTGTTCAATATCTAAGATTTTGTCTTTTAAGGGAAAGCGCTTTCTCCTCTGATTTTCTGCCTAGGGGAACCTCAAGGTATCTATGGCGTAAAAGCCAAACGTCTGTTTTAGCAAATAGCCAGACATTACAGTGGGGAGTATGTAGATCATCTTGATTATTTTACCAACCATCAGGGCAGAGATGGAAACATTGTGAGCTGGGAACATTGAGTTTCATTTTTACCAGTATCCTTGCCTTTTAGAAGGTATCTGTTAGGAGTACTTAAAGTAAAATGGATTGTTTCTAAAATTGTGAGATGAGCTATAGGGCAGCTTTTCTACTTAATTAGCTTTTGTCGTTTTGTGTTTCTGTTGAGAAAAGCTGAGTGGGACCCAAGCTATCCATTCACTGCAGCATCCAAGTTGCTTAGAATCCTTTTAGAATTTAGCTAAGAATACTGTTTCTACCCATTCCAAAAAGTATAGCTAGATAATTTGTAAATTCAATTTCATGTTAATTATAAACAATTTCTTGTGCTCCTTTCTGTACTGTGGGTATTTACCGAGTTCAACCATAGCTTATACCTCATATGAGAAAGATTAACAATAAAAAATCTTTTCTGTGCACAAGTGGGGGTAAAAGACTCATTATCTTCTCTACTTTACCCCCAGTGCACCCAGGCTCCAAACTCCAGAATCATATATTCTTTCTCCACTTCCAATCTAATATTAAATCATGTTGATTTTTGTCTCAACAATATTTTTTGTTTGTTTTTAATTTTTCATTACCGTTGTCATTATCTTAGCTTAGGCTCTCTTCTTTCATGAATTAAGCTTTTCCTTATTATGCGTGAAGTTATTAATTGAACAAACACTTATTATTCACCTACTAGGTACTAGGTATTAGTAGGTGGGAATAACAGCAATAATCAAGATAAAACCTTATGTTGGGTACAATCTTCTTACTCAAGTCACTGAAAAGCCTTTAAATAGGTCCTTTATGTATTTTCTCTCTCTACTCCAAAACATTAAAAACATAATTGCAAAACTAGTTTTATGTAATGCTTCATTATGGCCTGAGATATCCTAATAGTGTGGCCATAGTCTTCTTTCTAGGGTTACTTCATATTATTTTCTTAATTTTCCCACATTTTAGATAAATGCATGTGTTAGGTATACGTTACCATGATTCCTGGCCTTTCGTATAGCTTCAGTGGTTATGTTATTCTTGTTGTATGGGAATGCTTTCCTCTCCATCTCATATGTTAAAATTCATCCATCTTTTTTTTTTTTCCAAAAAAGTGAATATTTATTTATTTATTTTAAATTTAATTTAATTTTAAGTTCTGGGATACATGTGCAGGACGTGCAGTTTTGTTATATAGGTAAATCTGTGCCGCGGTGGTTTGCTGCCCCTATCAACCCATCAGCTAGGTATTAATCGTCCATCTTTTAAAGCTCACTTTAACTTCCACTTTTCCATGAAGCTTTTCCTGATCTTCCTCCTCCTTCCATCCTGGAAAATCCTTGCAGTTTGTTCTGCAGCATCACACCTAGTGTCTAGCCATCCCTACTTTGTCCCTACACTTTTTGAATTGCTTACCAACAACTTAGAGAGGGAGCTAGAGATTGTTGCTGGCCATTGCTCCTTGTTTTTTCTCTTATTTCAGGTACTTTTTTGTATTTTGTCGATTCTTCCCGGACGCTGCCAGTTTTTTGCCCATCTCTGTTCTATTTTTACTGCAACTCCACACCAGTTCTGGTTCTTTGGTTTTCCTACTTGTTCTCTTAGCATTTGATAATTGATTCTCCACAATAGATTTTGAAATAACTTCTTGGATTTTTTTCTAAATTAGGTATTACAGGGTAAGGTCTTGCTTTTGCTCCATATTCCAGAATCCAATCTTGCCTGGGGCCAAACCCATGCCAGGCTTTCCCTCTTTTTTCTCCCAAGGGGATGGGGTGGTCAGTCAATTATCTTTATAGATATTTTTTTCATTAAAATTAAAAAATTCTTAATTGTGGCAAAAGACCCATAACATAAAATTTACCATCTTAACCATATAGTTCAATAGTGTTAAGTATATTCACATTGTTGTACAACCAATCTGCAGAACTTTTTTCATCTTGAGATCTTTCTTTACATTTTTAAGCAGTCATTTATTTACTTGTTTTCTCTTGTATATCGGACCAAAATTTTCTTGAGGACAAGGCTGTGTTACTGACTTGTGTATCTTTTAGTCAAACTACCTGGTATAATCAATTAATAATTGTTTCATGAATTTGAATTGACCCTGGCTTCCCTGATGTTCTAATCTAATGTGCACTCCACAGGAACCCTATTCTGTCAACAGACCTGGATTCTGATATCAATGAAATAGTGCACATCTTGAAAACATTTCCACTAATGTAAACAAGAAAGATGAAAGTCAACAGAGTAAGAAGTTGGCACAAGGAGTTGATTCCGTCTGCTTTGGAGGTTTTGCTTTTTGGCTTAACTGTTACATGGTGCTATTGTTTTTGTTCTGGGAGGTGGGACAGTGCTGCTTTATTTATTTTAAGAAGGCAGCAAGCCAGGAACACATAATTGAAAGGAAATTTCTGTACTGGCGTATTATTTTTTCAACTAAGATGGCAATAAATAACTTGCAACTTCCTTTTGTTTGAAGTGGTTGATATGAACTAGAGTTTAATCTTATACACTCATAAAATTGCACATGGCAAATACTTTCACAATTGCTATTTAAAAATAGGCCTATATACTTACACACTACTAATAATGTGTCCCTTTACATCATAGCCTTACAGCATTAGGGGAAAGTCATTATCTCCCCTCCTCCTATATCTCCAAATGTTCTCTGAGGGCTTACGTCTCTTATAGTCACCTCTTGTTCTGACTTCTGGATTCTCAAAGTTATTTTCCTCACCTGCATTTTGCTTCTTTTGGCTGTTCTCTCTCCTCCACTAGCATGTACCCCAAAGCATCAATTTTTCTTTGGTTTCTCAAAATATCACTTAAGGCAGTTGTCTGTATGAGATATTTAACAGAGAAAAAGCTATCACAAAGGTTTACTTTATATCATAATGCTACAGAAAAATTTAAATTGGACTTAGGCACAAGTTCTTAAACTTTCTTAGCCACTGTAAATATTTTATAGACTGACTTCTCTCTTCAATTTCTAGGGTCTCCTGCCATATCACTGATTTCTTTCCATTCCCTTATTGCTAATCTTTGGCGCCTAATCTCCTGCTAGGTGGTTCTGGAAATATCACAACCCTTCCAAACTTAATATTTCTCTAGTCTCTATCTATCATGACCTGGGGCTATGATTCCATAGTCATAATGGCATTTTTTTCACTAAAAAGATAATTATCTCAAAATGAGTCAAAGACTTAAATGTAAGATCTGAAACTATGAAGCTATGAGAAGAAAACATAAGGGAAATGCTTTAGGATGTTGGTCTGGGCAAAGATTTTATCAATAAGACCTTAAAAAAACAAGTAGTAAAAGCAAAAACAGACAAATTGGAGGGTTATATCAAGTGAAAAAGTTTCTGTACAGCAAAGGAAACAATCAACACAGTGAAGAGACAATCTACAGAATAGGAGAAAATGTTTGCAACCTATACATCCGATAAGGGGTCAATATCCAAAATATACAAGGAGCTGAAACAACTCAATAGCAAAAAAAGCCAATAACCCAAAAGACCTAAATAGACATTTCTGAAAAGAAGATGTACAGATGGCCAACAGATGGAAGAAAAATGCTAATATCTCTAATCATCAGGGAAATGCAAATCAAAACCATGATAACATATTACCTCACTCCTGTTAGAATGACTGTTGTCAAAAAGACAAAAGGCAACAAGGTTTGGTAACTATGTGAAGAAATGGGAACCCTTAACACACTGTTGGCAGGAATTTAAATTAGTGCAGCCATTATAGAAAACAGTAGGGAGGTGTCCTAAAATATTAAAACTGGAACTATCATATGATCCAGCAATCTCACTACTGGATATTTATCCAAAGGAAAGGAAATTAGTATGTTGAAAATATATCTGCACTCCCATGTTTATTGCAGTGCTATTCACAATAGACAAGATATGGAATCAACCTAAGTGTCCATCAACAGATGAATTGATAAAGAAAATGTGGTATATGTATACATGAGGGACTATTATTCAACCATAAAAAAGAAAGAAATCCTGTCATTTGTGGCAACATGAATGAGCTTGGAGGATATATGTTAAGTGGAATAAGCCAAGCACAGAACGACACACACCACAAGATCTCACTCATATATGGTAGCTAAAAAAGTTGATCTCATAGAATTAGAGAGTAGAATAGTGGTTATCAGAGCTTGGGATGGGTAGGGGAGTGGAGGATAGGGAGACATTGGTTAACAAGTACAGAATTATGGTTAATTAGGAAGAATAAGTTCAAGTGTTCTATAGCACAGTATGAAGACTATAGTTAACAACAATTTATTGTGTATTTCAAAACAGTTAGAAGAGAGAATTTTGAATGTTCCAAATATAAAGAAATGATAAATGAGATGATGGATATCACAATTACCCTGATATGATCATTACACATTGTATATACTTGTATCAAAATATCAGATGTATCTCATAAATATATACAATTATTATGTGTCAATCAATTTTTTTTAAAAAGCCACAATAAAGAAAATACTTTACCCCAAAGATAATTATCTCCTTAAGAGAAAATTTGTTTTAATAAAAACTTTTATTTTAGGGCCAGGTATGGTGGCACATGCTTATAATCCCAGGACTTTGGGAGGCCAAGGCGGTGGGATGGCTTGAGCTGAGGAGTTCGAGACCAGCCTGGGCAAGTTGGCGAAACCCTGTCTCTACAAAAGAAAACCAAAAACAATAGCCAGGTGTGGTTGCACGTGCCTGTAGTCCCTGCCAGTTGGGAGGCTGAGGTTGGAGGATGGCTTGAGCTTGGGAGGTTGAGGCTGTAGTGATCAAACCACTGCATTCCAGCCTTGGCCACAGAGTAAGACCCTCTCTCAGAAAACAAAAACAAAAACAAAAAACACTTTTACTTTAGAATTGTTTTAGATCTAAAGAAAAATTACAAAGATTACAAGAAAGTTCATGTGTACTGTACACTCAGTTTTCCCTATTATTAACAATCTTATATCCTTTCTATCACATTCCTGACAAATAGTAACATCTGCTTAAATACTTCCAGTGACTGGCAACCCAGTATGTCTTAATGAGCCCCATTGCCAGATAACTCTAGAGCAGTGTGACTTGAGATGTAGTCCTAGGACCAGCAGCAGCATCCATACAACCTGGGAGCTGCTTAGAAATGAAGAGTCTCAGATCTCATTCCAGACCTGAATTAGAATCTACATTCAACAGGATCTCCAGGTGATTCATGTGCACATCCAAATTTGAAAAGTATTGCTCTAGTGTTCATATACATATATATATATATACACACACACACATATATGTATTTTTCCCAAAAGATGGCAACCAAGGTCTTGCAATCACATTGCCCCATTCATTAATTTATCTGTGTATTCACAAAACATTTCTTAAGAGCATATTATGTGATTTAATTTGAATTTTTTTTAGAAAAAATTATCCCTACCCTAAAAATTTTCACATTCCAGTCCTGTCATGCAAAAGGTAGTTGAATGAACAGGGTAATTTTTATTCAGAAAAGAGAGGACTAAGTTTGAAGAGCTGACCCTGAAAGAAAAGCAAATTCAGAAAAATTCAGGAAAAGCTTATTCTTTATAATATCCATTCTTTGGTCTCAACTGGGTTTCTTTTAACTTTGTGTGCATCTAGTCTGTTTCTTATTCCACATGACAGCTGTTCAGATAATCGAAGGCAGAATCCAAGTTTTTACTTGGCTGGACTCTTCCTAGATTGTTCAAGGCTAGACACCCTTCCTGTCTTGAGCTGTCCAATAGTAACTTTGTCCTGCAGGATTGCTTTTACATGAATGTCAGGGTCTGCAACTGAAAGATTGATGAAAGGGAAGGCAGGCTACCTCATCCCTTTGCCCTAATCGTAGGTGGAATGGGAATGAGAGAGAAAGAACATTATGAGTGGGTTGTTTATACACTCAAGCCTCAGGACATATAAACAGGATGAAACCACTTATCTCACCCTTACTGACTGTTTTCTACAGATTGTGGCATTTTCCTGTATTTGCTCTTCTCTCAGGCACAGCTCTTCAAACTTAGTCTTCTCTTTTCTGAACAAAAATTACCCTGTTCATTCAACTGCCTTTTGCATGGCAGGACTGGAATGTGAAATTTTTGAGAGTAGGGATAAGGTCTTATTTAAAAAAAATTCAAGTTAAATCAGTGCTTAGCAATCATATGTTCTTAAGAAATGTTTTGTGAATACACAGATGAATAAATGAATGGGGCAATGTGATTGCAAGACCTTGCTTGACATCTTTTGAAAACATCTTAGTGCGTTACTGTCCCCTGTCCCTGATAAAATGTGGCATCATGAATTGAGCAGAATACTCCATATGGTGTATGAATATTGTAGGATAGTGGTATAATTAATTTCCCTAATTTAGAATTTACTTTTTGATGAGTTCAGCCTAATAAAGATGAAAGAGAATATGACCCCCATCATTATGGCGGTCTGTGTTTAGAAGGCCAAAATAGACCCCTACAACGTTGACTTAGCTTATCAGTAAGGTAGAATTTGCTTTAAATGGCAATTTTGAGATTTTTCTTGAGGAGCTGAAAGGCTTTACAAGATTAGGAAGGTCCCCCACTGGCTAAATAACTGCTGAGGGCTTTCCCCCTTTTCTTTCCATCATTCTTTGCTTCCTTCTTTCTCTAACTGCATTGCAAGCCACTTCCCTCACCTGAAATTACTTTTTTTTTCTGTAAATACTATTACAAAAAAAACTGTAAAAGAGAGTGGTAAATGCAGAGTAGATGGATAAACATAATGACCCAAGAATGACGATGGCGAAATATGACATTTTCTGGTGTTGGGTATAATAATGGGTAGAGACGGAGGAATGGAAAAAATAGACTAGCTCTTTTGCCATGGCAACAATAAGTGCATTTATTATATAAACAGAAGAAGGAAAGGCATTTATTTGGTCCTTGTTCCTTTTCCCTCCTAATTCTCAGTTTCTCCTGTTTTTTGTTTAGTTTAGATTCTCAAAAGCTGGAAGCCAGTTACCTTGCAAAGACATTGATCATTTCTTTAAATACCCAGGTATATGCTTGACTCCATAATATTTTACTGTTTAAAAATAAATAAATGAATGTTTTCTTTAAAAGCTGATTGAAGAATAGCTCAAGTCCTCTTTTATCAAACATAGAAGAATGCTCTCTTTAAAAGTTTGCATCTTTATCTTGAGTCAATAACCTTACAAGCAGGAATCAAGGCACAGTTTTCTTTCCAATTGAGTATCATTAGAACATTGTCTGGTTCATTCATGTATGTCTCAAGGGTAAATGGCCATCAGCGAGTCTCTGACAGAGAAATACTAAGTGATCCTAGTCTAAAAGGAAAGCCAATGTGCACTTGAGTAGCAGCATTCACTTTACAGAGAGTTCAAAGGGCACTTTACTATGTCTAAATGCCCTTTATGTTCTCTGGTGCCAGCAGGAAAAGGAAAGCTATTAAATGCTTATAAGAGTGAGACACTGTATTTTAGGACATAGGAAAGATGGGGGGAAATAGATGGCAAACTAATTGTAAGTCAAGAATATAGCGAGTTTCCCAAAGAGAATTCCTGCATTTTCAAAATATTCTTCTTTTTTAAGGGTGTGTGGGGTGGGTGGCGTAAAATGGAAAAATATGTAAAGCCTCATTTAATATGTTTTCTGAATAATCCAAAATTTTCAACATGAGCTGTAGGTTGGGTTGGGTTGGGGCAAATCGATGAGGCAGGAGCCTAAAATTATACCAAATTTCTGGATATAAATATCAGCCCCACCATTATTAGATATGTGAATTCCGGGAAGATACTTAATGTCTTTGAGTCCCAGCCTTCACGAGTATACAATTAGGAGGATAAATTCCACCACGGAGAAATGTTGTCAGGTTTAGTGTAGTAACATATATAATGCAGTCAGTAGGGGGCCTGGCATGTGTTAGGGCTTCAAAAATAAGAACCACATTTCCATTCCCACTGTCCCTTAGGATCAAATCTGCAGACATCTTCTTTAGGCATTTAATACCTCCCAGTATTCCTTGTCTACAGCTCATCGATGTTTGTTTACCCCAAGTATTTGTATAAAATTTTACACACAACCTTCCTAACTTACATTTAAGACTGTGCCATTTCTGATTTTCTAGAAAAGAGTTCAGATTCCTTATCACAGCATTTAAGGACATCCATGTTCTGACCCTGACCTAGTTGGGCTGTGTCCCCCTCCAACTCTCATGTTAAATTGTAATCCCCACATGTCAGGGGAGGGAGCTTGTGGGAAGTGATTGGGTCATGGGGTTGGATTTCCTGCATGCTGCTCTCATAATAGTGAATGAGTTCTCATGAGATCTGATGGCTTAAAAATATGGCACTTCCTCCATTGCTCTCCCTTTCCTGGTGCCATGTAAGATGCGCCTTGCTTCCCCTTCACCTTCTGCCATGATTGTAAGTTTCCTGAGGCCTCCTCAGCCATGTGGAACTGTGAGTCCATTACACCTCTTTTCTTTATAAATAACCCAGTCTCAGGTAGTTATTTATAACAGTGTGAAAACAGACTAATACAGACCCCCCCAACAAATAACATCTCCTTTATAAAGACCCTATGTTATATTGGCCAGTTCCTCAATATGTTCTGAAATATTTTTCCTCCATAATTTCATTCACTTTTCCCCTGACTATAATACAGTTGACCCTTAAACAACATGAGTTTGAACAGTGCAGTTTCACTTATACACAGATTTTCCTCTGCATCTGTCACCCTGAGAGGGTAAGATTAAGCCTACCTTTTCCTCTTCCCCCTCAGCCTACTCAACATGAAGACAGTGAGGATAAGACCTTTATGATGATCCATTTCCACTTAATGAATAGTAAATATATTTTGTCTAACTTACGATTTTCTGAATAACATTTTCTTTTCTCTAGTTTAACTTACTGTAAGAATATAGTATATAATACATGTAGCATACAAAATATGTGTTAATTGACAACATTATTTGTAAGGCTTTTGGTTAACAGTGGGTAATTAGTAATTAAGTGCTTGGGGAGTCAAAAGTTATATGCAAGTTTCTACTGCACGAGGTGTTGGCACCCTTAACCCCCACGTTGTTCAACTATACCTTCCATTTCTGCACTTTGAAAGGTTATTCTTTAAATTCCAGCATCAATGTCATGCCCTCTATGAAGTCTTCCTGAATACTTTGGACAGAAGTGATTTCTGTTCTTCTGGAATTGCCTAGTAATTCCTCATAATATTAATAATAAAGTTCTATACATTCGTATAATGCTCAAATCAGTGGACACTTCCTGATTTAGATATGATTTAACCTGCATAGAGTAGTTGACAATACAAGTGACTTTCCATCCATTTTCCTCCTCTGACTTCTGAAACATTCTGGTTTTCTTACTACCTATATGGCTTCTCTTTCTCAGTCTTCTCAGTGAATTTATTCATTTCCTAGGACTGCCTTTAAAACATACTACAAACTGGGTGGCTTAAAACAACATGAATTTATTATCTCAGAATTCTGGAGGCTAGAAGTTCAAAATCAAGGTGTTGGGAGGGCCATACTCCCTCTGAAGCCTTTAGGGGAGAATATCCCTTGCCTCTTTTAGCTTTTGGTAGCCTCAGGCATTCCTTGTTCTGTGGCAGCATAACTCTAATCTCTGCCTCCATTTTCATGTGGCTGTCTTCCCTCTGTCACTGGTGTCCTTAAAAGAAGAGAAACAGACACAAGGAGGAAAACCTTGTGTCTGTTTCTCTTCTTATAAGGACACTGGTCATATTGGATTAGGTCTCATCCTAATCAACAATGACCTCTCATCCTAATTTGATTACATCTGCATAGAGCCTATTTTCAAATAAGGTCACATTCACAGGTACTAGGGGTTAGGACTTGAACACATCTTTTGGGGGGATACAATTCAACCCAAAACAGTAGCGTTCCCATTTCTTGCCTCTCCCTTAAATATTAGGTTTCTTCAGAGTGATTTCTTAGGCTCCCTTCTCTCAGCAATTATTTAAATAATGAGGAAAACTAAAATTTGGCAGTGTCAAATATGTGAATCATAAAACAGGTGTAACACAAGGGTCCAAGGAGGATATTCGAGATACAGTGTTCTGATGCGTCCTCCTTGAATGTGACTATATTCCCTTAGCTTTTCCTTTAGAACCACACTTGAGGTGGTGGAGCCTTTAAAAATATTTAACAAATGTTACTTTTGAAGAAGAGAGTAAGAGTATTTAATAAGGTAACATTGGCAATGTGAAAGTTATATGAGATACATAATCAGTGGTCCTCATCTTTGTCTCCTTCTTAAAGAAAACAAGAGGAAATGATTGACCACTGGAAGGGTAATTTTTGTGGGCTGAATTGTACATTCCCCAAATTTCTATGTTGAAACCCCAACGCCCAGTACATCAGAAGGTAACTGTATTTGGAGGTAGGGCCTTGAAAGAGACAATTAAATTGAAATGAGGCTATTAAGGTGAACCCTAATGTAATATGTCTTATGAAGTCATCATAAGACAGGGAAATTTGGACATACCAAGAGACTCCAGGTATGTGTGCACCCAGAGGAAAGACCATTTGAGAAAATGACCATCTGTAAACCAAGGAGAGAGGTTTTAGGAGAAACCAAGCCTGCTGGCACCTTGATCTTGGACTTTCAGCCCAGAACTGTAAAAAAACACATTTCTGATGTTTAAGCCACCCAGACTGGCATTTTTTTTTTATGGCAGCTTAGCAAACGAATACAGCAATTTTTAGTTACTGATTTAGTGACTAGTGTGGTCCAGATGCTATTCTGGGTGCTGACGATATAGCTTCCCTGTGGAGCTGATGTTCTAGCGGATGGAGAAAGGGAATAACAATAAATAAGTAAAATATATGTCAGATCAGACTAAGTGCTACAGAGAAAAGAAGTCAGAGAAATCATCATATAGAAAGTTGCAATTTTATAGTTATGAAGCCTTCATTGTGAGGCTGAAATTTTAACAAATATCTGAATAAGATGAGGAAGAGGCAGAGGATCCCAGGTTTAGGAAGTAGCAAGTTCAAAGACCCTGATTTGGGATTGTGTCTGACATGTTCAAGAGACAACATCAAGAAGCCAGTGGGGCTGAAATGTATAGAGCCTGGGGGGAGAGTAACATGTCAGAGAGAATGGGGGTGGGGGAGCTATGGAGCTACTGGGGACTAACTTGTAGAGAAAACCAGTCCCCAGAATGAAGTTAATACAAAAAGAAGGGTGAGCAGGCAAAATGGGGGAGGGTATGGATGAGGGAGGGAGAGAGAAAGAGAGAGAAAGAGACAGAGAGACAAAGAGAAAGATGCCAGTCTGAAAAGGCTACACACTGTATGATTTCATTATTTATAGGACATTCTGGAAAGGCAAAACTATGGAGGCAACAAATAAATCAGACATTACTGGGGTTTGGGGAGAGAGGAAGGTTGAACAGGTGAAGCACAAAGGATACTCTTTGTAAGTGATGAAACCATTCTGCATGATACCATAATGGTGGGTACTCAACGCCATGCATTTATCAAAACCCATAGAACTTTACAGTACAGAGTGAAACTTAATGTATGAAAATTGTAAAAAAAATTATTTCTGAGGTCAGAGGGTCACAGGGTGGAATATAGAACATGACTAAACAATTAACAATGCTACAAACATATGATAAAACCTCACTGAAGGGACTGGCAGAAAAAGTTGCTAGCCTGAATAACTTTAGAAATGAGCAGAGATTGTAAGACTAAAGGGAAAAATAATTGTATGTAAGCACGGTAATCTAGTTGATAAAGTCTCCCATGGGGGAACAGGTTAACAATTCTGAAACCATCATACATCTAATCTGGAACTGAAGAATTAAGTAAATGGAATGTGGATAGCAGGAAGCACGAGCCAGGTTTCTCACTGTTGAAGTGGGAGCTTACAGGAAAGCATGGGGAGAAGGCAAGAATGATTCATATGGTTATGGATTAGAGTTAGAGACATCAGTATGAACTCATGCTTACATTATTATAGGTACAGACGTTTACATATAGAAATATTTATAGATACGTATATATACTGAAGTTAGCTACACACACACACACACACACACACACACACACACACATTTTGCTCTGTCAGCTGAAGAGGTCAAGATACAAGGATACACCTAACAAGTCAGATCTTTGTTTCTAATACTATTTGTTCCAATAAAAGGAACCAGGGATCCTTAGAGAGACGGCTGATTCTCAGGAAGCATACAATATAAGTCTGGAGCATGTTGTAGTTTCTTAAAAGAAAGAAGTACTTAATACCCACAATGATGGAGCACATCAAAGGGAGACTAGAGCCAATGTAAGCAGTTCCTAATGGCCTACGCTGGGACGATTTGAGCAATAAGATAAATAAGGTAGCAATGGATTATGATTCAGGTATATATACAATAAATATTCCTGTCTACACTGACATAAATAAACAGTCGAGTAAGTAAACAAATAGGGAACAAGATACATCTCCTGTGCAGGAGAATTTCAAATAGTTTGTGAAGCTCTTCCATCCTCAAGGAGGTAGAACATAACTCCTACTCTGTAAGCATGGATCGTGCATAGTGATTTCCTTCCAAAGAGTACCATATGGAAAGCTTAGAAAAGAGTAACTTTAAAGGGTGAAACCTGATAAACACTACCTCAGCCAGGTGATCAAGGTCAATATTAAAGTGGTAGGTCATGTTGATAGTATGTACTCTTGTATGATGCAATGGAAATGACACTTAACTTCTGTGGTCTTCCTCTGCATGTAACAAACATCACACTGCAATCCTGAGAAAAGCATTAAGCAAATCACAATTGAGGGGCATTGTACAAAATATCAGTACTTCTTAAAACTGTCAAGGCCATCAAAAACAAGAAAAGTCTGAGAAGTTGTCATAGCCAAGAGCAGTCTACGGTGGCATGCGACTGCAAGTAATGCAGCACCCTGGTTGGGATACTGGAACAGAAAAATAGTGTGAGGTTAATAACTACTAAAATATGAATAAAGTATGGACATTAATTAAAAATTATGTACCAATATTGGTTCATTGGTTATGACCAATGCACCTCACTTATATAGGATAGAAATAATAGGGGAGATTGGGTGTGAAGTATATGGGAATTCTACTATCTTTATCACTTTTCTGAGCATCTAAATCTTTTAAAATAAATAAAAAGTTTATTTTAAAAAATCTCATTCCAAGTTTTACCCCATTCCAATTAAATCAGAATTTCTAGGGTGTGAGAAGGGATCAGTATTTTTTAAACATCTCAAGTGCTGTCAACGTGCAGCACTGGAAACCTCTGTAGTAGAAGTCCCTGAGCTGTGGTAGCTGTTATATTTTGGTACTCCTTAATTCATACAAAATGTCCTGAGCTAAATGAAAATGTTGTGTGTTGCCTCCATTTTGTACCTATGTGAAGTCAAAATTTTAATTATGAGTATGATAAAAATAAAGTACTGGAACATGTTGCCCATTTGAGCACCACTTGATGTTACACTATTGGATATTGAGCTCCTAACTGACAAATGTATCAAGCATATAATTACAAGCAATATTACATCTTAAAATGTCTCGTAATTTTCCTCCAATTGAAATGAAAAAAAGAAAAAAGGATATGACATGCATACTCTTTCCTCTGTCTGATCCCTATGCTGTCTGATCCCACATTAATATGCTTTGGTGGATTCCACCACGATTCCATTTTTCTGCCGTTTTTTGACCTTGTTTGTACTCCAGGAGGCTGACTCTATGGACTGCAATCCTCAGGCCTCCTTGCTCTCTGATTTCCAGTTAGGTTTAGGCAAGATGGAGGAGACAGGTATCATCGTTTTAACCCAAGTCTTTCCCTTCTTCATCATGGTTCTGGCAGTGGCTGCGTTTGTTGCAACTCCAGCTCCCACCCCCTCTGGCTCACACTTGGCTCTGGAAACACAGTTGCCTTTTCTCACCCCTTCAAACTAAGAGGGAGTAATGGTTTCCTGCTGTTGCTAGTCTCTAGGTAACTCACCATCCCTTTTTTTTTTTTTTAACTTTACTAATATCTCTGTAAATTGTCTCTTTACTGAAATATTTTAACTTTTTGAGGGTGTCATCTGTTTCCTGATAGGCTTTCTGACTGATGCAATTAGTCTATCATTGTCAATTCTCTGGAAATGATGACTCTTTCTCCCCCACCTCTTTTTAAGCCAAGATAACGTCTTGCCTACTTTTCTGGCCTTAAAAATGTTCTTTGTTTTGTGAAACAATGTTGATAATAGCGAACATTATTTTCCCTAAGGCCTTATTTGGCAAAAGTAAGAGCTGGCAAACATGCTGGTTCCCCACATATTTTTGAAATTTCATTTTCAAAACTGGAGTCTGGGAACCATTGACCTAAGTGAGAATTCAACTTTGAAACATTAAGGGGATTCAGCTATCATTCACTTTACCACAAGAATCTTACAAATCTGATGAAAGTTGCCAATGGCTGTCACAGTAGACACTCAAGTTACCGGGATTCAGTTGTTTGCATAACATATTGTCCCACTCCTGGTAAAGAGGGAAGTAGTATCTGGGAAAAGTAGGAGGATCGATAAAAATTGAAGTGGTTATTTTTGTATCCACTGACACAGAAGGAGATTTTACAGCACACTATGTTTTGAGTCTCAAAAACACACGTATTGCATTTCACTGGAGATCTGATGGGGGAAGGGATGGAGAAGAGGAAAAGAGTGCATCTGAAAGTTTTAGCAAGAAGTTGCAAGGACTCTTCAATTAAGTATGGATGCAGTGTGACAGTGACTTAGAACTTCCATGTTCACAGATCCAGCGCTGTTAACTTTATACTAGTCTAAGTCTTTTTTCTTATAAATAATTACAAAAGCTCATTAAGCAATACAGACTGGGAACTTTTTTTTTCCTCCAAATTCTAGTTTATTTTTAATTGACAAATAGTAATTTTATAAATTTATGGGGGTACAATATGATATTCTGATACATGTATACTCTGTGGGATGATCAAATCAGGCTAATTAGCATTATCAGTCATTTCAAATATTTATCATTTCTTTGTGGTGAGAACACTTAAAATCCTCTCTTAGAGATTTTGAAATATGCAATACATTATTATTGCAGTCAGTATGCTGTCCAATAGAACACCAGAACTTATTCCTAACTGAAACTTCGTATCAGCTGAACAATATCTCTCCTTTCCCTGTCCACACTCTCACCCACTGCCAGCCTTTGGTTACCACCTTTTTACTCTCTGTTTCTATGAGTTTGACTTTTTAAGATTCCACATAAAAGTGGGGTATTTGTCTAGCCACGCCTGGCTTATTTCATTTTTTTTGAGACCAAGTCTTGCTCTATCGCCCAGGCTGGAGTGCAGTGGCGCAATCTTGGCTCACTGCAACCTCTGCCTCCTGGGTTCAAACGATCCTCCTGCTTCAGCCTCCCAAGTAGCTGGGATTACAGGCACCCGCCACCACGCCTGGTTAATTTTTGTACTTTTAGTAGAGACGGGATTTCACCATCTTGGCCAGGGTAGTCTCGAACTGCTGAAGTCAAGTGATCTGTCTGCCTCAGCCTCCCAAAGTGCTGGGATGATAGGTGTGAGCCACCATGCCCAACTGCTTATTTCACTTAACATAATGCCCTCTAGGTTCATTCATATTGTCCCAAATGACAGAGTTTTTTAAAATGCTGAATAGTATTCCATTGTGTGTGTGTGTGTGTGTGTGTATATATATATATACACATATATATGTATATATGTGTGTGTATATATATATACATATATATGTGTATATATATGTGTGTATATATATATATACACACACACACAACATTAAAAAAAATCCATTCATTTGTTGATGAACACTTAGGTTGTTTCCATATCTTGGCTACTGTGAATAATGCTGCAATGAGCATAGGAGTGCAGACATCTCTTTGACATATGATTTCAATTCTTTTGCATATACCCAGAGGTAGAATTTCTAGATCATAAGGTAAATCTATTTTTAGTTTTCATATTTTTAAAACTTCATACTGTTTTTCAAAATTGTTTTCAAAATTGCTGCACTTAATTGTAATACCACCAACAGTGTACAAGGGTTCCTTCTCCACATACTTGCTAATACTTATCTTTCGAAATAGCTGATCTAACAGGCATGAGGTGATATCCCATTGTAGTTTTAATATGCATTTCTCTGATAATTAGAAATGTTGAGCATTTTGGTAAATGTATGTCTTGGCCATTTGTATGTCTTCTCCTGAGAAATGTCTATGGAAATTCTTTGCCAGTTTTTTCATTGGGTTATTTGTTTTCTTGTTATTGAGTAGTTTGAGTTTCTTGTGTATTTTAGATATTAGCCTCTTATCCAATGTATAACTTAAAATACTTTTTCCCAGTTTATGGGTTGTTTCTTTACTCTTTTGAGATTTTCCTTTATTGTGCAGAGTTTTTAGTTTGACGCAATCCCATCTGTCTATTTTTGCTTTTATTGCCTGTGGTTTTGGCATTATAGCCAAGAAATCATTCCCCAGACCAATGTCGTGAAACTTTTCCCTAGGTTTTCTTCTAGTAGTTTTATAGTTTCAGGTCCTATGTTTAAGTCTTTAATCCATTTTGAGTTGAATCTTCTATAAGGGATAAGGTAATGGTACATTTTGATTATTCTTCATGTGGATATCCAGTTTTCACAATATGATTTATTGAAGAGATGTCCTTTCCCCATTGTGTGTGCTTGGTATCTTTGTCAAAAATCAATTGACTGTAGATGTATAGGTTTATTCCTGAGCTCTCTGTGCTATTCTGTTGGTCTATGTGTCTGTTTTTATGCCAGTACCATGTTGTTTTGATTACTATAATTTAGTAATATATTTTGACATCTGATAGTGTGATGACCCTGGCTTTGACTTTTCTTTCTGGTCAAGATTGCTTTGGCTATTTGGGGTCTTTTGGACTTCATACAAATTTTAGAATTTTAAAAAATTTCTGTGAAGAATGACATTAGCATTTTGGTAGGGATTGCAATGACTCTGTAGATTGCTTTGAGTAATATGGATGTTTAAAAAATATAAATTCTTCCACTCCATGAGCGCACAATATCTTTCCATTTATTTGTATAATTTTCAATTTATTTCATCAATGTTTTATAGTTTTTGGTATACAGATCTTCCACTTCCTCGGTTAAATTACTCCTAAGTATTTTATTTTTTTTGATACTAATGTAAATGGGATTGTTTTCCTCGTTTCTTTTTCAGTTAGTTTATGGTTTGTCTATAGGAATGCTACTGATTTTTGTAGGTTAATTTTGTATCCTGCAACTTTACTGAGTTAGTTTATGAGTTTTATTAATTTTTTTGGTTAGGTCTTCAGGATTTTCCATCTATAAGAGCATGTCATCAGCAAAAAGAGATAATTTTACTTCTTTCTTTCCAATTTGGATGCCTTTTACTTCTTTTCTCTTGCCTAATTGCTCTGGCTAGGACTTCCCGTACTATGTTGCATAGGAGCGGTGAGAGTGGATATCCTTGCCCTGTTTCTGATCTTAGAGAAAAATCTTCAGCGTTCACAATTGATTGTGACATTAGCTATGGGTTTGGTGTGTATGGCCTTTATTGTGTTGAGGAACATTCTTTCTACTCTGAATTTGTTGAGCGTTTTTATCATGAAAGGATGTTTAATTCTGTCAAACCCTTTTCTGCATCTATTATGATGATCATATGTTTTTTGTCCTTCATTCTGTGGGCATTTTTGTTTATTGATGTTTTCAATTGAATGTGTTTTATAATGTCAAGTACATCAAATTTAGAACAGAAAGAAAAATTTTACAGTATCTTATGCTTGGATAGGGTACAAGAAACAGGGCGTATGTTTATCACAGTTTAGTCTCCTTGACTTTAAAATTCTTCTGTGTTGGGAATATGAGGTCCTTCTTTGTTATGTTATGTTATATTTAATATTGAGTGAAAAGGAATTAACACACAATTGTTTTTTAAATTTTTATCTGTTTAAAAACTTCCTTTGTTTTTATTCTCATTACTTTCTGTTTTCTGACTTTACCTTAAGAAAAACACAGAGCAATCTTTTCCAATTCATTTTTTTCCTTTGTATACATTTAAAAGGGAGTTTTAAAAGGGCTGGATAGCTTGGTCATAAAGAGGAGTTTTTCTTTACCATTACAATCCAAACACAAGCTGTCGTCCACATGGCATGGAATAATTAGAGAACTCAAGAATTTTCTTTCTCTTGACATTTCTACTACTTAAACAAAATAATGGAAACTGATTTATTTCTTCCTTTATCTGGTGATGGAAACCACCCTATGGAAAACCTGGGAATGGTCAGCACTATGTTTTCCACTATGTGGAGAGAGTTGGTCAGTAACAGGAAATGAAACTGACTCATATGGAGAAGCAGAGACAAGAGATAGGATTACTGGTGATTTTAGGGTTCCCGAAGACCATCTACATATCTCCCATTCCTGTTGCCTGACTGTTGAAATTTTTCTGATTCCATGAAATAAAAATTCTCCTTTTTGGCTAAGCTATTATTTTGGGTGGGATTCTATAGGGTGCAAGTGGCAAAAATGTAGCTACAATTAGCTTAAGTAAAAAGAGGGAATTGAGGAGAGATCCTTAGGTAACTCACAGAATTAAAGGAAGACTGGATCAATTGAGCTTTAGCAAGGCAGAAGCAAGCACTTTAGAAGGGACTCAGAACCTAGGGCCAAGACTTAGGTAATGCAGCAGCACACTTCCCTCACGTGGCCTTTGCTCCTTCTTTCTGGACACTGTGCTCTCTGTGGAGGAATACTTTGATTACCTTATGTGTTTCCACCAGTACTTTATTTACCCCATAACCCTCATCTATTCATTGGCATTTTTATGTGCATTGCCACAGAAGGAGACGTTACAGCACACTGTGTTTTTGAATCTCAAAAGCGCAGACTAGGATTGAATTCAGGCTCTGAAGATTAAGAGAGCTATCCCACGTTAGCGGGAAAAGGAAAGCCAAAAGGGAAAGAAAGACAGCTGAGTTGGTACCACTGGGAAAGGGGCCCTGCACCTAGTAGATGATACTGTCACTAGGCAACACACAGGGGGCATTTGTGTTTATTGTTTTAAATTGAATATGTTTTATAATGTCAAGTACAGCCAATCTGTAATTGAAACAAAAACTTTGAAGTACTCTGTGAAATTCATCTCTGAGGACTGAACCCTCTGGGGGAGGAGCAATAGACACTCCCACTGCACCCCACCCTGGGTGACAGAGTGAGACCCTGTCTCACAAAAAAAACAAAACAAAACACTTATTTTAGAATTGTTTTAGAGCTAAAGAAAAATTGCAAAGATAGTACAGAAAGTTCTCGTGTACTGTACACCCAGTTTCCCCTATTATTAACAATCTTACATTCTTTCTGTCACATTTCTGACAAACAGTAACATCTGCTTAAATACTTCCAGTGACTGGCAACCCAGTGTGTCCTAAAGAGCCCCATTGTCAGATGATTCTAGAGCAGTGTGACTAGAGATGTGGTTCTAGGACCACCAACATCCACACAACCTGGAATCTGGTTAGAAATGAAGAGTCTCAGACCCCAATCCAGACCTGAATCAGAATCTACATTCAATAGGATCTCCAGGTAATTCATGTGGACATCCAAATTTGAAAAGTATTGCTCTAGTGTTCATATATATATGTATACACACACACACACACACACACACACACACACACACACACACGTGTATTTTTCCCAAAAGATGGCAACCAAGGTCTTGCAATCACATTGCCCCATTCATTAATTCATCTGTGTATTCACAAAACATTTTTTAAGAGCATATGTGCTAAGAACTGATTTAACTTGAAACTTTTTTTAGAAGTAAGATCTTATTCCTACACTAAAAAATTTCACATTCCAATTCTGCCATGCAAGAGGTAGTTGAATGAACAGGGTAATTTTTGTTCAGAAAAGAGAGGACTAAGTTTGAAGAGTTGTCCCTGAGAGACTAGCAAATGCAGGAAAATGCCACAATCTGTAGAAAACTATCACAACAGCTGAGAGAATAACAGAGTAGAAAGAGCTACTCCCCTTTATTCCAGATAGAGCTAGGGGTGGAGAGAAAACCCCTCTGCAACTCGGGTTAGTGTATTAGTCTGCTCTCTAATTGCTGTAAAGAAATACCTGAGACTGGGTAATTTATAGAGAAAAGAGGTTAAATTGACTCATGGTTCTGCAGACTGTACAGGAAGCGTAGTGACTTCTGCTTCTGGGGACGCCTCAGGAAGCTTCCAATCATGGCAGAAGGCAAACGGGGAGCAAGCTGTTTCACATGGTGGGAGCAGGAACAAGAGGGTGAAGGGGGAGATGCTACACACTTTTAAACCAGCAGATGTTGTGAGAACTCACTCATTACAGCGAGGACAGCAAAGACCCATGAGAGATTTGCCCCCATGACCCAGACACCTCCCACTCACTACCACAAGAACAGCACCAAGGGGATGGTGCTAAACTATTCAATAGAAACTGCCCCCATGATCCAATCACCTCCCTCCAGGCCCCACCTCCAACACTGGGGATTACAACTGGACATGAGATTTGGGCGGGGACACAAATCTAAACCCTATCAGGTAGCATGGGGCAGTATGTAGGAATAGCTGCGTGATGAAGGTCCTCAGATCTGAAGCAGCCTCATGGAGTTCCAACTTGCCTCAGCAAGGTGTAGGAGCAGTAGACTAATTCCTGAGCCTAGCATAGTCATGTTGCTGCGCCTTCACCCAGGTGCCCAGATCCCAGAATGGTGCTGGAGAACACTTTTCAATGCACTTCAGCAGGGCATCAGGGGCCAGGAAGGAGAGTCATTGATCCTGAAGTGACCTTTGGCATGGATCCATGTAGATCAACACTTGAAAAACAGACAGGATGAGGAGGGAGATGCCAAATTCAACAAATGACCAAATATCAGAACGTTTGCTTATTCTGGCCCTGCCTTCCTTCTGTCCCGTGTCCCTTGCTTAAAATTAGATGTGAACTGAAGGAAAAGAAATGGGAGCCTGAATTCATTGAGGCTGAGTTTCTATCATCTAGTAAAACAGGATCTCATTGAAGAAATTAAGTTCAGTTGCATGAAAAAATTAAGCCACGCTTTCTGATCATCTGCTTATGTGACCTGAAATTTAAATTTTGTCTTCTACTTCAGACTGTGTTCTTATATGCGGCAGAGAACCTGGCTACTAGCAGCTGCAGCTTGCAACTGCATATATTCACCATCTGGAAGGAAAAAGCTCTTCACCTCCTTGACTCTTACAGCATGGTGCCCTCATCCAAGCTCCTGTTTGAAAAGCTTCAGAGAACAATCTTGACTGGCCTTTTTCTAGTCATGTTCTCATCCTATTTACCAATTACAGAGTTAGGAATGTGAGATACTATGATGGTTCCAGCTTGGAGCTCTTGCTATGTGGCCTCTGAAGCCAGCATGCTGTAACTGGTAGCTCTGCCTAGATCCATGTGCTTGGTGTTAGGGAAGGAACAGTTTCTCTGCCAAAAGGGAATAAATACTTTGATCAGAGGTAGAGGAGGAGGGGAACAGGCTGATAAAAACACTGAACTGCATTATCTACCTTGTGTGCCTATACTAATAAAGGTTTCCTTAATGTCACATTGATATGATCAAAGCAAGAAACTAAAATTATGAACAAGATACTGACTATGTCTTTTATGACTCATTAGTTCAGAATTAGAACCTGGGCTCTGGAAAAAAAATAACACAGCCATTTCATTGTAAATTTGTAAACTTTGCAGCAGTTTAACCATGAGAGTTGGCATATAGGTCAGGGAATAGGCCTGGTGGGTTTTGCTGTCAAATCCCATTATACTCCTGCAGAGAATAAAGTGCTTTGTGCTTCGTGAAAATTGGTTTGTAGTATGTGTGTACCAATTATCAGGATTGTCAGAAATGTTGGCCAATTTCCTTTCAGGTTCATAGGGACTTAAATCTGAAATACTTCTCTACAAAAACTTTACTTAGCTGCATAATTCTGAAATAGCTTTATTCTGGCCAACTGCTTATTTATAACAGCCTTTTCAGGTAATATTCTAGGAGTTATTTCTCAAGATTTATTCCCTTTATTTTTCTTGATATTCTTTCAGGTGCAAGGAAATAAAAAATAATTTGGCTTATGTATACAATTTGGATAATTTTGTAGTTTTTCTTACACTGTGTTGCTCATTTATGAGAAATAGGCAAATAGATAAAGAAAATTCGGTTACTGCATGAAGTACTGAAAAAATGTAAAAAAAATTCCTTGGGGAAGTCATATTTTAGTCCACGTTCTGTTGTTAATTTTAATCTTGGGGTTAAGTAATTTTTGCTCTTGGTATGAGATTATAAACAAACAATCCAATTGACTTGCCTTTCAACTCTGAACAGTTTCTTGATCACAGTGTAAATAGCTGCTTGAATTTCACTGCTGTTACATAGCTTTTCAGATAGTCAAGGAAATATGATTCTGCCATATTCATGCCAGCAGATTCCAAAGGGCAAGGAAAGATGTTTCAACAGATCAGGAGTCTAAATGAGTTACACGTTGAGCAATTGGCCAGTGAAGAGCCACCAACAGTAACTGGGCAGCCCCAGGCCTGTAGGAGCATCTGAATGGTTCTAGTTCCCAGGAAGAGCTTCCAAAGAACACATGGTCTTACATAGATATTTTCAAATAGCTGTTTTCCTCCCAATTATTTTAGTAAACCTATGATTGTTGTAGATAAATTAGAAAAGTAAATATAAACAGGAAAATAAACTTATGCATTATTCCATAATCTGAAGATGCCTTTGATAACATTTTGGTGTATAGCTCATCATTTTTTCTTATGCATATATATTTTAAAATCCATTTAGATTATGCTGAATATATAATTCCTATAATATATGTTCTGTGGTAATTTAGAATAAAAATCCCTTCGGTATGTGAATTTAAAACAAATTATAGGCATATAATCATTGTGAAGTATCTATTCTTCAAATCACTTTTTTGTTCTTTTTAGTTATACAAATGGGAAACAGTAAAATTTGCCTTTTATACTTGAGTCCAATATATATTATTTGAGCAATTTCTAAATCTAAGATACTGTCATAAATACTTTAGGAAATAGCGAAACAACATTAATAAGACATAACATTTGCCCTCAGGGCATTTATATAGGGATACGCATAAGCAATCATTAGATGAATCAGATAATGTTTCATGATAAAATGGAAACCAAATAAATTTATAAACGATCATAGACCTTAGATAGCATGGTCCCAATCTGGGAGATTACAAGGAATATTTTGTTGGATCTTGACGTATTGGCCAGGATCTCAGCCAGCAGATGATGGTGGTGGGTGATGGTTGAGGGAGGGATGCTGTGGAATGAAGGAATAACATTCAGGATGGCATAGCATGAACAAAACCAGGAAGTGAAAATAAATGCAAAGATGCTCTTAAGTCACTGTGAGTTCTCTGCTGAAGCGGAAGAAAACACTGGTAAATTAAGTTGACAATACTCTGAGAACGAATTTCAGTTCCAGACTTAGTTTAAACTTTATCCTGTAGGCAGTGCAGAGACACAGATGCTTTTGAGCAAGTCCGTAAAATGGTCAAGGCTGTACCTTAAGAATATCTCATGGAAACTTAAATTCCTAGAAGGAATGACAAAACCATTTTTTGTGTAGGTAAGTGTTCATATAACTGTTCTCTAAACATCTCATATTTATTTTTTAATATAAGTTATAGATACAGTTTTATTTTTACTTTTGTACCCCAAGAATACCTTCTTAGAACTTCTTAGAAAAGCATAAGGATATCCTGAAGTATTTTAATGTCTAAACTTTCTTGTTATTAGTATTTGTTTTTCTCAATTTATGGCTTGACAATAGAGTGTTCGTTTGTTCTGTATGTATTTGTTCCTCTTGTCTTTCTTTCATAGAATGCCCCTTTCATTCAAAAAGCATTAATGGAGCAACTATATGAGTAGACTATCGTATTGTATAATGAGCACTATAAAAACTGTGTGTCCTGGAGAATTTGGGTTAAATTATCTGGCTGGGCCTGGAGATAGCACTTTAGTAAGATACATTTTGAATATCATGAAATTTAAAGAAAAAATTGCTAGCACTTAAGATAGTCAACTTGGTTAGTTGATATCAATTATCCTGTTAATTAAGGATTTTGAAACTCAGATTCTCCTGATTTGTTGTTCAATTTCCTTTCTAAAATTTTAAAGTACTTTTCTTTTATTGCTTATTAGCTATTTGGTTTAACTTTAAATTGCTAAAACTTTTTGAAGAATGAAATGTATTTTACAGTTACCATTTGCATTTAATGTGTAAAATTGATTTTAGGCTTTCATTAAGTCAACTTTTATACTCAAGGTTTAGAATTTTCCTTGATTACAGGTGGCTCACACCTGTAATCTCAGCACTTTGGGAGGCTGAGGCAGGCGGATCACAAGGTCAGGAGATTGAGACCATCCTGGCTAACATGGTGAAACCCTGTCTCTACTAAAAATACAAAAAAATTAGCCGGATTAGCCCGGCGTGGTGGCACACACCTGTAATCCCAGCTACTTGGGAGGCTGAGGCAGGAGAATCACTTGAACCCAGGAGGTGGAGGTTGCAGTGAGCCGAGATCACTCCACTGCACTCCAGCCTGGGCGAAAGAGCGAGACTCCGTCTCAAAAAAAAACAAACCAAACCAAACCAAACCAAAAAAAACTACTTTCCATTGCTAAATGTGTTTCCGGCTCAAGCAGAGATACTGGTTGCCATTTACTCAAATAAGCAAGCCTACTAATTATCTGCAAATGGCATGTCAAGTGACCCCCAAAATTAAACATCTTTATGTAAAAGGTTTTCTCTTCTAATGTTTACTTTGGTCTCAGAATCCATTATTTAATTAAACAGTTATATTGTTTATCCAGCTAATGCAACTCAGTGCGTAAGAAGGCATTTACTTAAATCTAAGAATATACTTGAATTTTTATTGCTATTAATTGTATTGGTGAATTCTTTTGTACCATAGCACCTTTCAAGTTTGAAAATGCAGCTCTTTTGCTGTTAGATGTAAGTGCCTCTGTACCCATTTCATAAAGACTCATCACCTATTCTGAGACCTTGATTTTGCCACCCCATCACCCTTTTCCCTTCCAAAGGCAAGGACAAACCAGAGCAATTGTAGCAACACGAAATCGCAAAAGAAAGACAAAGCTTCATGGTTCTCTTTACACCATAATAACCGAGCAGTCTCAAATCTCTCATTAAATTTTAGTGTTTCGAGTAATCTCCCATGGTTTTTAGATGGTAATAGTAATGTCCTTTTACCTCTACCAGTTTGTTCCAGACTTCTTTGATATTACAAATGGGATACGGTGTATAAAGCTGGTCAAAGTCAAGAAAACTTTGGTAAATACTCCTGTAACTATAGATACTGGTGGTTCCTGCAGGGTATTGGTATTCCAGACCTGAAAGATTCATACACAATCAATCTGAAAGTCAGAGCAGAGCAAATGCACCATAAGCTGTGAAGTTACTTAGTGGTTCTTTGACTGCTTAACTGAGCTGGTGAAAGTCAGGGCCTGTGTATATATGTTTAAGTGATAATCTGCATCAGTTAATTTTCCTGTTTCAGATTTGCCAGTTCACCCTGACCATCTTGAAAATAAGTTATCTCTGATCTCTGTCTGTATGTTACTTCTCTCCCCTCACCAACGGAGAACAAATGTGGGCAAAGTAAGTAAAGCAATCACCACCTTTGGAGGGAAGAATTGGTCATGTTCTATGGATGGTGGATCAACTCTATTGCGGATACTCAGTAACATTTTTACTCTCTAACTCATCATTTACACCTCAAATCTTTTTTATTTAAATGCTCTGAAGTTGTAGCTTTGAATAATAGTCTTCGATGTGGTAGGGGCCTTAATCACCATCATTCTAGTCTAACTCGTCTCCCATCAAATCCCATCCTATGACATTCCTGATGAACATAATTTAGCCTCTATTTAAAAATATCTATGATGAAGAGTGCATTGTCTTACCAGAAAGCCCATTCCACTTCCAATTGTTGTGAGAGTTAGAAAGTTATTCCTCAGTTTTGGTTTAAACCTGGCTCCCTCTTCATTCCACACATTGACATTAGTTCAGTTTACAGGAGCTACATAGAATAGTCTACCATATTTTCCTCATGACTGTCTTTCCAATATGTGAAGTGAACTATAATTCTTGCCTTCCTCCTAAATGTAGTTTTCTCCAATTTCATTTGGTATGCCTATTAAAATGCAGAGTCCTGTTTCTCCAGAGGTTTTTGTTGATTAGGTTTCTGGTAGGCCTAGGATTTCTGTCTGTTTTGTAGTGTGATCTGTGTTTACATCCGAGTAGTTTTATCAGGCTGTTTCTTGTCTGTGGAATTTTGGAGGTCCAATAGCTTTCTTTTGTCTTGTACTCTATCCTTTAAATTTCAAAGTGGCAGTGTTTCCACTGGTTTAAAATTCTCAAGAATCTTGTAGTTTTCCTGTGTATATTAGAGAAATTCACTCCTGAAGAAAAGAAGCTTGTTTATAGATTTTTCTTAGATAATCTTGTCTCTATTTTGGGGGTCTGCTGAGAAGGCCGAGGGGGTCCATGAGTCACCTGTTTAATCTCTTTAAAGAGCCTTTTGTGTGACTGAATACTGATTTTTATCTTTCTGAGGTAATAGCAAAAGTGTTACCAGCCACACTTCTGGCTTTTTCTCTACAATGCACTTTTCTGGCAGCGAATCCTTAATTTTTGCTGATAACATTTTAAGTCATCAAGTCCTGGCCACTTTTGGTTTCACCGTTCTTTCCCTAATTTTTATCTTTCCTTTTACATCTTACTATAAGCAGCGAGAAACCAAAATGTGCCTTCAACACTGCTTGAAAATCTCCTCAGCTATATGCCCAACTTCATTGTTTACAAATTCTGCTTTCCACATAACTGCAGGACACAATTCTGCCAAGCTTTCTATCACTATGTAACAAGTATCACCCTTCCTCCAGTTTCCAATAACACCTTTCTCATTTCCACCTGAGTCCTCACTAGCAGCCAGCTTTTTTCTTTTTTCTTTTTCTCTTTTCTTTCTTTCTTTCTTTTTCTTTCTTTCTTTCTTTCTTTCTTTCTTTCTTTCTTTCTTTCTCTCTTTCTCTGTTTCTTTCTTTCTCTTTCTTCTTTCTTCTTTTTCTTTTCTTTTTCTCTCTCTCTTTCCTTCCTTCCTTCTTTCTTCTTTCTTTCTCTTTCTTTCTCTTTCTTCTTTTCTTTTCTTTCTTTCTCTCTCTCCTTCCTTCCTTCCTTCCTTCTCTCCTTCCTTCCATCCTCTGTGTCTCTCTCTCCTTCCTTCCTTCCTTCCTTCCTTCCTTCCTTCCTTCCTTCCTTTCCTTCCTTCCTTCCTTCCGGGTCTCATTTTGTCACCCAGCCTGGAGTGCAGTGGTGTGATCTCAGCCTACTGCAACCTCCACCTCCCAGGCTCAAGAAATTCCCCCACCTCAGTCTCCCAAGTAGCTGGGACTACAGGTGCACACCACCACACCCTGCTAATTTTTGTATTTTCAGTAGAGACTGGGTTTTGCCATGTTGCCCATGCTGGTCTCAAACCCCTGGGCTCAAGTGATCCACCTGCCTGAGCTTCCTAAAATGCTGGGATCACAGGTGTGAGCCACTGTGCCTGGTCTCCAGCAGCCACTTTCATGTCCGTATTTCTATCAATAGCCTGTTAATAATGATTTAGGTATTCTCTAGGGTAATATATATTTTTCTCTACCTTGCTTCTCACTTCCTTCTGAAGAAGCAGAGTTGTTAACATCCATATTTCTACTAAAAGTCTGTTTAAGATAGCCTTCTAACTTTCTAACTTAGCAGACTTTTAGTAGAAATATGGATTCTAACAACTCTACTTCCTCAGAAGGAAGTGAGAAGGTCTTGATCTGTCGCCCAGGCTAGAAGTACAGTGGTGTGATCACAGCTCACTGCAGCCTTGACTTTTGAGTTTGAGCAATCCTCACACCTCAGCCTCCCAAATAGCTAAAATTACAGGTCTGCCCCACCAAGCCTGGCTAATTTACAAAAAAAAATGTTTTTTTTGTTTTGTTTTGTTTTTGTTTTTTGAGATGGAGTCTCGCTCTGTTGCCCAGGCTGGAGTGAGTGGCATGATCTCAGCTCACTGCAACCTCCACCTCCTGGGTTCATGCCATTCTCCTGCCTCAGCCTCCCAAGTAGCTGGGACTACAGGGGCCTGCCACCACGCCCGGCTAATTTTTTGTATTTTAAGTAGAGACGGGGTTTCACCGTGTTAGCCAGAATGGTCTCGATCTCCTGACCTCGTGATCTGCCAGCCTTGGCCTCCCAAAGTGCTGAGATTACAGGCATGAGCCACAGCACCTGGCCAAAAAAATGTTTTTTAAATATAGGGTCTTGCTATGATGCCCAGGCTGGTCTTGAACTCCTAGGCCTTAAGTGATGCTCCTGCCTTGGACTCCCAAAGTGTTGGGATTACAGGAGTGAGCCACCATGCCTGGACTTAACCGGTTTGCCCAGAGAATACCCACCAGTGGCGTCTGTAGCTGTAGCATTTACCCCAAGATAACTTTGCCAAGAAATATGCTTTTATTATTATTTTCGCATCCCTCTGGTATATTGACTTCAGAAACAAAAGACATCACTCTATTGATCACATTCTGTTTTTAGTAGTGATATTTCCATTTACAAAATATAGTAATTCTCAATCCCTGAAAATGTCAAATCCTAGAAAATGTGGCATTCCTATGAATGATGTTAACATCATTATTGAAGAGTTGTTTGCCAAGACCAGCTCGGCTGGGGAGACCCTAACCCAGCGGCGCTAGAAGAATTAAAGACACACACACAGAAATATTGCATGTGGAGTGGAAAATCAGGGGTCTCAGCCTTCAGAGCTGAGAACCTCGAACAGAGATTTACCCACATACTTATTGACAGCAAGCCAGTGATAAGCATTGTTTCTATAGATTATAGATTAACTAAAAGCATTTCTTATGGGAAATAAAGGGATTGGCTGAAGTAAAGGGATGGGTTGGGCTAGTTATCTGCAGCATGAATATGTCCTTAAGGCACAGATCGCTCATGCTATTGCTTGTGGTTTAAGAACGCCTTTAAGTGGTTTTTGGCCCTGGGTGGGCCAGGTGTTCCTTGCTCTCATTCCGGTAAACCCACAACCTTCAGCATGGGTGTCATGGCTATCACAAACATGTCACAGTGCTGCAGAGATTTTGCTTATGGCCAGTTTTGGGGCCAGTTTATGGCCAGATTTGGGGGCCTGTTCCCAACAGTTGTTGGCCAAAGATTCATTTGATTAACCTGATTTTTCCGTAACAGACGATTCCGATGATTCTGGTGTTAGCTCTGTTTAGAAATAACTCCAAGAACAGTTTTTATATTTTATTTTCACATTGAAAATCAGTCAGATTTGCTTCAGCCTCAAAGAATGTGTCTAATGAAAATTAAATGAGCGCTGGCAGTGAGCTGCACTTTTCTTTTTCTAAATGGAAAAAGGGTTAAGGCCTTTTGTCTGATCGAAAACCCTTAAAACAGCCATCTGACTCAAAGGCCTGACAGAACCAGGCCCACCATGATTATCTAGGATAATCTCTTGCATGTACAGTCAACTGATTATGGACTTTAATGACATCTAGCGACTCCTGGATTAGTGTTTGATTATGTAATTGGGGACTGCAGCCTAGCCATACTGATACATCAAAAAGACTGTCACGGTGTCTTCTATCACTTATTCCATTAACCAAAGCTGCCACCTCACATAACACAATAATTTATTTTCACTTGAACATTTAGGTTTTAAAGGGACTTATTCTCAGAGACATGTTAGGAATCAAAATAGAAATAGTTCCATATCATTGGCTCATTGAACACAATAGTTCTTGAATTAGCAGTTACAACTTACAAGTTGTAAATTGTTTTTCCATGAGGACTTAAAAGTTTCATGTACATTAAATATAAATTTCTTTTGGCTGGAAATGGCATTGGTACTATTTAAATAGTCTATTGCTGGCTGGGCACGGTGGCTCACACCTGTAATCCCAGCACTTTGGGAGGTTGAGGCGGGCGGATCAATTGACGTCAGGAGTTTGAGACCAGCCTGGTCAACATTGTGAAACCCCGTCTCTACTAAAAATACAAAAATTACGTGGGTGTAGTGGTGGACACCTGTAATCCCAGCTACTCGGAAGGCTTTTATATGCATTTTTGAATGCAAATTTTTAAGATCTGTGTGGTAATTAGACATATAATCATAGTTATAATTATTATTTTATACTGAAAAACTTTCCAAAAGACATTTAGGGTATCATGGCCAAAGCGAGTCACTGTTTTATTTAAAACTACAGTCAGTTCAACCACAAGCTTTTCTGAGTGTCTATTGTAGTGGATATATGTGCTTTTCTTTGTCAACTTCCCCATCAGTAAAAGCACCCTAATTTTATTTTGGGGTTCCACTTTCTCCCTGCCCTCAGTAATTTGGTTAGGTTAAGACTCACCCTCCTCATATCCCCCATTTTCCAGGTTTACTTGGAAAATAGTTTCCAGGTTTACCATTTTCCCATTTACTTGGGCAGTCATCATATTCCAACTCTCTGGCCACACGACTGGTGCGGGGATGGGCCTGTAACCCATGTAAGTCAATGAATAAGACCCAGCTTGGTAGTTATTAAGATATAGGTTGATTGCTTAAAATTGTAAGAGTGGAAGAGTAAGAAGGAAAGTCAAAGAGAAAACAGTTGAGCCGGAAAGAAAACGGAGTCATTCAAATCATTATTCGTAAAGAGTTTCAAGAAGTGGCGTATCAATATTCTCAACTTAATAGTTGGGCAATATTTATGTTTTTGAAACTAACAACTAAAATACTTGGATAAAATATTTCTCCTGATTTAAGTAACTATAATTTCAGTCATGATTCATTGTTCCCAGCAGGATCTGTATCTGTGTAAGTGGGCATAGTATTGATTTTTTTTCAAAAGAGAAGATAGGTGATCTCATTAATTTCCTTTTCACATCAAAGCTTTCCTTTTAGGGTTTTTTTTTTTTCCTTCTCTCAAAAAAAATACTGAATGAGTCAGGGTGCTAATCTGCTTTGCTCTAGTAAATTCTATCTTCTCATTGTAGAGATGTTTTTCACCGTAGTAATAATTTGCTTAGCTGCTTGGTATTTACTCATGTATTCATTCACAGTTCTTTATCAGGCTTCAGGTATGTACCCAATATTGTGCCAGGTGAAATGAGATTCAAAGGTGTCTCCTAGCCTAGAATGTAAATTCTATAAGGACCTTCTCACTCGGAGCACAGTATTGGCACATTATCAGAAATCTATACAGATGCATTTAGGATGCATTTCTGTAACAATGGTCACTTGTGAGGTGCCATGCTTGACCTTCAAGTATTGCCTGAAACTCAAACACAAGTTGAGGGTTTGAGCCTTTGTACTTGTTTCCTACAGGGCAGTTATTCTTCAAAATGCCCAGGTTTAATGATACTTATTTTTATTTTTTATTATTTATTTACTTTTTTGAGACGGAGTCTCACTGTCACCAAGGCTGGAGTGCAGTGGTGTGATCTCGGTTCAATGCAACCTCTGCCTCCTGGATTCAACCGATTCTCTTGCCTCAGGCCCCCAAGTAGCTGAGATTACAGGTGTGCACCACCACACCCAGCTAATTTTTGTATTTTTAATGGAGATGGGGTTTCACCATGTTGGTCAGGCTGGTCTTGAACTCCTGGGCTCAAGTAGTCTGCCCACTTCAGTCTCCCAAAGTGCTGGGATTACAGGCATGAGCCACCATGCCCGGCGATACTTATTTTTAGTAGTTCACAATGAAATAATTAATTATATTTAGTGCCAATACAATTTCAAATAATGATGCTGGAATGACACCCGATACCACAGTAGGCAATGATTTTGATCTCTATTAGTTTACTAGTTATAGTGGGTTAAATAGTGACTTCCCACCAAAAATGCCCACATCCTAATTCCTGTAACCTGTGAATGTGACCTTATTTGGAAAAAGGGTCTTTGCAGATGTAACTACGTTAAGAATCTCGAGATGAGACCATCCTGAATTATCTGGTTGGTCCCTAAATCCAAAGACAAATGTCCTTTACAACAAAAAGAAGAGAAGAGGGCACAGACACAGAGGAGAAGGCAAGTGAAGATGAAGGCAGAGACTGGAGTTACGTGGCCACAAGCCAAAGAATTCCTGAAGCCACCAGAGGCAAGGAAGGATTTTCTCATAGAGCCTTGGGAGCCAGTACACACCTGCTGACACCTTGATTTTGGAATTTTAGTCTCCAGAGCAGTGAGAGAATACATCTCTGTTTGAGCATTAAGTTTGTGGTAATTTGTTACAGCAGACCTAGGAAACTAATATGTTAGTTCGTACTGATTATTTAATTAAAGGCTCTTTTTGTATTGTTTTGTTTTCTAAATAGTCTGCAGAAACCTACCTCAATTTTTGTCTCCATCCAATAGAGACACCTGTCTGTCTGTTGAGATTTGGTGGAAATCCAAGGGTTAGTGTTTCTGGGTTATTTTTCGCCTACCACAGATAGTGCTGAAAGCCCATTTAGTACACAAATATGACACTTCTGAATAAAGTGGCTTCAACAACTGGTCTGGAGATCCAAGTGCTATTCAAAAAAGTGACACTCGTTCTGAGAGGCGATTCCTATGAAGGAGAAGCTCCATTTGCGAAGTTATAGCAAGGTTCCTTCCATAATGCACAGCAGCTGGGCCAGGGAGCCGGGAGTCGTCGCTTCTGGCCTACCCATCTCTGGGCTACTTCCCGCAACTCACTTTCCCTGTGTGCCTGGAATGCTTCTTCCTATGAGGCCGTTAGTCAAATTAAGTAGAGGCCTTTAAAAATTAGCCATCCATCCAATCTAGAGAATGTCCACTACGCTTCATTCTTTCTCCCTTACCCTGTTGATTTCTTCCATATCACCCAGCGCTGATGGTAATTGTATGAATACATGCTTATCTGTCTGTCCTCCCACCCCTAACTCTAAATTCAAGGAACTCTATAACTGCACCTAGCATATTGTCTGACACTCCTCAATAAAGACGCATTTAATACATAGACAAATAATGAGTGAACATTTTGAGTGGAGGGCCGGAAAATGTCTATTTACTTTGGAGTTGGAATCAGACTGTTCAAGAGTACTTTCAAAAAAAATTTTGCTACGTCAAACATCATTGAATTTCAGGATTGAAAGAGTGGTGGTCATATAGCTCAATCCCCTCCAAACACCCCCACCCACCAGATGCGCGAATGCCCTCTTCAGCCTTCCTGATAAGCATGACGAAGATGCTGGCGGAAGCATCCCTGGTATCAGGAAACTCATGACCTCACTAGTTTTGATCTTTTCCATTTAGCTTTCTTTTCCCACTCCTCCCAGTTATTGCAACCTTAATTGTAGCATTTTACACAACTGCTGCTGCAGAGTTCTGGAAGTCTGGGGGTGGGAGGGACGGGGGAACCCCAGTGCCTATCTCAAGCCTGCGGTCACCGACGCGGGTCCGGGGTGGGGGGGTACTGCCAGGGAACTCGCGGCACCGCGTGCTTGCTGAGTTCGCCTGGGCTCTCGGCCTCCCTGCGGGCAGGGGTCCTCCCTCCCCAGCGCCGGGTCTCTCCTCCCGCAGGCCCGCGGCCACCCGCAGCGGCATTCCCCGCCGCCGCCCCCGCCACCTGCGCGACCGCCCTAGCCGCTCGAGTCCGCTCCTCCCGCTCAGGGGCGGCTGCGGAGGGCGCGGGGCGCACGCGGGCGGCCACCCGACTCTTCCCTCCCTTCTCCCCACCCCAGCCTGCTCCTGCTCAGCCCCACCTCCCCACGCACTCGGCTGCCCTCCTCCTCTCCTGAGAGTTGCCCCGCACCTTGGGCGAGGAGTTCGGAGCGGCCCCATCGCAGAGCCCACGGCCAGCCGAGCGCGCGCGACGCAGGTGCCCGAGCCCCGGCGCCGCCGCCATCTCTGCCTTCGGTCGAGTTGGACCCCCGGATCAAGGTGGGACCTGCTTCCCTCTCCGACACCCCCTATTGCCACCTCTTCCCGCTCTGGGTAACTCGAGAATGGGGCTTTGGGACGCGCGTGGCAGACGCGGAGCCCCGCGGGCCGCTTAGGGACTGGGAGTCCGGGGCAGCTTAGCGGGACCACCAGAGGGGCCAGCGCCCGGCGGGCGGCGGGGGTGGGGTGGGTGCGACGCCGGGCGACTCTCGGCTCCCGTGGGGCGAGGAAGATCTGGACACACGGCTGACAGCAGCCGGCAGCGCCTGGAGCGAACCTGCTCGGGACCACCGAGAGAGCATGCCACCCGGCCAACTTCTTTTCCAGGCTTCGTGCCTACTTTGGAAACTGAAGGGACTGCCACCTAAAACAGTAAACCCTGGGGTCCTGAAGAGAATTTGCTGGTTCGAATGACAAGAGAAAAAATAATTGTTCTGTAGGGATGGTTTAGACCTCAGCTTTTGTTTCCCACCTCCCCCCTTCCCTGCAAGCAAATTAAACAACAACAGTAGCAGCATCAGCAGCAAAACCCCAAACCCAATCCTAACCAAACCACTTACTGAAAGAGATTTGTAGTGGTGAGAAAAAGAGACCCAACTGAGGAATCATTTGGGAACCGCAGGTATGGTGCCATTTAAAAACTGGTTCTTTCTGGTGTTATTTCTAGAACTTGTGTTTGCAAACAGATTAGAATTCTGGGCTCTTGTCAGCCTAATGGAGTTCTTTATACTGAAGGGTGGCCTGGGGTGTCCTCTGTTAACATTTATTTCTGTAAGTATTAAAGTATATTGAAACAAATACCCTTTCACGGCTCTGGAATTGGAATCAGAAAATCTGAGTTTTGGTGTGATTTCCATTTTATTACCTATGACACTGTGGTTCGTTTAACCTCAGTGGGCCTCAGTTTCCTCATTTTTTCAAGTTGGAGGGTTGGATTAAGATAATTTCTGAGGGCCTTTTGAGAATATCTAAGGTATGCCCCAGAATAAAAAAGTATAATTCCTTAACTCTCTTTAACTTGTTACAAACATTGCTAGTTTCATAATTTCATGAAATAAAAACAATCTGTATTAATCTTGGCACTAGTTTATATGCATTTATGACTTAGGCTTTTAGGATTTTCCCACCAAAAGGTATAGAGAAAAACATGTATAAAGAGCTCAGAAACATATAGATTTATATGAATATTTACACCTCTCATACTACCTTAAATAATCTTTAAGCCAGTATTTGCAACACTGCAACAAAAATACATGGCTTTAGCATAGCACGTATTCTCTTTAAGTATTGTACATCTGGAGGAAATAAAAATGTGTTTGAAGGAAAACAAACATTGCACCTTTCCTATCAATTATTGTTCTTGAACAGTGCTGGCTACTTTTTAGCATAAAGTTGTGGGCAGAATGTTAAAAAATTGGTTTCAGGTCACTTCTGAGCCGCTGTGAAATTAAGCACAATAGCAGAGATGCCAATTTTAGTAATGCAGTTAGTTGCCTTGGAATGAATCCCAGAAAATAGCAGAGATTAACTAAACAGATAAACCAGAAATTAGGAATGGACACACGCACACACAAAAGTGTCTACAGTGAGTATGTACTGTGAAGGGTTAGTGTACTTCATACTTTCTTTTTGATTAGAAGAAAATGTCGGGTTGTTTTAGCAGACAGAGAATGTTACAGTAGCTTTTGTTGCTACTTCTAATGTTTTATCAGTAGCATTTTCAAGATTATTTGAAACTTAGTTATCACTAGTAAGGACAGGTTTAAGAATATTTCTGCCTCTTTTCGGTGGCTTGGATTCAAAATAATAAAACAATCTTTTCTCACCCACATGTACTTTGTATGCAGTTTGGGAGAGTGAAATGGATTTGAAGTACTCTTTTATGAGTACATTTTAACTTATTTTCAGTGACTTTTTGCCTTTGGGCTGGAAATGTCGTAAGTTACTCAGGCATTTATCTTCCCTCATATTCTCTGGTGAAGTAGAGATAGTCATCTCCGTTGAAACAGATGCTCAGAGATGTAAGTAAATTGCTTGTTGAGTGAACAGGGAATCGTAGAACTCAAATATACCCTGGTTGCTAAGTCATTTGGAAAACAACTGAAACTGGATGGATCCAACAGCTCACGGTCCACAGCCAACTCATTCATGGCTTGGGAGTGTCATCATGGGTGGCAGAGGCTCTGTTCCTCCTTTGTAATGTGGGGACTTACTCTCTCAGCAATTTACTGAGAAAAAAGTAATCTCTTCACACTTAGATCACTATTATAGGAACAAATGGTGTGTATTTGTGAAGTGCAATATTTCTGGGAGGTCTTGGAAATAAATACTAAAAGTATCCAGAAAAAAAAAAAAAAGAACTCTCTTGGCAGATATTGTACTGCATTTTTCATACTGAGAGCCAAACACACCCACTTAAAGAGTATGTCCTGTGGAGTTAAAAATGAAGAAAAAGGCTTATAGTCTGCTCTAATTCTTAAGACTTTATGTGATTTACAAATTCCAGTTTTAATTAAATTAGAAAGTTGCAAATGTTCACCTACTGGCCACACTCAGTATGTACAACCTTTTGGAGTTGCTCTTCAAATACGATCTGCTTATAGTTTGGAATATTCCTTCTCAAACATGTTTTTTGGAGTCTTGCTATGTTGCCCAGGCTGATTTAATACTTTTTGTGACTTAATAGTGATATTACCTGTTATCATCACACATAATCTTATTAATATTTAAAATATTTTAAAACTACAAATCTTATATAAATATAAATAAAATCTTTAAAACATTTGAACTGTAATGAATATAGAGAGAAGCATATAAAACAAATTTAATGGTTGACAGATAATATGATAAATCATTATAATAATTGTAAGGCAAATTTCTCATTATTCACCACCCCCAAAAAAAGAACATTGCAAATATCCCAAAACTTCTTGTTTGTTCCTTCTTCATCACAAATCTAATTTACCTTTTTTTAAAAAAAGAAAGTTATTTACTTATTTATTTTGAGACGGTGTCTTGCTCTGTCGCCCAGGTTGGAGTGCAATGGCTCGATCCCAGCTCACTGCAACCTCCGCCTCCCAGGTTCAAGCGATTCTCCTGCCTCAGCCTCCCAAGTATCTGGGATTACAGGCGTGTGCCTCCACACCTGGCTATTTTTTTTTTTTTTTTGTATTTTTAGTAGAGATGGGGTTTCACCGTGTTAGCCAGGATGGTCTCAATCTCCTGACCTCATGATCTGCCCACTTCGGCCTCCCAAAGTGCTGGGATTACAGGTGTGAGCCATCATGCCTGGCCCAAAAAAAGTTTTATATGATTATGGTAGGCATTAAATCATAGATTATTTTGCTTAACATTATGTTTATGAGATTAAGGGATTTCTTCTCTCTCCTTTAAAACAATATTTTTTGAAAGAGTTATCTCGGCTGGGCATGGTGCCTCACGCCTGTAATCCTAGCATTTTCGGAGGCTGAGACGGGTGGATCACAAGGTCAGGAGTTCAAGACCAGCTTGGCCAAGATGGTGAAATCCCATCTCTACTAAAAATATAAAAAAATTTATCCAGACCTGGTGGCAGGCGCCTGTAATCCCAGCTACTCCGGAGGCTGAGGCAGAGAATTGCTTGAACCTGGGAGACGGAGGTTGCAGTGAGCCAAGATCGCACCACTGCACTCCAGCCTGGGAGACGAGTGAGACTCTGTCTCAAAAAGAAAAAGAAAGGAAGGAAGGGAGGAAGGGAGGGAGGGAGGGAGGGAGGGAGGATTGTCTCTATTCCCTGTCTCCAATTATTCTCTTCACACTGTTAAAAAAAACTCATTCCTATTAATCTTGTTTTCAATATTCTGCTAAAACTACGTCAAGGTCTACTACTGTCAAGTTCACCAATGATACTACCTTTGCTCATCCAGTAGTCAGTTGTCAGTGTTCATTTTACTTCACTACTGGTAGCATTGTCACGGTTATTACTCTGCTCCTTGAAACAGTCCCTTACTGACTTCCAGGACACCATGCATTCTTGATTTTCCTCCTTCTTCACTGGCTGCTCCTTTCTGTCTCCTGTGCTAGCCTCTCCTCTTTTCTTAGAGGTTTTAACCTTGGAATACCTTAAGGTTTAGCTCTTTTTTCTCCATGCTTTTTGATGATTTCATGCAATCTCTCTATGTGTGTGTGTTGATGATTCCGAAAGTGATAGCTCAAGCCTTGACTGCTCCCTCTGGACTTCAGATCTTTATATTCCAGCTGTCTACTGAGCATTTCCATTTGGATGTCTAGTAGGCATCTCCAGTTCAAATTCTCCACATGGAATCTTCATCTTTCCCAAACCTGCACTATCTGCAGTCTTCCTCATCTCCATCTTTCAAGTTAGTTAGGCCCCAAACCTTGGAGTCATCTTCGATTCCTCCTATTCTCTCATACCTCGTTTGTAATGTGTTGGGGAATTCTCTGTGCTCTATCTTCAAAACAAATCCAGAATATAATGACTTCTCATTACTTCCATGGCTCTGTTACAGGAAAGGGGTCCCAATCCAGACCCCAAGAGAGGGTTCTTGGATCTCATGCAAGAAAGAATTCAGGGCAATTAGGTAGAGTAAAGTGAAAACAAGTTTATTTGGAAAGTGAAGGAATAAAAGAATGGCTACTCCATAGAGCAGCCCCAAGGTCTGCTGGTTGCCCATTTTTATGGCTATTTCTTGATGATATGCTGAACACGGGGTGGATTATTCATGCCTCCCCTTTTTAGACCATATTGGGTAACTTCCTGACATTGCCATGGCATTTGTAAACTTTCATGGCGCTGGTGGGAGTGTAGTAGTGGGGACAACCAGACGTCACTCTCGTCATCATCTTGATTTTGGTGGGTTTTGGCCATCTTTTTTACTGCAACCTGTTTTATCAGCAAGATCTTTATGACCTGTATCTTGTCCTGACCTCCTATCTCATCCTGTGACTTAGAATGTCTTAACTGTTTGGGAATGCAGCCCAGTAGGTCTCAGCCTCATTTTACCCAGCCCCTACTCAAGATGGAGTTGCTCTGGTTCAGACGCCTCTGACAGCTCCCACCCTAGTACAAGGTGCCATCAACTCTCACGTGAGTTATTGCAAGGACCTCCAAACTGGTCTCCCTGCTTTTATTTTTTGCCCTCTTCAATACATTCTCAAAATAGCAATCAGAGCACTCCTTTTATAATGCATGTCGGATCATGTCACTTTTCTCCTCCAAACTCTCCATGGATTTCTGGTTCACACAGAGTAAAAACCAAAGTCCTTAGGATAACCTCCAAGGCCCTACCTGATCATTCTGCTTGCCACTTTACCTGTCTGGTCTCATTTCCTACTGTTCTTCCTTTCACTTTACTCAGTTCCAGCCACACTGGGCTCCTTGCTATTTCTTGACTATATTAGAAACCATCTTTTCATTTTAGCTTTTCCTGCCTTGAATGCTTGTCCTCCAGATTTCCACATGGTTCGCTTTGTTACTGTCACTTCTTTTAAGTCTTCGTTCAAATGTCTCCTTTTCAATGAGGCCTACTCTGATTACAGTATTTAAAATTCCATATCTTCTTACCTTGTAATATATTCTTTTTCCTTTCCTTTCCTTTCCTTTCCTCCTTTCCTTTCCTTTCCTCTCTTCTCCTCTCCTCTCCTTTGTGTCTCCCTATAGCATTATTTTACCTTATAAAATACTGTGTGACTTTCTAATTATCTTTTTTTTTTCTGTCCCATTTCCACTAGAATGTGAACTCCACAAGGGCAGAATTTTGTCCTGTTTTGCTCACTGTTGTGTCCCTAGTGTGTGAAATAGGGCCTAACATGTAAGAGGTGCTCAATGCTTTTTTTGGTGATTGAATGCTATTGTTTGTTCATTTTTATTCCTGGATATATTCAATTCTATAAATATAACACGTTAATTTAAAACATGAATTCTGATTATGCACATTTAGTTTCCTTCCTTTCTTCTTCCCTCACCCATCACTTCTTCCTTCCTGCCTTCCTCCCTTCCTTCTTTTTTGCCACTATAAATAAAGCAGCTATGATCCATCTACAAGTGTGCTAGTATACGAAGTTTCTTTAGAGCGTAAAACCAATAGACAAATTACGGGCTAGCAGGACTTGCAGACTTCAACTTTATTAGATAATGAATGCCACACATTTTTAGTGTGGATTCACCAATTTGCATTCCTGTTTTTATTGCTCTACACCAGATGGACAAACTTCGTATTGCCAGAACATTTAATTTTTCGCCATCTGATGGGTATTATCTCATTAATAGTTACTACTTTAATTACTGGTGAGATTAAGCCTGGTGTCTGTGAGGATAGGTTAGGTTATGCTGCAGTAACAGATAATCTTCAAATCTCATGGGCTTAATGCAGTTCTTCACTGATGCAAAGTCTCCTATGGACTAAGACAACTCTCTGGGGCAACTTCTCCATGTAATAACTTGGAGGTCTAAGTTCAGGGAAACTCCATCATTCTGTAACTGTAACAATCTGGAACATGGAACTTTCCCATTTGGTGTGGTAGGGGAAAAGACAGCAGGGATGGATACTCGTGAGCCATCTTCAAATGCTTCCATCTGAAAGTGACATGAATTATTTTCAAATGCTAAACGTAAGTGTTTAAGATAGTCATATGGTAATATGACCCAGTAATTCTATTCCTAGGCATATACCTAAGATGGATGAAAATATACATCCACACAAAAAGTTGTACAGAAGTGTCAGTGGCAACATTCTTCATAATAACCAAAAAACAGAAACTGCCCAAATGTCCATACACTGATGAATGGATAAACAAACTGAGGTATATCCATACAATGGAATATTATTAGGCAATAAAAGGGAATGAAGTGCTGATAAATGCTTCAACACGATGATCCTTGAAAACATGATGCTAACAGAAGGAAGCCAGTTACTAAAGACCCCAGGATTTTATTTATATGAACTGTCCAGAATAGGCAAGTCCATAAACACAGAAAGCAGATCAGTGGTTGCCGGGGATGGAGGAAGCTGGTGAAAGGGGAGCGACTGCTAATGAGGAAGAGGTGCATTGTGGGGTGATGATAATATTTTGAAATTAGACAGTGGTGATGATTGCTCTGTTAGATACATTCACTCAATGTACTAAACCTAGTGAATTGTATGCTATAAAAGAGTGAACTTTATGATATATGAATAATAGACCAATAAAACTGATATTTTAAAAAATACTTTAAAAATAAAGTATATTTCTATATGCCATCAAGAAACAGAAAATGAAATATTTTAGAAATGCATCATTTAAAATGATTCCAAAAACATGAAGTTCCTGTGAAAAACATCTAACAAGATGTTCAGGGACTTTTATGGAAAAAATTAGATGAGATTTACATCTCATATTAGGGAAGAACTCAGTATATGGAGACAGATAGTCATACATTTTAGGACTGAATGATTAAAGGATATCAATTTCCTTTTCATTGTTATAGACTCAAAACAGTCTCAATAGGATCTCTATTAAATTCCTAACAATTTTTTTAGAACTTGACAAGCTGATTCTAAGATGTATATGGAAAGTCAAAACCCAAAGAATGCTAAAGCACTCTTGAAAAAGATGCAAAATGGGAGAATTTGTGCTATCGGATAGCAAGACTCGTTTTAAATCTGTAGTAATCAAGACAATGTTTCTTTATTATTTCTTTTTCCCTTCTACTTTCTTTGATTTTTTCTGTTCTAACTGCTTAAGTGAATGTTCGATTAAATGTTTTATTCTAACAGATTATAAAGGAATGATAGCACATTAATTTTCAGCCTTTCTTCTTTTTGAAAAGTATTATTTATGGCTTTGAGCTGCCTTCTACATACTTCTTTATCTGTGTGAAATAAATTTTGAGATACTGTTTTCACTAAGATCAGTTTAAAATAGGTTCTGATTTTCATATTTCTTTTTGCCCAGTTATTAACTTAAAAGTATTTTTCTGGTTAATTGAAACTTTAGTCAATTTGGAGTAAGCTTCTTGATTTCTAATGTTTCTTTTTGCATTAAAGCCTATTTTGTATGATATTGATATAACTCCACCAGCTTTCTTTTGTTCCGTATGTGCATGTTAAATCTTTTTTCCATCCTTTGCTTTCAGATTTCTACATACTTATTTTAAATGTGTCTCTGTATCCTATATCATTTTTCTGTCATTCTGCATTCAACCTTTCTATATTCTTATGTTTTAGATGTGTCTGTAGTAAACAGCATTTATTTCTTAAGGTATTTTAAATTCAATGTCTTTCCACTGGAGAATTTTGTCAGTTTACATTTAATACAATTACTGATATATTGAGGCTTGTATTTACTTTCTGCTTTCTTTATTTGCCCATAATTCTGGTTATTTTCTTTTTTATTGCCACATTTTAGGTTGATTATTTTTATCACTTCAAATTTTCTTTCATTACTTTAAGAGTTATACACTCTATTTCTATTGTTCAGTAACTACTGTGGAAGTTACCATATGAATCCTTAAGTTATCGAAGTTGAAAATGAATACACTTTGAGCACTAATGAGTACAGGAAAATACAGAGGCCTTAGCTTACTTTAACTTCATTTAATACTCTCTTGCCATATATTGTGAGCATCTTGAATTCCATTTATTTATTCAAATATTTATTGAGAGCTTACTCGGGGCTAAGCATTATTCTAGATACTGAACAAAATAGATGAGCATCCCTGTGCTTGTAAGACATAACAGAGTGCAAACAATAAACTTAATAGAGTAAATTATACCATATACTAGAAGGTAGTAAGTATATGGAAAAAAAACTAGAGCAAGGCGAAAGAGATTAGGAGTGCCGAGAGAGGGAGAAAGAGAATGAATGAGAGTGAGTGCACATAAGTACAAGTGAAAGTGAGTGAGTGTGCCCTAGCTTTGGACCAATACTGTCTATAAAGTTTGTGGGGACATATAAATGTTTTATCTATTTTCACTAGATAACAGCTGAAAGGTTTGAGCCAAATAGAGAGTCTCAGGTGCTTCTATAATGGTATTATAATAGGCTTTAAAAACGTGAAAAACTCATGTTTAAGAACAGCTGTTACCAACTATCTGTTTTGTGAGGGTGGAGGACAACTTAGTTTTTCTCAGAATTAATTATACTTTCTTATTGTAACTTTAGCCGCTGTTATTTGGGTCTCTAAACCTATACAAATTAAGAAGCTATGAACATGAGAGAATCAAACAATTAGATTTCTGTGCACACCAACAGAATTTCTGAACCAAAGTGGTTTGTGTTTAGGAGATGAAAGAGATGATAAATCATACACACACACATAGATAAACACACATATTATATGCATGTGTGTGCATGTGTGTGTGTGTATAAACACAGAGAGAAAACATACTGGCATACACATAAGCACCTGTTAATTGTAGTTGCTGTTATAGTAGTAAGATGTTATCTCTTAGAATTATGGTATACTTATCATATTAGACCTATCCAGGAGGTAGCTGGGTATCTAGTGTGGTGATACTATCTAGTGTGGTGTCTTGCAACAACACTGCTAGTCATAGGTCTGATTTGGGGGAGAAAATATTTTTTTAAGACAGTGTCTCGCTCTATCACCCAGGCTGAAGTGCAGTGGCATGATCATAGCTCATTGCAGCCTCAGTCTCTGGGTTCAAGCTACCCTCCTGCCTCAGTGTCCCCACTGCATGCTACCACACCTGGCTAATTTTTTCAAATTTTTAGTAGGGACGAAGTCTTGCTATGTTACACAGGGTGGTCTCAAACTCCTGAACTCAAGTGATCCTCCCGCTTTGGCCTCCCAAAGCGCAGGGATTACAGGTGTGGACCATCGTGCCAGGCTGGGAGAAAAGTTTTGTTGACACAACAAACAGGATGCAAAGAAACAATCTATAAAAACAGTAATTTAGGTAAGTGGCTTCTTGGTCTTTTGATTAATAGGATTCTAAACTTGCAAATCAATTCTTATGCAGGAGTTCTTATTGGCATTTACCGATGCTCTTTGGCTGATGTTTGTTTTTACTGACCAGAGGTTCTGTGGGAATCTCATTTATTAATACTTACAATGTGCTTCATATTCCTCTGCATCTTTGAGGGACAATTAAATGTCCACTCTATGGAATCTTTTATAATTTCCCAATCATAAGTAATTACTCTGATTTCTCCTAATTACCCTTTTTTCTAGGTAGTTGTGATTCTTTAAGTCTAAGACAGCATGGATTTTTAAGCTACACCACTGATATAGTTTGGATAATAGTCCCCTCCAAATCTCATGTTGAAACTTGATTCCCAGTGTTAGAGGTGAGTCCTGAAGTGGGAGGTGTTTAGGTCATGGAGCAGATCCCCAAAGAGTGGCTTGGTGACATCATCACAGTAATGAGCATGTTCTTACTCTATTAGTTCCTGTGAGCACTGATTTTTAAAAAGAGCTTGGCTTGTCCCTCCTCTCTCTTGCTTCCATGCTGTCACTATGTGATCTCTGCATGCTGGCTTCCTTTCCCCTCTCCTTTGCCTGCACTATGAGTGGAAGCAACTCGAGGCCCTCACCAGATGCAGTACAGGTGCCGGTGCCATGCTTCTTGTATCGCCTGTGGAACCATGAGCCAAGAAACCTTTTTTCTTCATAAATTACCCAGTCTCAGGTTTTCCTTTGTTACAACATGAATGAATTAAGATAACCATCATTTTTGTATCAGTAAAAAGAAAAAGCTCTGCGTATTTAACTATTATACAGTATTTTTTATCATTTAAAAATTTATACTTATTCAGATAGCTCACTAAGAATTATATATATAAACATTTTTATTTAAATCATGCCATTCTCATAAGGAAAGTATAAATCAAAGATTTCGGTTAAGGGATTCTTATTCATATTCAAAGTCTGTTTTTTTCAAGTTGCTTTTCATCTCAGAACTGTTGATGTAAATATTTTCCCAAACAGTATCATACTCTGGGCTATCAAGAATATTTGTGATACAGCAATTCAAAAAAGAATGCCTCACTATTGTTTCTGGGATTTTCTTCCAAGCTGGTTCATTTTGCTAATTTTGATGCGGCTTTTAACTGATCTTGTAAGATGTCAATATCGGGTTTTTTGGAGTTCATATTCTTTCCTCAAATGGTCTTTAAATAGTTTGTTGACCAAAATATTGATAGGTTAAAATTGTCCAGTTGGTCATTAAGAAAGTGTCCAGTTTTGATGTATGCAATCAATAACAACCAGATCACAGCTGCTACCAGGCCATCGGGAATTGTAAGATGCTATAAATTTAAACAATGATGCTGATGCCAGAGGTGTTAAAATGTTGTGAATCTTAAAACAGAAGACATACAATACTACTCTCTTCCTTTGTATTTCCTGTAGTTCAACTAAAAATCTCACCTTTCGTTGGCCCCTAGGACTTTGTGAGTAGCTATTTTCTCTGAAATCCCATAGTACTTTATTTAATGAAAGGAACTAAGTAATAATTTGGGGTGAAAATAATCCATGTACATGGTTAAAAAAAACTTACTTATGTATAAACCAGTAGCCCTCTGCTCTACTACCTACACTAAAGGGTATAACCTGACCCTAGGAACAACTAGTTTGAACCATTTCTGGTTTTAGTCCTTCTTCCTCTAGGGCTAAATTGTATGTTTATACTGTCTGCTTTTCTTTTTTTTTCATTTATCATTTAAGCAGATACCATAGTAGAAGATAATTTAGCCTACTCATTTCACCTCCTTTTCTTTTTTGCTCCTCCACATATATTAATTTTATGAGCTCCTTTATTGGTTACATTTGTCATTTCCACCACGATATTTGTTCCATTAACTACAGACAGTTTCTCTTGAACCCCTGCTTCATGAGTTTGGGATATTTCACCCTTTCTCCTCTCACCATCTCTCCTTGTATATTATAACACCTAAATCTGACAACTGTGTGGTGAGAGTATTGATAATATTTTAGGTTTAGTATTTGTTATTAAATTTTGTATTTTTGTCTATTGGTTGACCCTAAAAGTTGAAAAATTAATAAATAGCATTAAAGTTATTATGACCCTGTAAATGTTGTTTACTGCAGAATCAAGAAGTATTCTACAGTTACATTTCATTCAGTATGGCTCCTGAGCCACCCAAAGAATGTTCCTAGAATCAAAGTTAAGGAGATTCTTTCTTTCAAATGGATTATTTAATTCTAGCATTTGCTAAAAATTTGCCATATTTTCTTTTCATTCATATTTACATTGTGAATTTCTGTGACGCTTTTTCAAATTACCTTTATTTTTTCTTATTGGGAAAGCATATGTGGGCCTTCCTGGTTTCATCCTTAATAATTTTCAGCTTTTTACTTTCTTTATTTTTTTGAATGCATTTTCTTCCTTTTTTTTTTGAAGTCCACTGACTCATATTCTAGTGGCTTCAATTTTGAATTATGACTTCCTTTTTCCCTGGTGTTTATTCTGTTTTTATTTTATTTTCAAGTTTTTTTCTGGCTTCAGGATTATATTATGTGTCAGGTTGCCTTCCATCTCCACCTTCCTCCTTGCCATCTCCTTTTGGGGGCCATCTATACTACAGCTGCTATCTGGACTAGTCATTTGAAAGTTTGCAGAGCCAGCAAACTTGTTTGTAACCACGATTTCCTGAATGTGTATGTTTTTGTCGTTTTTGGTTTTCTCCTCATTTTGCTGGAATACTTTATAAAATTACTTCTGGCAAATAAATTTATACTATATAAATTTTGTAAGCCATTACATTACTAAAAGTATATTTGTTTCTCTCGGATACTTCTTTGACTGGATGTAAAATTCTAAACTGAAAAGAATTTTCTATAAGTCAGTTGCTGGATTATTTTCTAGTATTCGGTGTTTTGGGATGAAACATTTGTTTTCCATTCTCTTTCTTACTCCTTTAGTGATTTTTTTCTTCTCTGGAATCTTTTCTTATATTCTTTTTTTCTTTGTTGTTTGGTAATTTCTTAATTATATGTTTAGGAATGAATCTGTTTCCATTCTTCTTTCTTGGAGCCTGGTAGCCATATTTTTCACTTTGAACACTTGTGCCTTTTATCTCTGGGAAATGTGCCTTTTATCTCTTGTGCCTTTTATCTCTGGAAACACTTGTGCCTTTTATCGCTGGGAAATTTTCTTGTATTTTTTTTGTGTGATTATTTTCTCCTTTCTATTCTTTTTTTCTGGAAGTACTGTTGGTTGGATTTGGGTCTCTTGGATTTATTTTTAAGTGACTTCTTTTTCTTAAACATTTATTTCCTGGTTTTTTTTTTTTGCCTTTGGGGGGAAATGTTAATTATGCATTTTTTTTAAAACCATTGAAATTTTTTTTTTGTACTATGCATGTAATTTTCAAAAGCTCTTTCTTGCTCTCATTATTCCTTTGTTATTTTATGGATCCAAAACTTTCTGAAATGTCTCTGCCAATACTCATTAAAGATTTGTTAAAGCTTTTTTTTTTTTCTTTAATTTATCCCTGTGTCCCTGGTGGTTAGTTTCCTTTTTACTTTCTTTTTATAAAAGAAAAATTTAACACAATGCTAAAGACTTTCTTCATGTCTTTGTGTCTCCATTCAGCATGGCTGTTAAATGAAGAAACAGGAAGAATGTGACTTCTGTGCATATGGGCAGTGTTTTATCAACTGATAGGCTTCATGTTAGGCACTCAATCAAAGAGCTGCCATTTATGCTAAAGGCCTGTTGCCTAAATGTCAGGGCTTTACCATACCGGTGCCAAGTTTACATGAAAAGCTCAAGTTCTCAAACAACTTGTACTTTTTCCTCCTTTAACACATAGGAGTGTATACTATAATTTTTAAATTGTCTTTGGCCATTTGACACCTTTGAATACTTTGCTCGTGTTTGAGGAATTTCCACTTAATAAGCCCCTGTTTTCCCAAGCTTCCTGGCAGTCTGCCTGTAGAGTGTGAAGTAGGCTCCATCAGTTAGAGGCATTTGTGCCAGATTTTAGATCAGAAGTGTGGGACATGAAAGGGCAGATGAGCTCCCCGGAGCTCAGAGGTAGTAGGCATTGAGGTTTCAGTCATAACATGCAGTATCCTGGTATGGTGCAGGGCTGTCTTCTCTAGAGCAATTCTGCATGGGATTTTGGGTGTGGTCTTGGCTGTGTGCTTTTCTAGCTTGGTTCTCTGGCACTCACTGAGGTTCGGAGAGCTACCCAGTAAACTTTAATAAATTTCTTTCCTGCTTAGACTAGTCAAAGTTCATTTCAGTTGTTTGTTAGTCACTCTCCTGACAGTTACATGGAGCTAGTTTAGCTGCTGTGCAATGTTTGTGAGGAGGTGAATTACATACGCAGATATTACATGTGCAGACCAAAATGGCCTCTCCTTTTAGCCCCACCTCACCCTCCTGCCCTTATCATTTAGAACATCTGCAGGTTTGTTTTCTCATTGTTGACAGCCTATTCTCCAAATATCCTATGTAGTTACTACCTTTGTTATACCTCATTAGTCTTTGCTAATTGATATGGTTTGGATATTTGTCCCCTCCAAATCTCACGTTGAAATGTAATCTCCAGTGTTGGTGGTGGGGCCTGGTGGGAGATATTTGGGTCATGGGGTGGGTCCCTCACGAATGGCTTGGTGCCCTCCCTGTGGTAATGAGTGAGTTCTTGCTCTGAGTTCATGCAAGATCTGGTTGTTAAAGGAGCCTGGCATCTTCTTCCACCCTCTCTTGCTCCCCCTTGCCATGTGATGCACCTGCTCCCCATTCACTTTCCACCATGACTGTAAGCTTCTTGAGGCCCTCACCAGAAGCAGATGCTGGCCTCATGCTTCCTTTATAGTCTACAGGACCATGAACCAAAATAAAACACTTTTCTTTATAAATTACCCAGTCTCAGATATTCCTTTTTAACAATGCAAGAATGGACTAACACACTAATGTTTTAGAAATTTGTTTTTCTCTTTTGCTGCTGATCGCTCTCTCATTCACTCTTGTAGTGGGTTGATATTATTTACTTTACTATAATTTTCAAGGTATCTCAGGAGGGAAAGATCAGTTTGTTCAGTTTACCATTTTTTTTTGAGACAGCATCTCACTCTGTCACCCAGGCTAGAGTACAATGGTGCAATTTTGGCTCACTGTAATCTCTGCCTTTCAGGCTCAAGCGATTCTCATGCCTCAGCCTCTTGAGTAGCTGGGATTACAGGCATACGCCACCATGCATGGCTAATTTTTATATTTTTAGTAGAGATGGGGTTTTTCCAGGCTGGTCTCGAACTCCTGGCCTCAAGTGATCCGCCTGCCTTGGGGTTCCAGAGTGCTGGGATTACAAGCATGAGCCACCGTGCCTAGTCCCAGTTTACCATCTTGAACCTGAAGTCCCACTGGTATTATCGTGCTTTGACATGTAAAAAAATTAATAAAATGTTATTTCTTAAAGTAAATAAATTTTAATTATTTTCTACATTTCTAGCATCACATGTGGTAGCTTGCATTTTATTGAATATCTGGTTAATATTTAAATGAGTCAATTTATGTAGAGCTTTTAGATTACACCGTAGGTAAGATGCCTACTCTGACTCAACTTTGTTGACTTTATGGTACCCACATCTGTGAATCATAGCTTATCCTTATGCATTTTTTAGGAATTAATATGTGACAAGTTCACACAGAGTAATATCAGGAATTAAAGTACTTGAAATTATGTTTTCCAAGTGACAAATATTTATGCCAGGATGTTGGAAGGTTTTTTTTTTAATTAAAAAATAATTTAAGTCTTTAACAGCTACTTGATGGGAATAACATGACCAATTTATATTCCAAGTGAATAAATAAAAGTTAACATACTTAAAATGACAAGGCTACTGGAAATAGATCAGGCTATATTTATTTTGTTAAATTTTTGATACTTGAAGAAATAGTGTTTTTCAGTTGCATTTAAATTAAATGTTTAAATGCTTATTTAAGTGAGAGATAGACAGATGCTTCTCTAACAAAAAGTAAAAGCAAAAATTAGTGGCATTTGGAGCTCATTGAGTTAACTCATCAAAGCAACATTATTGTCAGAATTGCTTTTCTTACTCATAAACTTTCCTACACACTCAGAGATTTTTTGAGATCAATGGAGCAAGTTGTAAATAATTTTATTTCTGCTCAAACACTGATTGAGACTGTTCTGTTTTATATTTAAGTAGAATTTGATAGGTAAAAATAACACAAATAATCCTTTACAATAGAAATTAAACAGTCTGATCTTCCTTTGAAAGCCCAAATTATGCTTATTCAGTAGAATATAGATTTGGATTTTTTCTTCATAGTAATAACTGAAGAGTAAGCATGATTAATATGCTTACTGTGCTGGGCATATTATGCAAATTAAATTACTGCTTGCATACCCATACATCATGGATGTATCATTTAGATCAGACTGTGGATTTGTCTTTGTATACTTTATACAGATTTCTTCAAATATTTGTATATTTCAACATAGGCTTTTTTTTCTTTTCATTTCTTTCTAAATTCCTAAGGGCTGTTTTTCTTTTTAAACGTGAGAATAAATATCTACATTAATTATTTATTATATACTTTAATTGATTCAACAACTATTTATGAGTACTTACGATGTTCCAGAGAATATATTAAAATACTTGTTTTTCAGAAGTCTAATATGGATGAGAAACATTGTGCCTATTCTTTTTTTTTTTTTAAATTGTACTTTAAGTTCTGTGATACATGTGCAGAATGTGCAGGTTTGTTACATAGGTATACACATGCCACGGTGGTTTGCTGCACCCATCAACCCGTCACCTACATTAGATATTTCTCCTGGTGCTATCCCTCCCCTAGCCAGCCACCCCCCGACAGGCCCTGGTGTGTGATGTTTCTCTCCCTGTGTCCATGTGTTCTCATTGTTCAACTCCCACTTGTGAGTGAGAACATGCAGTGTTTGGTTTTCTGTTCCTGTGTTAGTTTGCTGAGAATGATGGTTTCCAGCTTCATTCATGTCCCTGCAAAGGATATGAACTCATCCTTTTTTATGGCTGCATAGTATTCCATGGTGTATATGTGCCACATTTTCTTTATCCAGTCTATCATTGATGGCCATTTGGGTTGGTTCCAAGTCTTTGCTGTTGTGAATAGTGCTGCAATAAACATGTGTGCATGTGTCTTTATAGTAGAATGATTTATAATCCTTTGGGTATATACCCAGTAATGGGATTGCTGGGTCAAATGGTATTTCTGGTTCTAGATCCCTGAAGAATTGTCATACTGTCTTCCACAATGGTTGAACTAATTTACACTCCCACCAACAGTGTAAAAGCGTTCCTATTTCTCCGCATCCTCTCCAGCATCTTTTGTTTCCTGAATTTTTAATGATCGCCATTCTAACTGACATCAGATGGTATCTCATTGTTGTTTTGATTTGCATTTCTCAAATGACCAGTGATGATGAGCTTTTTTTTCATATGTTTGTTGGACACATAAATGTCTTCTTCTGAGTAGTGTCTGTTCATATCCTTTGCCCACCTTTTGATGGGGTTGTTTGTTTTTTTCTTATAAATTTGTTTAAGTTCTTTGTAGATTCTGGATATTAGCCCTTTGTCAGATGGTTAGATTGCAAAAATTTTCTCCTATTCCGTAGGTTGCCTGTTCACTGTGATGATAGTTTCTTTTGCTGTGCAGAAGCTGAGCTGTTTAGTTTAATTATATCCCATTTGTCAATTTTGGCTTTTGTTGCCATTGCTTTTGATGTTTTAGTCATGAAGACTTTGCTCATGCCTATGCCCTGAATGGTGTTGCCTAGGTTTTCTTCTAGGGCTTTTATGGGTTTAGGTCTTACATTTAAGTCTTTAATCCATCTTGAGTTAATTTTTGTATAAGTTGTAAAGAAGGGGTCCAGTCTCAGTTTTCTGCATATGGCTAGCCAGCTTTCCCAACACCATTTATTAAATAGGGAATCCTTTCCCCATTGCTTGTTTTTGTCAGGATTGTCAAAGATCAGATGGTTGTAGATGTGTGGCATTATTTCTGAGGCCTCTTTTGGTTCCATTGGCCTATATATCTGTTTTGGTACAGTACCATGCTGTCTTGGTTACTGTAGCCTTGTAGTATAGTTTGAAGTCAGTTAGTGTGATGCCTCCAGTTTTGTTCTTTTTGCTTAGGATTGTCTTGGCTGTGCAGGCTCTCTTTTGGTTCCATATGAAATTTAAAGTAGTTTTTAAAATTCTTTAAAGAAAGTCAATGGTGGCTTGATGGGGATAGCACTGAATCTATAAATTACTTTGGGCAGTATAGCTGTTTTCACAATATTGATTCTTCCTATCCATGTGCATGGAATGTTTTTCCATTTGTTTGTGTCCTCTCTTATTTCCTTGAGAAGTGGTTTGTAGTTTTCCTTGAAGAGGTCATTAGGTATTTTATTCTCTTTGTAGCAATTGTGAATGGGAGTTCACTCATGATTTGGTGCTCTGTTTGCCTATTATTGGTGTATAGGAATGCTTGTGATTTTCACACATTGATTTTGTATCCTGAGACTTTGCTGAAGTTGCTTATCAGCTTAAGGAGATTTTGGGCTGAGACGATGGGGTTTTCTAAATACACAATCATGTCCTCTGCAAACAGAGACAATTTGATTTCCTCTCTTCCTATTTGAATACCCTTAATTTCTTTCTCTTGCCTGATTTCCCTGGCTAGAACTTCCAATACTATGTTGAACAGGAGTGGTGAGAGAGGGCATTCTTGTCTTGTGCCAGTTTTCAAAGGGAATGCTTCCAGCTTTTGCCCATTCAGTATGATATTGGCTATGGGTCATAAATAGCTCTTATTATTTTTAGATATGTTCCATCAATACCTAGTTTATTGAGCGTTTTTAGCATGAAGCAGTGTTGAATATTATCGAAGGCCTTTTCTGCATCTATTGAGACAATCATGCGGTTTTTTTTTGCATATAAATATAATAGAATATTATTCAGCCTTAAAACGGGGTGAAATTTTGATACGTGGTACAACATTGATAAACTTTATTTTATTTTATTTTATTTATTATTATTATTATACTTTAAGTTTTAGGGTACATGTGCACAATGTGCAGGTTAGTTACATATGTATACATGTGCCATGCTGGTGTGCTGCACCCATTAACTCGTCATTTAGCATTAGGTATATCTCCTAATGCTATCCCTCCCCACTCCCCCCACCCCACAACAGTCCCCAGAGTGTGATGTTCCCCTTCCTGTGTCCATGTGTTCTCATTGTTCAATTCCCACCTATGAGTGAGAATATGCGGTGTTTGGTTTTTTGTTCTTGCGATAGTTTACTGAGAATGATGATTTCCAGTTTCATCCATGTCCCTACAAAGGACATGAACTCATCATTTTTTATGGCTGCATAGTATTCCATGGTGTATATGTGCCACATTTTCTTAATCCAGTCTATCATTGTTGGACATTTGGGTTGGTTCCAAGTCTTTGCTATTGTGAATAGTGCCGCAATAAACATACGTGTGCATGTGTCTTTATAGCAGCATGATTTATAGTCCTTTGGGTATACACCCAGTAATGGGATGGCGGGGTCAAATGGTATTTCTAGTTCTAGATCCCTGAGGAATCGCCACACTGACTTCCACAATGGTTGAACTAGTTTAGAGTCCCACCAACAGTGTAAAAGTGTTCCTATTTCTCCACATCCTCTCCAGCACCTGTTGTTTCCTGACTTTTTAATGATTGCCATTCTAACTGGTGTGAGATGGTATCTCATTGTGGTTTTGATTTGCATTTCTCTGATGGCCAGTGATGGTGAGCATTTTTTCATGTGTCTTTTGGCTACATAAATGTCTTCTTTTGAGAAGTGTCTGTTCATATCCTTTGCCCACTTTTTGATGGGGTTGTCTGTCTTCTTCTTGTAAATTAGTTTGAGTTCATTGTAGATTCTGGATATTAGCCCTTTGTCAGATGAGTAGTTTGTGAAAATTTTCTCCCATTTTGTAGGTTGCCTGTTCACTCTGATGGTAGTTTCTTTGGCTGTGCAGAAGCTCTTTAGTTTAATGAGATCTCATTTGTCAATTTTGGCTTTTGTTGCCATTGCTTTTGGTGTTTTAGACATGAAGTCCTTGCCCATGCCTATGTCCTGAGTGGTAATGCCTAGGTTTTCTTCTAGGGTTTTTATGGTTTTAGGTCTAACGTTTAAGTCTTTAATCCATCTTGAATTAATTTTTGTATAAGGTGTAAGGAAGGGATCCAGTTTCAGCTTTCTACATATGGCTAGCCAGTTTTCCCAGCACCATTTATTAAATAGGGAATCCTTTCCCCATTGCTTGTTTTTCTCAGGTTTGTCAAAGATCAGATAGTTGTAGATATGCAGTGTTATTTCTGAGGGCTCTGTTCTATTCCATTGATCTATATCTCTGTTTTGGTACCAGTACCGTGCTGTTTTGGTTACTGTAGCCTTGTAGTATAGTTTGAAGTCAGGTAGAGTGATGCCTCCAGCTTTGTTCTTTTGGCTTAGGATTGACTTGGCGATGCGGGCTCTTTTTTGGTTCCATGTGAACTTTAAAGTAGTTTTTTCCAATTCTGTGAAGAAAGTCATTGGCAGCTTGATGCGGATGGCATTGAATCTATAAATTACCTTGGGCAGTATGGCCATTTTCACGATATTGATTCTTCCTACCCATGAGCATGGAATGTTCTTCCATTTGTTTGTATCCTCTTTTATTTCCTTGAGCAGTGGTTTGTAGTTCTCCTTGAAGAGGTCCTTCACATCCCTTGTAAGCTGGATTCCTAAGTATTTTATTCTCTTTGAAGCAATTTTGAATGGGAGTTCACTCATGATTTGGCTCTCTGTTTGTCTGTTATTGGTGTATAAGAATGCTTGCGATTTTTGTACATTGATTTTGTATCCTGAGACTTTGCCGAAGTTGCTTATCAGCTTAAGGAGATTTTGGGCTGAGACAATGGGGTTTTCTAGATATACAATCATGTCATCTGCAAACAGGGACAATTTGACTTCCTGTTTTCCTAGTTGAATACCCTTTATTTCCTTCTCCTGCCTAATTGTCCTGGCCAGAACTTCCAACACTATGTTGAATAGGAGTGGTGAGAGAGGGCATCCCTGTCTTGTGCCAGTTTTCAAAGGGAATGCTTCCAGTTTTTGCCCATTCAGTATGATATTGGCTGTGGATTTGTCATAGATAGCTCATTATTTTGAGATATGTCCCATGAATACCTAATTTATTGAGAGTTTTTAGCATGAAGGGTTGTTGAATTTTGTCAAAGGCCTTTTCTGCATCTATTGAGATAATCATGTGGTTTTTGTCTTTGGTTCTGTTTATATGCTGGATTACATTTATTGATTTGTGTATATTGAACCAGCCTTGCATCCCAGGGATGAAGCCCACTTGATCATGGCGGATAAGCTTTTTGATGTGCTGCTGGATTCGGTTTGCCAGTATTTTATTGAGGATTTTTGCAGCAATGTTCTTCAAGGATATTGGTCTAAAATTCTCTTTTTTGGTTGTGTCTCTGCCTGGCTTTGGTATCAGGATGATGCTGGCCTCATAAAATGAGTTAGGGAGGATTCCCTCTTTTTCTATTGATTGGAGTTGTTTCAGAAGGAATGGTACCAGTTCCTCCTTGTACCTCTGGTAGAATTCGGCTGTGAATCCATCTGGTCCTGGACTCTTTTTGGTTGGTAAGCTATTGATTATTGCCACAATTTCAGATCCTGTTATTGGTCTATTCAGAGATTCAACTTCTTCCTGATTTAGTCTTGGGAGAGTGTATGTGTCGAGGAATTTATCCATTTCTTCTAGATTTTCTAGTTTATTTGCATAGAGGTGTTTGTAGTATTCTCTGATGGTAGTTTGTATTTCTGTGAGATCGGTGGTGATATCCCCTTTATCATTTTTTATTGCATCTATTTGATTCTTCTCTCTTTTTTTCTTTATTAGTCTTGCTAGCGGTCTATCAATTTTGTTGATCCTTTCAAAAAACCAGCTCCTGGATTCATTAATTTTTTGAAGGGTTTTTTGTGTCTCTATTTCCTTCAGTTCTGCTCTGATTTTACATATTTCTTGCCTTCTGCTGGCTTTTGAATGTGTTTGCTCTTGCTTTTCTAGTTCTTTTAATTGTGATGTTAGGGTGTCAATTTTGGATCTTTCCTGCTTTCTCCTGTGGGCATTTAGTGCTATAAATTTCTCTCTACACACTGCTTTGAATGTGTCCCAGAGATTCTGGTATGTTGTGTCTTTGTTCTCGTTGGTTTCAAAGAACATCTTTATTTCTGCCTTCATTTCGTTATGTACCCAGTAGTCATTCAGGAGCAGGTTGTTCAGTTACCATGTAGTTGAGTGTCTTTGAGAGAGTTTCTGAATCCTCAGTTCTAGTTTGACTGCACTGTGGTCTGAGAGACAGTTTGTTATAATTTCTGTTCTTTTACATTTGCTGAGGAGAGCTTTACTTCCAACCATGTGGTCAATTTTGGAATAGGTGTGGTGTGGTGCTGAAAAAAATGTATATTCTGTTGATTTGGGGTGGAGAGTTCTGTAGATGTCTATTAGGTCTGCTTGGTGCAGAGGTGAGTTCAATTCCTGGGTATCCTTGTTAACTTTCTCTGTCGTTGATCTGTCTAATGTTGACAGTGGGGTGTTAAAGTCTCCCATTATTATTGTGTGGGAGTCTAAGTCTCTTTGTAGGTCACTCAGGACTTGCTTTATGAATCTGGGTGCTCCTGTATTGGGTGCATATATATTTAAGATAGTTAGCTCTTCTTGTTGAATTGATCCCTTTACCATTATGTAATGGCCTTCTTTGTCTCTTTTGATCTTTGTTGGTTTAAAGTCTGTTTTATCAGAGACTAGGATTGCAACCCCGGTCTTTTTTTGTTTTCCATTTGCTTGGTAGATCCTCCTCCGTCCTTTTATTTTGAGCCTATGTGTGTCTCTGCATGTGAGATGGGTTTCCTGAATACAGCACACTGATGGGTCTTGACTCTTTATCCAATTTTCCAGTCTGTGTCTTTTAATTGGAGCATTTAGTCCATTTACATTTAAAGTTAATATCGTTATGTGTGAATTTGGTCCTGTCATTATGATGTTAGCTGGTTATTTTGTTCATTAGTTGATGCAGTTTCTTCCTAGCCTCGAAGGTCTTTACAATTTGGCATGATTTTGCAGTGGCTGGTACCAGTTGTTCCTTTCCATGTTTAGTGCTTCCTTCAGGAGCTCTTTCAGGGCAGGCCTGGTGGTGACAAAATCTCTCAGCATTTGCTTGTCTGTAAAGTATTTTATTTCTCCTTCACTTATGAAGCTTAGTTTGGCTGGATATGAAATTCTGGGTTGAAAATTCTTTTCTTTAAGAATGTTGAATATTGGTCCCCACTCTCTTCTGGCTTGTAGAGTTTCTGCCGTGAGATCCGCTGTTAGTCTGATGGGCTTCCCTTTGTGGGTAACCCGACCTTTCTCTCTGGCTGCCCTTAACATTTTTTCCTTCATTTCAACTTTGGTGAATCTGACAATTATGTGTCTTGGAGTTGCTCTTCTCGAGGAGTATCTTTGTGGCGTTCTCTGTATTTCCTGAATCTGAATGTTGGCCTGCCTTGCTAGATTGGGGAAGTTCTCCTGGATAATATCCTGCAGAGTGTTTTCCAACTTGGTTCCATTCTCCAAGTTGGTCACTTTCAGGTACACCAATCAGACGCAGATTTGGTCTTTTCACATAGTCCCATATTTCTTGGAGGCTTTGTTCGTTTCTTTTTATTCTTTTTTCTCTAAACTTCCCTTCTCGCTTCATTTCATTCATTTCATCTTCCATCACTGATACCCTTTCTTCCAGTTGATCGCATTGGCTCCTGAGGCTTCTGCATTCTTCACGTAGTTCTCGAGCCTTGGCTTTCAGCTCTATCAGCTCCTTTAAGCACTTCTCTGTATTGGTTATTCTAGTTATACATTTGTCTAAATTTTTTTCAAAGTTTTCAACTTCTTTGCCTTTGGTTTGAATTTCCTCCTGTAGCTCGGAGTAGTTTGATCGTCTGAAGCTTTCTTCTCTCACCTCGTCAAAGTCATTCTCCATCCAGCTTTGTTCTGTTGCTGGTGAGGAACTGCGTTCCTTTGGAGGAGGAGAGGCGCTCTGCTTTTTAGAGTTTCCAGTTTTTCTGCTCTGTTTTTTCCCCATCTTTGTGGTTTTATCTACTTTTGGTCTTTGCTGATGGTGATGTACAGATTGGTTTTTGGTGTGGATGTCCTTTCTGTTTGTTAGTTTTCCTTTTAACAGACAGGACCCTCAGCTGCAGGTCTGTTGGAGTTTGCTAGAGGTCCACTCCAGACCCTGTTTGCCTGGGTATCAGCAGCAGTGTCTGCAGAACCGCGGATTTTCGTGAACCGCGAATGCTGCTGTCTGATCCTTCCTCTGGAAGTTTTGTCTCAGAGGAGTACCCGGCCGTGGGAGGTGTCGGTCTGCCCCTACTGGGGGGTGCCTCCCAGTTAGGCTGCTCGGGGGTCAGGGGTCAGGGACCCACTTGAGGAGGCAGTCTGCCCGTTCTCAGGTCTCCAGCTGCGTGCTGGGAGAACCACTGCTCTCTTCAACGCTGTCAGACAGGAACATTTAAGTCTGCAGAGGTTACTGCTGTCTTTTTGTTTGTCTGTGCCCTGCCCCCAGAGGTGGAGCCTACAGAGGCAGGCAGGCCTCCTTGAGCTGTGGTGGGCTCCACCCAGTTCGAGCTTCCTGGCTGTTTTGTTTACCTAAGGGAGCCTGGGCCATGGCGGGTGCCCCTGCCCCAGCCTCGCTGCCGCCTTGAAGTTTGATCTCAGACTGCTGTGCTAGCAATCAGCGAGACTCCGTGGGCGTAGGACCCTCCGAACCAAGTGCGGGCTATAATTCTCCTGGTGCGCCCTTTCCTAAGCCTGTCGGAAAAGCTCAGTATTCAGGTGGGAGTGACCCGATTTTCCAGGTGCCGTCTGTCACCTCTTTCCTTGACCGGGAAAGGGAACTCCCTGACCCCTTGCGCTTCCTGAGTGAGGCAATGCCTTGCCCTGCTTTGGCTCGCGCACAGCGCGCTGCACCCACTGTCCTGCACCCACTGTCTGGCACTCCCTAGTGAGATGAACCCGGTACCTCAGATGGAAATGCAGAAATCACCCGTCTTCTGCGTGGCTCACACTGGGAGCTGTAGACCAGAGCTGTTCCTATTCGGCCACCTTGGCTCCTCCCCCCATCATGTGGTTTTTGTCATTGGTTCTGTTTATGTGATAGATTATGTTTATTGATTTGTGTATGTTGAAGCAGCCTTGCATCCTAGAGATGAAGCCGACTTCATCGTGGTGGATGAGCTTTTTGATGTGCTGCTGGATTCTTTTTGCCAGTATTTTATTGAGGATCTTTGCACCAATGTTCATCAGGGATATTGGCCTGAAATTTTCTTTTTTTGTTTTGTCTATGCCAGGTTTTAGTATCAGGATGATGCGGGCCTCATAAACGAGTTATGGAGGAATCCCTCTTTTCCTGTTGTTTAGAATAATTTCAGAAGGAATGGTACCAGCTCCTCTTTGTACCTCTGGTAGAATTCGGCTGTGAATCTGTCTGGTCCTGGGCCTTTTTTGGTTGGTAGGCTATTAATTACTGGCTCAATTTCAGACCCTGTTTTTGGTCTATTCAGGGATTTGACTTCTTCCTAGTCTTGGGAGGTGTATGGGTCTAGGAATTTATCCATTTCTTCTAGATTTTCTAGTTTATTTGCATAGAGGTGTTTATAGTATTTTCTGGTGGTAGTTTGTATTTCTGTGGGATCAGTGGTGATATACCCTTTATCATTTTTTATTGTGTCTATTTGATTCTTCTCTCTTTTCTTCTTTATTAGTCTGGCTAGTGGTCTATTTTGTTGATCTTTTCAAAAATCCAGCTCCTGGATTCACTGAGTTTTTGAAGGGTTTTTCGTGTCTCTATCTCCTTCAGTTCTGCCCTGATCTTAGTTATTTCTTGTCTTCTGCTAGCTTTTGAATTTGTCTGCTCTTGCTTCTCTAGTTCTTTTAATTGTGATGATAGGGTGTCAATTTTAGATCTTTCCTGCTTTCTCTTGTGGGCATTTAGTGCTATAAATTTCCCTCTAAACACCGCTTTATATATGTCCCAGAGATTCTGGTACGTTGTGTCTTTGTTCTCACTGGTTTCAAAGAACATCTTTATTTCTGCATTAATTTCATTATTTACCCAGTAGTCATTCAGGAGCAGGTTGTTCAGTTTCCATGCAGTTGTGCAGTTCTGAGTGAGTTTCTTAATCCTCAGTTATAATTTGATTACACTGTGGTCTGAGAGACAGTTTGTTATGATTTCTGTTCTTTTGCATTTGCTGAGGAGTGTTTTACTTCCAATTATGTGGTCAATTTTAGAATAAGCGCGATGTGGTGCTGAGAAGAATGTATATTCTGTTGATTTGGGGTGGAGAGTTCTGTAGATGCCTATTAGGTCTTCTTGGTCCAGAGCTGAGTTCAAGTCCTGAATATGCTTGTTAATTTTCTTTCTTGTTGATCTGTCTAACATTGACAGTGGGGTGCTAAAGTTTCCCACTATTATCATGTGGCAGTTTAAGTCTCTTTGTAGGTCATTAAGAACTTGCTTTATGAGTCTGGGTGCTCCTGTATTGGGTGCATATATTTAGGATAGTTAGCTCTTCTTGTTGCATTGATCCCTTTACCATTATGTCATGCTCTTTTTTGTCTTTTTTGGTCTTTGTTGGTTTAAAGTCTGTTTTATCGGAGACTAGGATTGCAACCCCTGCTTTTTCTTTTTTGCTTTCCATTTGCTTGATAAATATTCCTCCATCCCTTTATTTTGAGCCTATGTGTCTCACATGCAAAGGCATGTGAGACTGGTCTCCTGAATACAGCACACTGATGGGTCGTGACTGTTTTTCCAATTTGGCAGTCTGTGTCTTTTAATTGGGGCATTTAGCCCATTTACATTTAAAGTTAATATTGTTATGTGTGAATTTGATCCTGTCATTATGATGCTAGCTGGTTGTTTTGCCCATTAGTTGATGCAGTTTCTTCATAGTGTTGATGGTCTTTACTATTTGGTATGTTTTTACAGTGGCTGGTACTGGTTTTTCCTTTCCATGTTTAGTGCTTCCTTCAGGAGCTCTTTTAAGGCAGGCCTGGTGGTGACAGAATCTCTCAGCATTTGCTTGTCTGTAAAGGATTTTATTTCTCCTTCACTTATGAAGCTTAATTTGGCTGGATATGAAATCCTGGGTTGAAAGTTCTTTTCTTTAAGAATGTTGAATATTGGCCCCCACTCTCTTCTGGCTTGTAGAGTTTCTGCAGACATATCCACTGTTAGTCTGATGGGCTTCCCTTTGTGGGTAACTTGACCTTTCTCTCTGGCTGCCCTTGACGTTTTTTCCTTCATTTCAACCTTGGTGAATTTGACGATTATATGTCTTCAGGTTGCTCTTCTCGAGGAGTATCTTTGTGGTGTTCTCGTATTTCTTGAATTTGAATGTTGGCCTGTCTTACTAGGTTGGGGAAGTTCTCCTGGATAATATCCTGCAGAGTGTTTTCCAACTTGGTTCTGTTCTCCCCATCACTTTCAGGTACACCAATCAAACATAGGTTTGGTCTTTTCACATAGTCCCATATTTCTTGGAGGCTTAGTTCATTTCTTTGCATTCTTTTTTTTTAATCTTGTCTTCATGCTTTATTTCATTAAGTTGATCTTCAATCTCTGACATCCTTTCTTCCGCTTGTTCAATTTGGCTATTGATACCTGTGTATGCTTTACAAAGTTCTCATGCTGTGTTTTTCAGCTCCATCAGGTCATTTATGTTCTTCTATATACTGGTTTTTCTAGTTCGCAATTCCTCTAACCTTTTTTCAACATTCTTAGCTTCCTTGCATTGGGTTAGAACATGCTTCTTTAGCTCAAAGGAGTTTGTTATTACCCACCTTCTGAAGCCTACTTCTGTCAATTCATCAAACTCATTCTGTTCCCTTCCTGGTGAGGAGTTGTGATCCTTTAAATGAGAAGCGGCATTCTGGTTTTTGGAATTTTAAGCCTCTTTGTGCTCGTTTTTCCTCATCTTCATGGATTTATCTAACTTTGGTCTTTGATGTTGGTGACCTTTGAATGGCGTTTTTCTGTGGAATCCTTTTTGCTGATGTTGATGCTATTCCTTTCTGTGTGTTAGTTTTCCTTCTACCAGTCAGGCCCTTCTGCTGCAGGTCTGATGGAGTTTGCTTGAGGTTCACTCCAGACCCTGTTTGCCTGGGTATCACCAGCGGAGGCTGCAGACCAGCAAAGATTCCTGCCTGTTCCTTTCTCTGGCAGCTTCGTCCCAGAGGGGTACCCACCAGATGCCAGCTGGAGCTCTCCTGTATGAGGTGTCTGTTGACCCCTGCTGGGAGGTGTCTCTCAGTCAAGAGGCAGGGTGGTTAGGAACCCATTTGAGGAGGCAGCCTGTCCTTTAGTAAAGCTGAAGCGCTGTGCTGGGGGATCCACTGCTCTCTTCAGAGCCATCAGGCAGGAATGTTTAAGTCTGCTGAAGCTGTGTCCACAGCCACATTCTTCCCCCAGGGAGAATGCTGTGTCCCAGGGAGATGGGAGTTTTATCTATAAGCCCCTGACTGGGGCTGCTGCCTTTCTTTCAGAGATGCCCTGCCCAGAGAGGAGGAATCTAGAGAGGCAGTCTGGCTACAGAGGCTTTGTGTGCAGCAGTGGGCTCCACCCAGTTCAAACTTCCCAGAGACCTTGTTTACACTGTGAGGGGAAAACTGCCTATTCAAGCCTCAGTAATGACGGACATTCCTTCCCCCACCAAGCTTGAGTGTCCCAGGTCGATTTCTGCTGTGCTGGCAGGGAGAATTTCAAGCCAGTGGATCTTAGCTTGCTGGGCTCCATGGGGGTGGTATCCGCTGAGCTAGACCATTTGACTCCCTGGCTTCAGCCTTTCCGGGGAAGTGAACGGTTCTGTCTGTCTTGCTGGCATTCCAGGCACTGCTGGGGTATGAAAAAAAAAACTCCTGCAACTAGTTTGGTGTCTGCCCAAATGGCTGACCACTTTTGTGCTTGAAACCCAGGGCCCTGGTGGTGTAGGCACCCGAGGGAATCTCCTGGTCTGTGGGTTGGGAAGGCCATGGGAAAAGCATAATATCTGGGCCAGAGTGCACTGTCCCTCACGGCACAGTCCTTCATGGCTTCCCTTGGCTAGGGGAGGGAGTTTCTTGATCCCTTGCACTTCCTGGATGAGCCAACGCCCCATCCTGCTTCAGCTCACCCTCCGTGGGCGGCACCCACTGTCTAACCAGTAGGAATGAGATGAGCCGGGTACCTCAGTTGGAAATGCAGAAATCACCTGCCTCCTGCGTTGATCTCCCTGGGAGCTACAGACCAGAGCTGTTCCTATTCAGCCATCTTGCCAGCCACCCCCGCCTGTTCTTTTTTTGTGTTCTTCTTGCTAAATTTATTTAGCATGAGAACAGCAATAGCATGTTCTCACATAAGAAGCTGACTAACAGAATGCACAGCATATAAAAAATGTGCTATTTGTATAGAAATAATTTGTCAACTTCAGCAATCAGTTTGAGACCCACATATCACCTGGATGAATGGTTCTCCTGCAGAATCTGATTCAGAGGAAAGAGTCATGTGGTGCGGTGACTTGAAAGAGCTGTGGTGAATAATTGAATTCTAAGAATGGCCACAGTAGACTCCCTGTTAATATTTCTGAAAAGTAGGGTTATGGAGCACATATTATTAAACTGTTATTTTTAATAGACATCTTATACTTGTATCTGGTCTGTAAGACCAGTCATATTAGTGTACATTTTTCAATTAGTTTACTTTGGAAGTGGGCACAGGGGTCTACACTGCTCAAATCTGTAATTATAATTACCTTATGATAATTTATTATGGCAATAATGGGAATTTGCTTATTTTTCTTTGAAAAATGTTTTCAAGCTATACTTGTTTCTGCCATGATAGAGAACTTTTGCAACATTCATTTTTGTTGTGAGAGTAGAGCCACAATGATTTTCTAATGAGAATTGATTAAGCCCTTTCCTTACCCTAGCCCAGTTCTAAGTATTGTCAGTGGTGATTGGGATAGAGGGTAGTCTGTTTGGCATGTTTCCATGTCATGTGAGGATGTCAACCCTCCGTCTTTTTGAATGACTGCTAAGGCACATTACTCCTTTTAACTGTCAACAGAGAATGACTACTACTGTGGTCTGAATGTTTGTGCCACCACAGAATTCATATGTTGAAACCTAATTACCAATGCAATAGCATTAAGAGGTGGGGCCTTTAGGAGGTTATTAGGTCATGAGGGTGGAGCCCTCATGAATGGGATTAGTGCCCTTATAAAAGAGGCTGCAGCGGAGCTTGTTCACCCCTTCTGCCATGTGAAGACATGGCAAGAAGGCACCATCTATGAGAAGTAGTCCTTCACCAGAGATTGAATCTGCTGGCATGTTGATCTTGGACTTTCCAGCCTCCAGAATTGTGAGCAATACATTTCCTTTCTTTATAAGCCACTGAGTTCGTGGTATTTTGTTATAGCAGCCCAAATGAATGAAGAAAACTGCATTCCAGGGGAATGTTAGGCAGTATTATCTCACCTCTTCATAGTGTGATGTCTGTGACTGGCTCAGTTCATGCAGCTCTACTTGTGGAATGTGCATTACATTTATTTATCTATATCAGGAATTCTTAATCCTGGAGAAATTTCAAGGGATTGTTAACCCCTTGAAATTATAGCCCTAATTTTAGTTGTATGTGCTTCCTCATGGCGTTGATACACTTCTTTCACCAAATTCTCAGTCAGGTCCATGTTCCAAAAAATGGTTAAGAATCACCATTTTGAAATCCTTCTTGCTATTATGCCAGATTCTCAAACAGCTGTATCTGGATGATAGGAGAATGCCTCTTTGAAGGTTGCTTTTGTGCATGTTGGCATGGGGGAGGTGCTAAAATTTCAGATGGGATGGCCAGGGCAGGCTCCTTTAGAAGGTGAGTTGAGTGGTGGGGAGAGCAGTGGATGACGAGTGGGATCTGGGACCTTGTAGTCCTGTTCAGGACTTGGACTTTTACTACAAGTGACAGGAGAGGGCTGTAGTGCTTTGAGAAAGAGAGACATGATCTGGTCAATGTGTTAATAAGATCACTGTGACTACTGTGTTAGAGAGACATGATCTGATCTGTGTTAAGAAGATCACTTTAACTGCTATGTTGATAACTGACTGAACTGGGGAGCAAGGACAGAAGTAGAGAGCCTCTTCTGATAGTTCCGGGAAGAAATAATTGTGGCATAGAACAGGGTATTGGTAGTGGAGAGGGTGACAAATTATTAAATTTTGAAATTGCTTTGAAACTCTGGTATTATTAGGATGTTCATGAGGATGTTAGCTGTTATTTTATAAAATTAATCAATAATTTTCTTAGTGTTAGGATTATTTGTACTCTTCTCCTAAACTGTTCATTTCATTTTAACTACTCAGAATTTATAATTGAACAATACAACCATAAGAAAAGTTAGAACAAATTAATGGTTCATCCTTAGGAAGTGTCTTCATATTAATGGTGTTTGGTGTATTAGGCTTATTTTGGTCATCCTATCTTTAATTTTCCCTTTGCTTCATTCTTTTTTCACCAATTTAAAAAATTTCTGTCACTTTTTCTGTCTTTTATTTAGACAGAGTCTCACTTTGTCATCCAGGCTGGAGTGCAGTGGTGTGATCTCAGCTCACTGCAACCTTCACCTCCCGGGTTCAAGTGATTCTCTTGCTTCAGCCTCCCAAGTAGCTGGGATTACAGGAACACGCCACCACACCCAGCTACTTTTTGTATTTTTAGTAGAGACAGTGTTTCACTATGTTGGCCAGGCTGGTCTTGAACTCCCGACCTCAAGTGATCCACCCGCCTTGGCCTCCCAAAGTGCTGGGATTGCAGGTTTGAGCCACTGCACCCAGCCTCTTTTTCTGTATTATTTGTGTTTTAAAAAACTTCTTTATATTCCTTTTTGTACAGTTTAGGGTGCATGTTTCTCTCATTGAATCTATGTCAGATACCACCTTTCACTGTCTCTTCAAGGTTGTGTCTATGTCCTTTTTACACTTGTGATTGTTTCTCTGTTATTTAAGAATGAAACCTGATTCCACGAATCCAAACCATCAGAATAGTTTGTGTTTTGCATGGAACATTAAATAAAGAAGTGGTTGTTTTATGTAAGGAAAACTGCTGATCTATTTGATCACTTAACTGAGGAGACCAGGTGAGTTAAAAACAAGCCAAATCATTTGTTGAACTGAATTACTATAGTCACTAGTAAGTTTCATCAAAGCAATCCAGTGATATGTTGTATCTGTGACACATCTTGACTATAAAACTTGCCCTTGAGTTTATTTTATGAGAACATCTTATATCAAGAACAGGTAGCATAAAAAGCAGGGAGGAATTTGTACTCATTTAATATAATTAAATCATGAGGGTTCCAAACAGTGTACTGATTTCTAGAAATCCTAAAGAACCATTGTGATATCAGTGTATAAAGAACAAAAATTCTGATGACAAACTTGTAGTGTGAAAAACAAATTTACTGGACTACCCACTGTTTATACTCATTTATTTTCTTCCTGATAGTAAGTTGTAAAATAAACAAACACTTTTTTCCATTTACTTATCATGTGGTGCCAATTCTCACTTATCATATGGTGCCAATTCTCAGATATGAGTCATGAGACATGTTTCTTAATGTTTTTTTTTTTTTTTGAATCAGAAGTTTTTTTTTTTGTTTTTTTTTTGTTTTTTTTTTTTTTTATACTTTAAGTTTTAGGGTACATGTGCACATTGTGCAGGTTAGTTACATATGTATACATGTGCCATGCTGGTGCGCTGCACCCACTAACTTGTCATCTAGCATTAGGTATATCTCCCAATGCTATCCCTCCCCCCTCCCCCCACCCCACAACAGTCCCCAGAGTGTGATATTCCCCTTCCTGTGTCCATGTGATCTCATTGTTCAGTTCCCACCTATGAGTGAGAATATGCAGTGTTTGGTTTTTTGTTCTTGCGATAGTTTACTGAGAATGATGATTTCCAATTTCATCCATGTCCCTACAAAGGACATGAACTCATCATTTTTTATGGCTGCATAGTATTCCATGGTGTATATGTGCCACATTTTCTTAATCCAGTCTATCATTGTTGGACATTTGGGTTGGTTCCAAGTCTTTGCTATTGTGAATAATGCCGCAATAAACATACGTGTGCATGTGTCTTTATAGCAGCATGATTTATAGTCATTTGGGTATATACCCAGTAATGGGATGGCTGGGTCAAATGGTATTTCTAGTTCTAGATCCCTGAGGAATCGCCACACTGACTTCCACAATGGTTGAACTAGTTTAGAGTCCCACCAACAGTGTAAAAGTGTTCCTATTTCTCCACATCCTCTCCAGCACCTGTTGTTTCCTGACTTTTTAATGATTGCCATTCTAACTGGTGTGAGATGGTATCTCATTATGGTTTTGATTTGCATTTCTCTGATGGCCAGTGATGATGAGCATTTTTTCATGTGTTTTTTGGCTGCATAAATGTCTTCTTTTGAGAAGTGTCTGTTCATGTCCTTCGCCCACTTTTTGATGGGGTTGTTTGTTTTTTTCTTGTAAATTTGTTGGAGTTCATTGTAGATTCTGGATATTAGCCCTTTGTCAGATGAGTAGGTTGTGAAAATTTTCTCCCATTTTGTAGGTTGCCTGTTCACTCTGATGGTAGTTTCTTTTGCTGTGCAGAAGCTCTTTAGTTTAATTAGATCCCATTTGTCAATTTTGGCTTTTGTTGCCATTGCTTTTGGTGTTTTGGACATGAAGTCCTTGCCCATGCCTATGTCCTGAATGGTCATGCCTAGGTTTTCTTCTAGGGTTTTTATGGTTTTAGGTCTAACGTTTAAATCTTTAATCCATCTTGAATTGATTTTTGTGTAAGGTGTAAGGAAGGGATCCAGTTTCAGCTTCCTACATATGGCTAGCCAGTTTTCCCAGCACCATTTATTAAATAGGGAATCCTTTCCCCATTGCTTGTTTTTCTCAGGTTTGTCAAAGATCAGATAGTTGTAGGTATGCGGCATTATTTCTGAGGGCTCTGTTCTGTTCCATTGATCTATATCTCTGTTTTGGTACCAGTACCATGCTGTTTTGGTTACTGTAGCCTTGTAGTACAGTTTGAAGTCAGGTAGTGTAATGCCTCCAGCTTTGTTCTTTTGGCTTAGGATTGACTTGGTGATGCGGGCTCTTTTTTGGTTCCATATGAACTTGAAAGTAGTTTTTTCCAATTCTGTGAAGAAAGTCATTGGTAGCTTGATGGGGATGGCATTGAATCTGTAAATGACCTTGGGCAGTATGGCCATTTTCACGATATTGATTCTTCCTACCCATGAGCATGGAATGTTCTTCCATTTGTTTGTATCCTCTTTTATTTCCTTGAGCAGTGGTTTGTAGTTCTCCTTGAAGAGGTCCTTCACATCCCTTGTAAGTTGGATTCCTAGGTATTTTATTCTCTTTGAAGCAATTGTGAATGGGAGTTCACTCATGATTTGGCTCTCTGTTTGTCTGTTGTTGGTGTATAAGAATGCTTGTGATTTTTGTACATTGATTTTGTATCCTGAGACTTTGCTGAAGTTGCTTATCAGCTTAAGGAGATTTTGGGCTGAGACAATGGGGTTTTCTAGATATAGAATCATGTCATCTGCAAACAGGGACAATTTGACTTCCTCTTTTCCTAATTGGATACCCTTTATTTCCTTCTCTTGCCTAATTGCCCTGGCCAGAACTTCCAACACTATGTTGAATAGGAGTGGTGAGAGAGGGCATCCCTGTCTTGTGCCAGTTTTCAAAGGGAATGCTTCCAGTTTTTGCCCATTCAGTATGATATTGGCTGTGGGTTTGTCATAGATAGCTCTTATTATTTTGAAATACGTCCCATCAATACCTAATTTCTTGAGAGTTTTTAGCATGAAGGGTTGTTGAATTTTGTCAAAGGCTTTTTCTGCATCTATTGAGATAATCATGTGGTTTTTGTCTTTGGCTCTGTTTATATGCTGGATTACATTTATTGATTTGTGTATATTGAACCAGCCTTGCATCACAGGGATGAAGCCCACTTGATCATGGTGGATAAGCTTTTTGATGTGCTGCTGGATTCGGTTTGCCAGTATTTTATTGAGGATTTTTGCATCAATGTTCATCAAGGATATTGGTCTAAAATTCTCTTTTTTGGTTGTGTCTCTGCCCAGCTTTGGTATCAGAATGATGCTGGCCTCATAAAATGAGTTAGGGAGGATTCCCTCTTTTTCTATTGATTGGAATAGTTTCAGAAGGAATGGTACCAGTTCCTCCTTGTACCTCTGGTAGAATTCAGCTGTGAATCCATCTGGTCCTGGACTCTTTTTGGTTGGTAAACTATCGATTATTGCCACAATTTCAGCTCCTGTTACTGGTCTATTCAGAGATTCAACTTCTTCCTGGTTTAGTCTTGGGAGAGTGTATGTGTTGAGGAATTTATCCATTTCTTCTAGATTTTCTAGTTTATTTGCGTAGAGGTGTTTGTAGTATTCTCTGATGGTAGTTTGTATTTCTGTGGGATCGGTGGTGATATCCCCTTTATCATTTTTTATTGTGTCTATTTGATTCTTCTCTCTTTTTTTCTTTATTAGTCTTGCTAGTGGTCTATCAATTTTGTTGATCCTTTCAAAAAACCAGCTCCTGGATTCATTGATTTTTTGAAGGGTTTTTTGTGTCTCTATTTCCTTCAGTTCTGCTCTGATTTTACATATTTCTTGCCTTCTGCTAGCTTTTGAATGTGTTTGCTCTTGCTTTTCTAGTTCTTTTAATTGTGATGTTAGGGTGTCAATTTTGGATCTTTCCTGCTTTCTCTTGTGGGCATTTAGTGCTATAAATTTCCCTCTACACACTGCTTTGAATGCGTCCCAGAGATTCTGGTATGTTGTGTCTTTGTTCTCGTTGGTTTCAAAGAACATCTTTATTTCTGCCTTCATTTCGTTATGTACCCAGTAGTCATTCAGGAGCAGGTTGTTCAGTTTCCATGTAGTTGAGCGGCTTTGAGTGAGATTCTTAATCCTGAGTTCTAGTTTGATTGCACTGTGGTCTGAGAGATAGTTTGTTATAATTTCTGTTCTTTTACATTTGCTGAGGAGAGCTTTACTTCCAACTATGTGGTCAATTTTGGAATAGGTGTGGTGTGGTGCTGAAAAAAATGTATATTCTGTTGATTTGGGTTGGAGAGTTCTGTAGATGTCTATTAGGTCCGCTTGGTGCAGAGCTGAGTTCAATTCCTGGGTATCCTTGTTGACTTTCTATCTCGTTGATCTGTCTAATGTTGACAGTGGGGTGTTAAAGTCTCCCATTATTAATGCGTGGGAGTCTAAGTCTCTTTGTAGGTCACTCAGGACTTGCTTTATGAATCTGGGTGCTCCTGTATTGGGTGCATATATATTTAGGATAGTTAGCTCTTCTTGTTGAATTGATCCCTTTACCATTATGTAATGGCCTTCTTTGTCTCTTTTGATCTTTGTTGGTTTAAAGTCTGTTTTATCAGAGACTAGGATTGCAACCCCTGCCTTTTTTTGTTTTCCATTTGCTTGGTAGATCTTCCTCCATCCTTTTATTTTGAGCCTATGTGTGTCTCTGCACATGAGATGGGTTTCCTGAATACAGCACACTGATGGGTCTTGACTCTTTATCCAATTTGCCAGTCTGTGTCTTTTCATTGGAGCATTTAGTCCATTTACATTTAAAGTTAATATTGTTATGTGTGCATTTGATCCTGTCATTATGATGTTAGCTGGTGATTTTGCTCGTTAGTTGATGCAGTTTCTTCCTAGTCTCGATGGTCTTTACATTTTGGCATGATTTTGCAGCGGCTGGTACCGGTTGTTCCTTTCCATGTTTAGTGCTTCCTTCAGGAGCTCTTTTAGGGCAGGCCTGGTGGTGACAAAATCTCTCAGCATTTGCTTGTCTGTAAAGGATTTTATTTCTCCTTCACCTATGAAGCTTAGTTTGGCTGGATATGAAATTCTGGGTTGAAAATTCTTTTCTTTAAGAATGTTGAATATTGGCCCCCACTCTCTTCTGGCTTGTAGGGTTTCTGATGAGAGATCCGCTGTTAGTCTGATGGGCTTCCCTTTGAGGGTAACCCGACCTTTCTCTCTGGCTGCCTTTAACATTTTTTCCTTCATTTCAACTTTGGTGAATCTGACAATTATGTGTCTTGGAGTTGCTCTTCTCGAGGAGTATCTTTGTGGCGTTCTCTGTATTTCCTGAATCTGAACGTTGGCCTGCCTTGCTAGATTGGGGAAGTTCTCCTGGATAATATCCTGCAGAGTTTTTTCCAACTTGGTTCCATTCTCCCCATCACTTTCAGGTACACCAATCAGACGTAGATTTGGTCTTTTCACATAGTCCCATATTTCTTGGAGGCTTTGCTCATTTCTTTTTATTCGTTTTTCTCTAAACTTCCCTTCTCGCTTCATTTCATTCATTTCATCTTCCATCGCTGATACCCTTTCTTCCAGTTGATCGCATCGGCTCCTGAGGCTTCTGCATTCTTCACGTAGTTCTCGAGCCTTGGTTTTCAGCTCCATCAGCTCCTTTAAGCACTTCTCTGTATTGGTTATTCTAGTTATACATTCTTCTAAATTTTTTTCAAAGTTTTCAACTTCTTTGCCTTTGGTTTGAATGTCCTCCCGTAGCTCAGAGTAATTTGATCGTCTGAAGCCTTCTTCTCTCAGCTCGTCAAAGTCATTCTCCATCCAGCTTTGTTCCGTTGCTGGTGAGGAACTGCGTTCCTTTGGAGGAGGAGAGACGCTCTGCGTTTTAGAGTTTCCAGTTTTTCTGTTCTGTTTTTTCCCCATCTTTGTGGTTTTATCTACTTTTGGTCTTTGATGATGGTGATGTACAGATGGGTTTTCGGTGTGGATGTCCTTTCTGTTTGTTAGTTTTCCTTCTAACAGACAGGACCCTCAGCTGCAGGTCTGTTGGAATACCCTGCCGTGTGAGGTGTCAGGGTGCTCCTGCTGGGGGGTGCCTCCCAGTTAGGCTGCTCGGGGGTCAGGGGTCAGGAACCCACTTGAGGAGGCAGTCTGCCGGTTCTCAGATCTCCAGCTGCGTGCTGGGAGAGCCACTGCTCTCTTCAAAGCTGTCAGACAGGGACATTTAAGTCTGCAGAGGTTACTGCTGTCTTTTTGTTTGTCTGTGCCCTGCCCCCAGAGGTGGAGCCTACAGAGGCAGGCAGGCCTCCTTGAGCTGTGGTGGGCTCCACCCAGTTGGAGCTTCCCGCTGCTTTGTTTACCTGATCAAGCCTGGGCAATGGTGGGCGCCCCTCCCCCAGCCTCGCTGCCGCCTTGCAGTTTGATCTCAGACTGCTGTGCTAGCAATCAGCGAGATTCCGTGGGCGTAGGACCCTCCGAGCCAGGTGTGGGATATAATCTCGTGGTGCGCCGTTTTTTAAGTCAGTCAGAAAAGCGCAGTATTCGGGTGGGAGTGACCCGATTTTCCAGGTGCGTCCGTCACCCCTTTCTTTGACTCGGAAAGGGAACTCCCTGACCCCTTGCGCTTCCCAGGTGAGGCAATGCCTCGCCCTGCTTCGGCTCGCACACGGTGCGTGCACCCACTGGCCTGCGCCCACTGTCTGGCACTCCCTAGTGAGATGAACCCGGTACCTCAGATGGAAATGCAGAAATCACCCGTCTTCTGCGTTGCTCATGCTGGGAGCTGTAGACCGGAGCTGTTCCTATTCGGCCATCTTGGCTCCTCCGTGAATCCGTTTCTTAATGTTTTACACTATTCTTTGTGGTAAAGTGTGGTTTCCATTTTAAATTACATCTCTCAGAATAATAGGCAGCTCTGAAAGGGGTTGTAGAGACCATCTAACAGTCTGATTTGTAGATGAGGAACCTGAGGTCTAGAGTGTTGAAAACCCAAGTCCCACAGCTGATTACCGGAAGAGCTTAGCCTGGCACCCAACACTCCTGATGCCTAATTCAGGTAGGTTTTCATCCAAAGTCCAAGCCACATATATTAAAATTATACTACTATTTGGATTTATGACATAGTAGTACAAATAATCATATTTGTGATACTCCAACTTGAGTAGAACTCATAGGAAATCTTGTCTCTGAAGTCGGACTTCATGTGGGTATATTAAGCCACCAGACTTTTAATTATTCTAACTCTCCAATATTACCTCATCTGCAAATAAACAATAGGTTTCCAAAGGTCTACTGGTAAAATTTCTCCTCTTTATTGGAAATAAATAGGCAGTTGTTACCTATGCAATAATTATTTGGCCTTACAATATCATAGTAAAGATAAAGACTTTAGAAAACAGGGAAATTTTAAGACCTGAGCATGAAAGAAATTGAAGACGGTGATATTAATGATGTTAAATTAGCTGTTACATATTTTATCAACATTGTGAGCACTTGCATTTAGTTAAAATTTCAGTCTTATCCCGTGATACCTGTCCTGGTTTGTTATGGCATAAAGGAACATTCAGTTTAAATTTTTTCGACTTGTATTTTTAATGATGTAAGATAGGATGCGTACAGGAATAAATCTGTAGCCTAATTTTACGTGAGATATTTCTCAGATATTGATCTAGAGTATCACATGTAAATTTAGAGACTTATCTATAATCCCTTTCCTTTTATGTTTTCCACAGACAACTTATATATATGTGTTTTTGTTTTTGTGTGTGTTCTGATTTTAGATTTACCTTTTCCAGGTGTACTTCTCTGAAGTAAGATGATTTGTCAAAAATTCTGTGTGGTTTTGTTACATTGGGGTAAGTTATTTGCTCATTTGCTGTTTTAATGCCCTTAAACATGGTAGAGATTTTGCCTTTAGAGATGCTGTTTTATTTATTAGCTAACAGAATTTCCTATTTCTAGTTAGGAATTCTCATACATGCTTATGATTAAAAATGCAAACCATAGTATAGGTGTATCAGTGTGAAAACGAAAACCCTTCCCAACCTCCTAAAGACAACCTGATGGTGTATCCTTCCAGAATCCTCTCTCTCTCTCACACACACACACACACAGACTCACACACACAGACTCACACACACACATACACAGACACACTCATATCTATAGCTGCAAAAATAGCACTGGTCTGTACATGTTGTTCTGGATGTTTATTTTTCCATTTAACAGGTTTCCAATTTATCATGATGGCTTTTTACCTTTATCAGTATTTACCGGGATACTTATTAGTTTAATGGTTGCATGACAATGCACTGTATGAATATATATAAAATTATTAGTCTATTTGACCAATTCCTGATTGATAGACATTTCTTTTTCTGTAACAAATAATACTGCATTGAAACTTCATGTGTCTTTGTATATTTGGAAAAATATTTCTGTAGATTAATTCTTTTTTTTTTTTTTTTTTTTGAGACGCAGTCTTGCTCTGCCGCCAGACTGGAGTGCAGTGGCATGATCTCAGCCCACTGCAACCTCTGCCTCCTGGATTCAAGCAATTCTCCTGCCTCAGCCTCTCGAGTAGCTGGGACTACAGGCACGCGCCACCATGCCCAGATAATTTTTGTATTTTTAGTAGAGACGGGGTTTCACTGCGTTGGCCAGATGGTCTCAATCTCTTGACCTCGTGATCTGCCCGCCTCGGCCTCCCAAAGTGCTGGGATTACAGGCGTGAGCCACCGTGCCCAGCCGATACATTGCCAATAACTTTTGAGCATACTGTTCTCACGTGTTTCTTACCACATTCTGGTGACATTCTGATTTCCTTAAACCAAATCATCTAAGTTAGATTGTGTTCCAAGTTTTTGAAATTAAAGTTAGAGTATCTTTAACAAAACTTATGTGATTTGGCAATTGTTTATCTAGCTTTCTTTAACAAAACTTATGTTGTGGCAACTTTATCTGGCAGCTGTTACCTGTGTGTCAACTGATTCTGAGCATCTCCTTGGCTACCCCAATCTAAAGGGGCTCTTCTAAGCTTCCCTATAGGTCTTCCTTGTGGTACATACTTCTCTTTCATTGCAGCCATCTGTATATTTCCAGAAAATAACCTAGATAGCTCCACCATTACAGATTTCCAAAAAATTATGCCACAAGGGACTATCAAAGAGAAATAACTCATTCTCTTTTTATATTCTCTAATTTTATTAGATATATTTAAGGGAACTGTTCATTCTCTTTTATAATTCTCTATTAATTTTCGTTAGACTCTAGTGTTTTACATTGACTTTCTGGAAGGTTTCTGGTTTGATCAAGTTTTTGAATCAAAAGAATTCCTGGGATATTGTTACCTGATAAGATATGCCTTCAGATGAAAATTCTAGACCATCTTTAGAGTTTAGGATTCATTTGGAGGGAAAGAAATATCATTTGCAAAGTTGCATGTGGATAAAATAGACTCATCTTTTAATTTAACTGCATCAATAGTTGCTATGTTTTTAAAGTTCATCATTACATTTTACATTTAAATACTTCTGTGAGGATTTTAGGCTAATTCATTTCAAGCAACTGAATCCTCTATGTAGACCTAGAATATATAATGCTGTAAATTAGTAATATTACATATTCTTGGTTTTGTAAACCTCCTCCCTCAAAAAACTATTCTGTTTTCTTTGAGGTGTTCTGATTTTAGAAACATGTTAGAAGGAGTGAAGTCCAAAGGAACATAATTGTAATATGGATTTACTTTTGGTAATGTTGTGATACCTAATTGTTATCAGTATGGCCATAGTCACATTTGTCACATTAATCACTTTGGCCTCAATTTTTGCATCTATACCTATTTATATTAATTTATATCTATAGAAATCTTTAGAAACCAAACTATTAACAGTCATTACCTATGTATTGTTTGAATATTTTCACTGATAATTGCTTTTGTAATGAAAAAATACATTTGTGAATTGATTAAAAATTTTATTTTCTTACATTTTTAAAAAGCCTTTATTTTTTAGAGCAGTTTTAGGTTCACAGCAAAATTGAGAGGAAGGTACAGAGATTTTCCGTAGACTCCCTGCCCCACACATTTATAACCCCCCATTATCAACTATCCCCCCTCAGAGTGGTACATTTGTCACAATTGATGAACCCATACTGACATATCATTGTCACTCAAAGTCCATAGTTTACATTATGGTTCACTCTTGGTGTTGTATATTGTATGAATGTTGACTGATGTATGTATAGTGACCTTTATCTGCAGCTTTAGAAACATACAGAAGAATTTCACTGCCCTACCCATCCTTTGTGGCCTTCCTATTCCTCCCTCCTTCTTACCTAACTCCTGGGAACTGCCGATCTTTTTACTGTTTCCATAGTTGTGCGTTTTATAGAATGTCATAATGTCATATAGTTGGAATAACATAGTATATAGTCTTTTCATACTGGTTTCTTTCCCTTAGTAATATGCATTTATGTTTCCTCCATGTCTTTTTTTTCCTCTTTAAATTTTTATTTTTTTAGATTCAGAGGTTACAAGTATGGTTTTGTTACATGGATATGTTGCGTAGTATGTACATCACCTGAATAGTGAACTTTGTGTACAATACTACTTATAAGTGAGAACATGTGGTATTGGATTTTCTGTTTCTGAGTTATTTCACTTAGAATAATGGCCTTTAGCTCCATCCACGTTGTTGCAAAGTACATGCTTTTATTCTTTTTTATGGCTGCATAGTATTCCATGGTGTGTGAGTGTGTGTGTGTGTGTGTGTGTGTGCATGTGCATGTGTGTGAATATGCCACTTTTTTTAATGCAGTCATTCATTGAGGGACACTTAGGTTGATTCCATGACTTTGCTATTGTGAATAGTGCTGTGACAAACATATGACCGCAGGTGTCTTTTTGTTACAATGATTTCTTTTCCTTTGAGTAGATACTTAGTAGTGGGATTGCTGGATTGAATGATAGTTCTACTTTTAGTTCTTTGAGAAATCTACACATTGTTTTCCATAGAGGTTGTACAAATTTACATTGCCACCAACAGTGAATAAGCATTTCCTTTTCTCTGCATCCTCACCAACATCTATTATTTTTTGACTTTTTAATAATGGCCATTCTTACTGGTATAAGATGGTATCTCATTGTAGTTTTAATTTGCATTTTTCTAATGATTAGTGATATTGGGCATTTTTTTCATGTTCATTGGCTGCTTGTATGTCTTCTTTTGAGAAATGTCTTCATTTCTTTTGCCTTCTTTTTAATGGGATTATTTGTTTTTTTCTTGTTGAGTTGTTTGAGTTCCTTCTAAATTCTGGATATTAGTCCTTTGTTGGATGCATAGTTCTGGAAGAGTGCTGGAACCTCTGTATCTTTTCGTGACTTGATGTCTCATTTCTTTTTAGCCCTGAATAATATTTAATTGTCTGGATGTACCACAATTTACCCATTCACCTACTGATGAACATCATGTTTACTTCTATTTCCTTACATTATTACATTTGCCAAACTCTTCAAAATTCTCATTTCATACAAATCCATACAAGATTCTCAGAATTCGTATTCTGCATTAGTGTCTATATAAGCCAACACAATTGTTGCATCATTTGGGTAACTTACTGAAAAAACAATTATGGAGAATTATTTTATTTTCAAACAAATATTTAAAAATAAGTTTGGCTGGGTGCAGTGGCTCATGCCTGTAATCCCAGCACTTTGGGAGACCAAGGTGGGCGGATCACCTGAGGTCAGGAGTTCGAGACCAGCCTGGCCAACATGGCAAAACCCCGTCTCTACTAAAAGTACAAAAATTAACCGGGTGTGGTGGGAGGTGCCTGTAATCCCAGCTACTCAGGAGGCTGAGGCAGGAGAATTGCTTGAACCCGGGAAGCAGAGGTTGCAGTGAGTCGAGATCATGCCACTGCACTCCAGCCTGAGCAACAAGAGCGAAATTCCATCTTAAAAAAAAAAAAAAAAAAAAAAAAAAAAGACAAGGTTTAACTTTTGCAGATCTTTTGGTACAGGATTATATAATTGTTCTTAATTTTTATATTTAAACAGTGATAATTTAATCAGCAGTGGGCATTTCCCATAAGAAGTCTATTCTTTTGCATCATTTTTTGTGTAATGTGCTAAGGGCATGTCTTATATGATGATGTTTTGTATTTGGAGGATCATGGGAAAATTCAGGAGATCATCAAGCCATCATCATGTTGAAGACAAATTCTTTCTAAAAGTGCTCAGCGAAAGCAGTGTTAATATTTTGGTGTTACTCTCTTAAATACATATTAAAATAGCACTTTAATGTTTGTTTATATAATTGCACATCCAGATATTTATTTATCATTTATACTGGATATTATATTTATCATTTATAATGGAAGCTAGAATAATATGCTTTAGAAAGGAAAAATAAAATATTCAGTGTTTGTTTCCTTTTATTAAAACATAAATATAAAATGTCAGCTTAAAGAGAAAACATGAAGTGTGAGTCTTCAAAAAGAAAAGAGATGTCAGAAAGTGGAGTAATTTCTACAAATGAATGCATCCTCTTGAATGTAACACATTGTACAATGGAAGCACAAAGTTATTCATTAGACACTCACTGAGGACTTAGAAAGTTAAATAATTATTGAGCACTACATGGTTTAATCTCAGATACTTTCTATTCATGTCTTAGTCAAAATGATTACTTTTTTCTATGTGTCTTTTTAATATCCTAACAGAATTTATTTATGTGATAACTGCGTTTAACTTGTCATATCCAATTACTCCTTGGAGATTTAAGTTGTCTTGCATGCCACCAAATTCAACCTATGACTACTTCCTTTTGCCTGCTGGACTCTCAAAGAATACTTCAAATTCGAATGGACATTATGAGACAGCTGTTGAACCTAAGTTTAATTCAAGTGGTACTCACTTTTCTAACTTATCCAAAACAACTTTCCACTGTTGCTTTCGGAGTGAGCAAGATAGAAACTGCTCCTTATGTGCAGACAACATTGAAGGAAAGACATTTGTTTCAACAGTAAATTCTTTAGTTTTTCAACAAATAGGTAAGCATTAGCTATGTTTTAAATGTATTGAACAATGTTTTTTAATTCTTTGATACCTGTATGAAATAGATGTCTTATGGCTATGATTTTAACATACATAATCATTTTTATATGGATAATAAAATTAGGATTCATTATGTGAACAAACTAATAAATAATTTCCAAATTATCTTGTATCCCATAAAAATATAATGAGGGAATTATTTTACTTTTAAGTACATTCCTTGTAGTCTTCTAAATTTGCTTTGAAATAGAAAAACACACCTTATTTTTGTTAAATGTATAAAATATCAAATGACTGATAATATTGTTGAATTGGTTAAATTTTAAAATATTCATGAATAATAATAATTCTTCAGGCAAGGAATATCTCTGAAAGAATATACGTTTTAAAGATGGGTTTTTCAGAAAGAATAGCTAATGGATGCTGGGCTTAACACCTAGGTGATGTGATGATCTGTGTAACAAACTGCTATGGTACATGTTTACCTATTTAACTAACCTGCACATCCTGCACATGTACCCCTGAACTAAAAATAAAAGTTGGAAAAACAAAAAAAGAAAAGAAAAAAATTCTTTTTTTTTGTTTAAGTATAATGCATACTGATTGTAGCTAGTGTAGTTAAAAATTCTGCATCTGGAAATATAAACAACAAAATTATCCCAAGTCTTTTGGAAAAGCTAGGAAGAGTGGAGTCAATTGACTCATCCATGTAGAGAGACCTCCAGTATGAAAATACAGGCATATCTTTTCCTCCCTTAAAAGCGTGATGATTGGGTTTTCACATGTATGAGTGAGATGTGCCTCCCTCAGACCTTGTTATGATGTTGGCACATTACCTGTCTAATGTTAAAAAAAAAAAAAAAAGGCTGGGCACAGTGGCTTAACTGCCTGCAATCCTAGCATTTAGGAGGCCTAGGCGGGCGGATCACTTGAGCTCAGGAGTTAGAGACCAGCCTGGGCAACATAATGAAACCCCATCTCTACCAAAAAAAAAAAAAAAAAAAAAAAAAAAAATTAACTGGGCATGGTGGTGCATGCCTCTAGTCCCATCTACTTAGGAGACTGAGGTGGGAAGATTGCTTGAGAGATGGAGGCTGCAGTGAGCCATGATCACATGATCATGCCACTGCACTCCAGCCTGGGTGACAGAGTGACACCCCATCTCAAAAAAAAAAAAAAAAAAGGAAAGAAAAAGAAAAGTGAGAACTGAGCTAGGTGAGTTTTGAGCTCTTTTGTCCTATTTAAGTGGTTTGAAATTAAAGAAAATTTGAGAAGCAATAATTGAATTTAATTCTATTACTTTAGAAAAAAGGAAACTGAGGGCCAGAGGGACTAAGTGATGGGCAAACGCATGCCACTAGTTAAAGCTTGTTCTTTTTCTCTCAGAATAGGCAATGGAAGTTGTATCAGAACACTGGTAAATTTGATTTAGCTCTTCTCTTTCACTGAGTTGTTCAGATGGTTTTTGAGATTTCATGTAGTTGTTTTTTTTTTTTTTTTTTTTTTTTTTTAAATTCAGATGCAAACTGGAACATACAGTGCTGGCTAAAAGGAGACTTAAAATTATTCATCTGTTATGTGGAGTCATTATTTAAGAATCTATTCAGGAATTATAACTATAAGGTCCATCTTTTATATGTTCTGTAAGTACCAAATAATTAATTTGGCATTTCTAATACACAGTTTTTTTAAAAGAGCTTTCATATACGGAAGTAGATTATAAACCTCTTGCATCCCTACATTTCCTATTATATGTTTTATTTTTTAATATAGCATTCTGCTCTGTTAGGTTTCCTCTTTTCTCCTCCTGCTAATTGAGGTAGCAAGACAGTCAGGTTTAGGGTCACGATTGTCAGGTCCATGAGTATACCAAATGTTCAGTTCAAGTTCAGGTTCTAGCTCACACTGAGGTCCGAAGGGAGTGGGTGGATGGGCAATAGCTGAACGAACACTCTGGGGGCCTTAAACAGGTGAAACGTAGTTTTATTCAGCAGCTCTCTATCAGCAGCTTACTCAAACTAGGTCTCTCATTAGCAGCTCTCTTAGCAGCAGCTTTCTCTCACTGTCTGCTCTGTTTTGACTGCTTGGGCCAGCTGCTCCTATGCACAGCTGCACGGCTGGCTCTCTCTTGCCTTCAGGGTCAGCAGCTTAACTCTTTCTCTCTCTGGGCATGAACATGAACCATGCTGTGCCATGTTGTGCCATGCTGAGCCATGCCCTGGCTCCCCTCGTCAGAGCAAGACTGACAGCTCTGGTACTCTCTCTCTGGGTACAAGAGCGCCTGTACAAGAACATCTGTAGAGTGTCAGCAGGGCAATTATACCTTTTACAGACAACAGTGGCATATGGCCAAGGGATGGCCTTCCCATGTTATGGCTACATGGCTGTGATAACAGATGGAGTTATATGCCTGCGCACTACTCGCTGAGTCATGCAGGCCTGGACATCTGCCTTGGCCTGATTCTTGACCGAAGCACATCCATGTACCTTACAAAGATATTGCAGGTATAGGTGGGCATGTAGTCTGAAAGAAGAGTGAACTCAGTTCAGGAGTGCTAGATATTTGAGTGGAAAAGGAAAAAAGGTGCGTTTTATATTTCTTTTTCAGATGATTTTTCGTATTCGATCTCTTTATAAACTTAAAAATATGGGTGGCTAATATTTGTGCTAGAAAGAGAACAAAGATATTGTTTTCAAATAGCCATATACTTATAACTCAAACAGCGAATATGTCATTAAGTTTTCTAATTACTCTAGTGATGATATACACCATTTTTATGTCAATTTTAACTCTTTAAAATTCTTTCTCATTAATTCTTCTATTTGATGCTTAAAGTCTCGCTTCCTTCAGTTCTGCAGTTATTGAGATAATACCGTTGAGGAGCAATGTGCTAGAAACTGTCCCTATACAAATGAATAGAGACAGAAAGTAAAGCGGGGCTGAGAGGAGGGGGAATTGGGGAGTTACTGTTTAATGGATATAAAGTTTCAATTTGGGAAAATGAAAAATGTTCTGGAGTTGGGGAGTGGTGATGGTTGCATAATAACGTGAATGTATTTCATGTCATTGCACTGTACACTTAAAATGGTTGAAATGTTAAATTTTATATACATTTTATTACAGTAAAAATTTAAAAAGAAACTTAAAGACATGTAAAAAAGGATGAATGGTTACGATCACTGTCCTTTAGGTGCTCAAAGGCTAGCAGTTGGGACCTGTATGTACAGAGTTTCAGTTTAAGTGGTTACCGATATGTATTTGGTAGGTACATAATGTCATGGGAGCCCATCATTGTTGTGAGATCTTAGATGGGGGTTATCTAGTTAAGCTGGTGAGAGAAGAGAGGAGGAAAGGTTTCCTAAGGAAGTAGATAGCTGAGTTGAGTCATTAGAGATAAATAAGAGCTAATGAGAAAATATGTGGGCAGTATAGTGTTGGGAAGAGATCAGTATCACCTGGAACCTTGTTAGAAATTTAAATTTGCATGCTAAATGACGAGTTAATGGTTGCAGCACACCAACATGGCACATGTATACATATGTAACAAACCTGCACGTTGTGCACATGTACCCTAAAACTTAAAGTATAATAATAATAAAAAAAATTTAAATTTGCTAGCTCACCCCTGTGAATAAAAAATTAGGGGGGGTGGAGCTCATTAATATATGTTTTGCCAAGTCCTTTGGGTGATTCTGATGGAACTCAAGTTTGAAAATTCCTGCTGTAGAGGTTAATATGACAGATTTTAGAGTCAGACTACCTGGCTGTACCACTTACTAAATGCACTCACAAAGCACTTGCTATGTTTAACAGTTGTTCTACCTCTAGAAATTAACACAATGGAAATATTTACACAATGTTTAAAAATTATTTGTTGAATGAATACATATTGCCAAAATGCTTTCTAAAATATTTTCCAATTTACCCTCCAGAAATGTCTTAATGAGCCAAAAAGTTAATAAAAAAATAATATTGTCTGAAGGTGTGAGTAGTGAGTAGTCAACGGTCAGATATAGCAGGAAGATATAATAAGGTCTGAATGATATGTACGGATTTGGCAGTGTGAAAGTAATGGGTCTTTAGGCAGAGCTCATTCGGGGGAGCGGAAGGAGAGGTTGCCAGAACAAAGGGAAACTTGAAGAAAGGACCCGGAAGAGCTGATCTTTATGCTAGTTCCTCATTCAGTTGATGGGGGGACACTGCAGAGCTGGAATTCATATATCCAAGGCATACTATGGCTGGTGCTGAGAATATGAAAAAAACCTGGTTACTGGGACCAACTGCTGCTGCCCAGGTGAGGAACCTTTGGCTGGAGTGATATTTCAAGAATGGTAGGCAAAACAGGAAGGATCAACTCCCTTGTCACTCCATTATTCTAGTCTCTTTCTAGCTCCCCCACAGGTAGAATTTAACAAGAATTTAGGTAGCAGAGGAGAACTATGGTTTGCAGAGTTCCAGCCCCAGCATGGTGAAACAGAGCATAGGGTGCATTTGAAGATGGCAGTCAATAGCTTAACCACCAGCAAAATTCACTTCATTGGCTCATTGGCTACTTAGAACATTCACACACACCTTTCTACGCATACCTACCTTTCCCTACAACTTCCTTATAACTTCATGCTTTCACTTAATTAAGTGCAACTATACTTTAAAAAAAAAATCAAAAAGATCCTTTATTTCATGTGTATGTAGTATCATAATTCATCAAAATAATTTATAATAGTTAACTGCCCCTCAAATATTGTTTTATAAATGATGCCTTCTGAAGTTAAACATAATGTAGATTCATTTTTTAAAAATTGTCTGTTTAGAACATACTAAACAAATGATAAGTTAAAAAAAAATATAATTCTCTCCTGTGAAGTCTTCTAAGAAAATCATGGCAAGTTCCTGATAAGATAAAAACCATTCCATCATTAAAGGGGATTAAAAAGAGGCATAAATAAATTTGAATAGGAACATCTGTTTGCTGAGTTTTGTCATTGTGTACAAATGAAACTCTAGAGTTAAAATTATATTCTGATTTCCTTCTATAAGCAAGAAATTCCTTAATAGAAGCTCAGAAATGACCTCAGTGCCTTGGTGAAACATACTTCTTCATCTGCGGACACTCAGTGCTCCCATCTCTATCAGATCTGCTGTGTTACCTCTGTTAACATTCCCAGGCATCTCCAGGAAGACGGGAGATGTCATCCTCTCCAAGATGGCTCTACCAAACCAAGGCTTTCCTGGCACCAACAACGTTCTTTCTAAAGCCCTACACTTCACAGAGGAGGCAAAGCCCGACGAAGCACCATTTCTGCCACGGTGTCCACCTTAAGCTTCCAACTGCCACTGTTGTGAGGAGGAGCCATCACAGATTGCCATAGCCACAGAGTCTTCCTGACCCTGTGGAGCCACTGCTCTCAGGCACTGTCCAGCTGACGTCTGGTGTAGCCAATTATTTTCCCCAAAGGTCCATGTCTGCCTGACCCATGGCACTCCACGAGTTGTGGTGGGTCTGATGAGCTAGTTTCTGTCATACCTAGACAAAGAAGATGGTTTAAAACCAATTCATGCTCTTCATTATAAATCCAGATCTGATTTGGGTCCCCATGCTCACAAGTCTTAAGCACTAGTAGGCCTCCTTTCCAACTTGGGCAGCCCTGAGCCACCAGACATTTGTTGGTCTGGAGGTGATAGAGCCTTCCAAGTTGAAGGACTTTGGGGCATTTTGGCCCTCTACTGATAAAAGTGGGTTGCTGGGATTTGTCATGGGTCCCAGATATCTGCATCTTTGGGTAAATATTACCCAAATACCATTCAAATGATTTGCATCCTAACTTCTTTCTCAATTCAACATGCTCACTGATGGTTCCAAAGCTTTTCCTCTCCAGATTAAGTCTTAAGGAAAAATACTGCGCCTTTATTCATCCAGCCAGACATGTGCCAGCTGCAAAAAGTTGTGTTCATGGCATCCCGGCCTTCAGGAGATCCATATGGTCCCCTTTTTTTGGAAAATGTGTCCTACTGTAGAGCAAGGCATGATGAAGAACTTACCTCCACACACCCAGATCTGAAATGTTATTTCCAAGTTTTCTCCTCTCCAGATATCCATGCCAGTATCATACTGTCCAAGTTCCTGGAAATACTGTCTGTTCCTGGCAAACAATCCTCCAGCCATTATCGGTGACTTTGTTGGTGCTGTGGCTTTTTCTGCTCATCCTAGCTCAGAAAGGGGAACAAGCTCCTATTTGAAGTGCAGCCCTCAGTTGAATCCTCCACGGACAACAGAGGATGAGCTGTAGGCTAGCGTGTTGGCACTAATGATATCAATCACTGAGAACATCATGGTCTGCTAGTCCACACAGATGACAGCCAGCAAGGGCTGCTGCCACATCACATTCACTTCAATTGGCTGTCTAGGAACACAAGGACTTCTGTTGTGTGGACTGCTACACTCATTCTTCCTTGAATCAATCCCTCACACTTTATGTTTCTTATACCTTAATTTTTCCAAGGAGGTATTTTTGGACATATTCATCTCGTCCTCCTTTCAAGTCATCAAGGTCGCTAACAACATCCATAAAGATGATTTCATGAAGCAGGTTTGCTGGCATGCAATTTGTGACAATGTGCAGCATCTGGAGACAGGGCAGAAAAAGCTTCATTGTGGAAACAGATAACAATTATGTAAGCAACTGGCAGGTCAGGAGGTAGGACTTTACATGCTGTATTCTTTGTCCCTGGCACATCTCTGTGGTAGCCTGCAGTTACTGATAAGCATATTAAAAGCACATTTCTGATAGCCCGTCTCTCAACTCCTGAGCACGTTAATTAAAAATCATGCCTAGTTCAGAAGACAATTTCAAGTGGCCTTTTTCTGGATCTTCAATATGACCATCACATCATCAATTTTGTTTGCTTCGAACTGTGGCTCTAGTAATAGACTTGGACCTTGAGTGAATCAGGAATAGAATTGTTTTGGAAATGGTCCATGGGGTCCAGGCCCCTTGAGCACATTCTTTTTTTTTTTAATATAGTTTAAGTTCTGGGATACACGTGCAGAAAGTGCAGGTTTGTTACATAGGTATGCGTGTGCCATGGTGGTTTGCTGCACCCATCAACCCGTCATCTACATTAGGTATTTCTCCTAATGCTATCCCTCCTCTAGCCTCCCACCCCCCTACAGGCCCCAGTGTGTGATGTTCCCCTCCCTGTGTCCATGTGTTCTCATTGTTCAACTCCCACTTATGAGTGAGAACGTAGTGTTTGTTTTTCGGTTCCTGTGTTAGTCTGCTGAGAATGATGGTTTTCAGCTTTATCCATGTCCTTGCAAAGGACATGAACTTATCCTTTTTTATGGCTGCATAGTATTCCATGATGTGTATGTGCCACATTTTCCTTATCCAGTCCATCACTGAGGGGTATGTGGGTTGGTTCCAAGTCTTTGCTATTATGAATAGTGGATGAGCACATTCTTAAGTGGCTGAGTCACTTCACCGAAGTTGAAATGAACAAAAACCAAAACTGCACAGGTCACAGATGTAAAAATGTACCCATAACAGAAATATTGAACTGTGACACTTCCCATAATAGACTTAGCATAACTAATGGGCCATTTTCAATTTCTGCAGCACTGGCAGTGGCCTTCCAGGACTCAGGCTGTGGCATCTTTCCTCCTGCCACAGCCCCTGTCTGAGCCACAGGAGCTGCCCAGGGGGTGAGGAGTGGTGGGCTACACTTTGAACAAAAGGAGACAGTCTTATTCTCTCTCCCAAATGGGATGATGCTATGTCACAGTTGTCATTATGTTTTCTGTGCAACATGTACAGTATTGCTCTCTGGGCAGTATTAATTGCTCCTCACATTCAATCACTGTTTCACCTGAATGAATATTGTGGAAGCTAAATATAAAATTGTAAATTTAATAATTCCAGGAATCCTTATATAAAATAATAGGGGGAAGGAAAAGATTGAGAAGAAATTAGTTAATATATAGAAACACACACACACACAAGCATACTGTAAGGGAGGAAATATGCACAGCTGCCACTGCTCTTCTTTCTGTATTGATTACCAGGCTGTAGTTAATATTTATTACTAGTGTTAGACCACTGGACTAATTCTTTAAGTCACCCAGAGGAGGAACCCAGATATAGTGCCACTGCCATCATATCTGGACATTGAATGTCCCTGTGGTCATCATTTCCACATGGAGGTCACCTGATGCCACGACTGATGAACCTACAAGCCCCTGCATCTTTGTGCAATCGTCATGAGGGCTAGTGTCTCAGATGTAGTTATCTAGTTGGTGAGAAGGTGCTCTAGCTGCCAGTGTTTCAGCCTTGTATGATGGTAGATTCTTCAGTCAGATATTGGGCAACCAGCAAGTAGACAAATGTCCTTAACAAAAGTGACTGAGTTATAAATCTCTAGAGGCCTGAGAAGCCTGGCTGGGGTTGGAAAGTGGAGGTGGAAGACTAATGGATAATGAATGTCCCAGGGTGGATAATTAAAGGATGAAATCATGAGTTTGTTTCTAGTCTATAGAAAGTGACCCAGCAGGGAGAGAAAAGTTGATAATCGAAGGGGAGCCATTGAAGATATTTTATTGAGAGTGAATAATGGAATAGGCCAATTCCATGAAAAGAGCACAGGGTTGGTCTTAAAGAAGGTTTACCTCAACTTCTGAGTATTGAGAGAAGAAAGGAAGCCCTATGGTGGATGAAGATATATTTGAAGCTCAGGGCAGTTTCCTGCTTTATTGAGCAAAATAGGCTTTAGCTCAGAGAAAAGTATTCCTTTGCATAGTAGTACCTTCTTGCAATGACCTAAATGCTTTGGATGTGATTAAAAATTCTCACTTGGGTGCCTACTCTAGACAATTTCTGATCTTATCAGCAGGTTAAGGCAAAATGCTCAGTTTTAAAGCCCCGTGAATATGTGTAAGGTCTTAAATTCTATTATGTATATATTATAATTATGATGAGGTATTTTTCTGAAAAAGATAAGTATATGTGTAATATATAGATATATATAATTTCAGAGCATTATAAATTTGAATAGTTACTTAGTTATAGCTGAGAATTTTAGCTTCAGTTTAGTCAGCCAAACAGTCATTGGTCTATTCTTCTAAACAATAGGACCCAGAAGAATGAGAAAATTAGGTAAATTAGGTAGATTTTCAAACTTTCTTACAAGATGATTTTTAATTTGGTCTTCTTTTACTTGGAACCTAGGTTTCTAAAAATATTAGCACAGTAAAACCTGTCATAATTTCAAGGAATTTGAGAAACAGTCTCCCATTTTTTTCCTGCCACATTATATACCTCTATGATTTGGTTAATATGTTCATTGCACCAACTATCACATGCTGTTTCTGCCTTTAATTGTATTTTTGTTTGGCTCTTAAGGCAATGTATCTCCAAACAATTAAATAGGACTCTAATTCAATGGGTAGAGCTGGTCAATATAGGAAGAGCTGGTCAATATAACCAATGAGAACTCCATGGAAGAGAAAATCCATAATGGTGATTACTATAGAAAAGCTTTGAATCAGACTCACCTATTTTGGACATCAGAGAATTCACAAGAGAAATTTTCAAATGCTTCCATGTGTAAAAAAGTATATTTTAAAAGGGATAAAATCTAATGTTTGTAAGGGATTTAAAACCATATAAATATGTCCCTTAAGGGAAAGCTTTGTTTGGGCTCAGATATTAATGTTTGTCAGAGAGTCTGAAGGACAGATACTCTAGAAATGTAATATTTTGAAACTGCTCTGAGATTTTCTCTTAGATCTAGGAAGGAAATTCTCTTTCTTTATTAGGTGCCTACTGTGTGTTCCAGGCACGGAGCTGAGCATGGGGAACAAGGTTCTACAACACAGACTCAGCCCTTGCCCTCCTGGAGCTAACATTCTGTGGTAAAAACAGAAGACATAACAGCAAAGTTTGGAAAGGCTGTGCTGTAATAAATACAGTGCCTTGTGGAAACAAGTACTAGGGATATCCAGCCCAGGTGAAGAGGGGGCAGAGGAGAATGAGCCAGAGAGTGAAGAACATTTGCAAAGGCCCAGAGGCACAGATACCACATGGCAGGACTTGAAAAGTTGAGTGTGGTGGGACTGGGAAGCTGGGGAATGAAGAGAAATCAGGATGGAGGGATACACAAGGGTCAGATTATGAAGGGCCCTCCAGGTCATGCTTGGAGTTTGGGCTTCTATAACTACTAACACCTACTTTACTTTGTTTTCACAATTACTCCTGCCAGCATTCTTGATGATTTCAGCATCCATGTGATTAATCTTCAGTTTCTTGAATGCTTATTTTCAATATTCTTGTATTTTCACACCACTTTGTTCACCCCTTGTCATGGACATGCTCGAGACTTTGTCATCACCAATAAGCATGCTTTTTCTATAATCTCCATGTCAAGAATCCTGCTCTTTGACCATCTCCCCTTGCACCCTTCATGTTAGTTTATTCCCTCTACTACTCAACTTCAGGAATAATTCTCCATGGTTCTTGGCTCCCCCTTCTGGGTGCCAGGTTCTGGCCTGAGTAACCCTCTCTTCTTCATGAAAAGCAGCCCATATGCGCATCTAAGTTGTTTTCACAGCCTGCTTTCCTACCAGCACAATTTTTAATGGTTGAAAGGCTTTTTTTTTTTTTCCATTTTGTTCTGTCTCTGTCTCTTTCTGTCTCTATATTAGCACTATTTCTGCTAATACACTTCTCTCACAAAACTACCTGGACCTCCAGTGGATCTCTCTGGTGTTCACTCCATTAGATATGATAAAAGCCTGCAAATCTCCTAGAGATCTTTTCTCTGTCTTCTCTTTGATCTTTGCTCAGAAGGCATTTCTTAATTTTAACAGTGTTTGCTATCTGGAGAGGCTAGACACTTCAAGACTATGAAGTCCTCTTTCCTTTTGTTTAAGGGCCCTTTCTTCAATGTATATCTCTCCTCTTACAGCAAGAAGAAACCAAGAGACATCCGCAACACTTGCTGGAAATCTCCTTAAATATATCATTCAGTTCAATAGGCACATTCTATACTTTCCACATAACTACAGATGGTAATGTTAATGAGCTCTCTGCTACTACACAAGAAGGACCACTGTTCTCCAGTTTCCAATAAATTATCTCTCACTTCCTTTTGTGCCCTCACTGGCAGAGTCTTTGAAGTCCGCCAGATTTCTACTAACAGCCTGTTCGAGGCAATTTAGGTTTTCTTCACCATGCTTCTCCAAATCCTTCTAGCCTCTGTCTGTCCGCTGGTTCCAAAGCCACTCACACATTTTCAGGTTTTCATTATGGCAGCACCCCACTTTCAAGTTCCAGTATCTGCATTAGTGATCTAATGTCATATAATAAATTAACCCAAAACTTAGTGGCTTAAAACAGTAATCATTTATTATCTCACAATTTCTGTTTTTAAGGAATTCAGCTGCAGCTTAGTGTGGGGTGGAATGGGAAAGGAGTATCTGCTTCAGGGTCTCTTACAAATACTGCACTGAAGGTGTCAGCCACCAGGACTGCAGTCATTTCAAGGTTCAACTTCAGGAGGAGCTAGTTTTGAGATAAATTCTTGGGGTTCCAAGTTCTTCATGGGATGTTGGACTGAGGGCCTCAGTTCCTCCCTGGCTATCGGCTGGAGACCTCCTTCAGTTCCTTGTTATGTGGATCTCCCCATAGGACAGCCTGCACCATTGCAGCTGGCTTTCCTGAGAGTGAGCCAGAGAGACTCACTGATGATCTTGCTTTTTATTTTCACTGAGACAACAGAAGCAGGTGGAGTTTCTCTAATGATTGCTTTTCTCACCCAAATCTACCAGGCTGCCTGTATCAGTGCCCATGCACTTTTCCTCTCTTCTTTTATTGTGAATAAATTCTTTGAGTTCTGATCTAAGGCAAACCCTTTGTTACGTGTTCTGAGTCCCATCTCTTATTGTCAACTCAAGGACTTTCTTGCCATTATCCTCTATTTTCTGCACCATCATGTTTCTCTCTCAGCTAATAGACACGATATAATAACTCCCATTTAAAAAAATAAATTTTCTCTGTTACACATTTCTGTCAAGTAACCACCCCATTTCACTACTTCTTTTAAAGAAAACAAAGTTTTGAATTGTATGAATACATTATATCTTCAAAAGTTAATAAAAAAGTCAACAAGTGACTCTGGCCACGAGGGAATAAGAGGGTCTGGATTACTCTCCTGTGATAAACAACTAGAAAACTGGAAAAAATGTAGGAAATAATTATTTTCAGACATTGGACAAAGACAGACAGAACTGTGATTCCTAAGAGAAGGAAACAAAATGAGTACTCCTAGTACTTAGGCTTTCTGAACTGTAGAAAATTCCCAGAACATGGCACAGAGCTGAGGAACTCAAGCTGAGCCCAACAATCTTGCAGAGATAAGAGTTCAGAGAGGGTAAGGGGCTCAAGTTCATGGGGCAGAGTACTTTGAAAGCAGGAGCATACAGAAAAACTTACAGTGGGGCCACTTTAACTCTTTGGCTGAATATCAATCTGGCCACAATGTTGGGTAAGAAAAACTTCTAGTAAGAGAACAGTTATCAGGGAGCTATAAGCTAAACAATTCACAGAATTCATAGAGGTCTGGGAATCGTTCAAGTTCCCACAAACGAGATTGGAGAGACCTTAATGGGTATCAGTGACATTTCATAGGAACTCCAGAAGAGCTATACTTTAAAGGTGGGGCCAAATTAGCCTTAGAGTCAAGGCTACACTATACTATTCCCCAAAATGCTTAAAGGATGCCCTAAAAGATTCAAATTAGTGCTCAAGTAACTTAACTGACTTTCAGAACAAAATCCAACACTCTTCAAGGCAAAATAAAACAATGTAATATTCAAAAATGAAATAATCACAGTGTCTGGCAGCCAGTAAACACATGCTAGATATATGAAAAGATAGGAAAATGTGACCCATAACCAAGAGAAAAAGAAAAAATAGTCAATAGAAACAGACCCGGAAATGACAGAGATGATAGAATTGGTAGACAAAGACAGCTATCATTAATATGCTCTACATGTTCAAGAATGTAAAGGAAAATATGAATATAATGAGACAGGAAATTGAAGATGTAAAAAAGAACCCAGTGACATTTTTAAAGATGCAAAATGCATTTTTTGTAAACAAAAATGCTAAATATTAATTTGGGCATTTAGAATAATGTTATTCAATAAAATAGTATTTATGGTGTGCAGCCCATAGTGCTAGGCTCTGTAAGGGGTGCACTTTTCATTCTCCTTCCCTTCTTTCCTTTCTATCAGGATGGACTCATGGATTCTTATTTTAGTTTGTGGGCTACAAAAGTTACATCATTTATTTTATTACTGAAATCGTCTTTCTTTCTAGCAGTATAAGATGTACCAGGTTGATCTTATACTTTTCCTGATATAACACTGGAATTAGCCATTTCTCCAAGGAGCCATCGTTCCTTTTGTTGAAGAATGGTATTTACAAACCAGTGTCTGGAGGATAGTTGTTCGTTGTTATTGTTTCTAGCCCTCTCTGTGTGCAGAGCTAGTTAGTGCACACAATATATACACAATGTGTGTACATAATATACACAAATCTATATATCTATATATCTCTGTATGTACATGTATTAAAGGGTGTGTGTTCATACTAATATGTCCCATTCTAGGCCAAAACTGCACAGTCCGTTCTAAACTTCTTTTCTTTCTGTTTTGTAACTTTCTTCTCCAGCAGTGAGAAAGAAACCTGGCTTCCCTTTCCCACAGTGTGTTACTTATTTGCTCAGTGCTAGAATACACACAAAGCAGTTTTAGCATTGCTATCCCATACTGCTGTGAAAAATGAAAACAAGCGTACTAACTGAAGTGCAATATTGTTTACACTCATTTTGCCTTTACTAAGGCTAATGGGTACATGGTCAAATATTATGTTCCAAAGTTAAATAGGATAGGTCTTCCCTCTCCCTTCAGGTGGTTATATTATTAACTTGGTAGACATTAAGTTCTGTTTGTTTCAGTTTGCATTCTTCTTTTTTTCCCACTTTCTCTTCTCTTTGTTGATTTTCCATTTATTTGGTGATATCTTACATCTGAAGAGTACTTTGCATTTTACAAAATGCTTCTTAAACTTTCCTCCTTGATAAGATTTATCTAGGTCAGCACTACTTACTTGGCATTCAATAGGTCTGGGTGGAACTAGATTGCTTGCATTTATTCAGAACATAGATTGCTTAGCTCTGGACCTTCTGAATTCCTCATGGGGTCTAGGAATCTATTTTTTCACAAGTTCTCCAGGTGATTTTTATGATGAGTCTAGTCTGGGACAATAACTCAGTCTCAAATTATTTTGGATTGGCAAGAGAAAATTTTGAGGTAATGTTTTTATAGATTACCAATCTGAAATTTAAAATAAGTGACTTGATTAAATGATTTACAAAACTAATACTAAATTTTCTAATTCCACTTCATTGGTTTGTTCACTATTTTGCTGTCAGTTTACATTACAATCAGAAAATTAGGTGGCACCAATTTGGTGTTATTCCTGTAATAATTTAGCATAGAATTTGCTTGGAGAAGCTTTAATATATTCACATTTTCTGGGAAGAAAAATTGGACCAAAAGTCAGAGGACAGAATGTGCTTTCTTTCTAAACCATGTATGGCTACCAAAAATGAAATTCCAATACTAAAGAATTATATCTCTACCTTTTGTGTAAAAATATTACCAAAAAGGCAAAAATGGTAAAGAGACAAAATTTTAAGTTCATTTGACAACTGTTTTCATACTATTTTCACTTTCAAGTAAAGTTTATTTACATGTAGAGGTATTAAATAAATAGTGGCACTGAGTTTGTATATGTGTATGTATACTGGTAAGGCATAAAATATTTTGTTGCATATAAAATTTTCAAGAATTCCAGAAATTCTTAATGTTTGCTTGTTTTAAGCCAAGTATATCTCCTGTTACTTTTAAAATTTGATGATCCTTTTATTCTCATACTTTAAAATTATCAAATTTGTTAGAGTATGTTTTGATATTAGTAAAAACAGAGTTCTTAACTTCTTATACTGACTTTGGCATGTAACAAGGTTGGTGGATTCCAGGTTTCACACAAACTTGGGAAACTCCTCTCACAAATACAGGAAATAGCTAATGTTTTTCCTTAAAGAAAAGAATCATTTGAAGTAATTATATAATTCTCTAATTTTCCATTTATAAAAATATTGACATGATTCAGGTTATAATTATTTTTTAGTCATGGTTACTATGGTCTTTATTGATCTCTAAATAAAATGGTGATGATAACAGTGAAATTTATCTTGTGACAATAAGGCACGTTGGGTGTAATGAAATGAATATTGAACATGATGCACAAGACTTCAGTTGAGTTCCAGGTCTACCTTCTCTCCAAATCTCAGTTTTCTTACCTGTAAAGTAGATGATGTTAGTTCCCTCAAAGGGTGCTTTGAAAAACTGGATTAGATAATATTACTAAAGGTGTTTCATGTAAATTGTAATAATGAAATTTGATGATATATTTAATGTGCTTTCTCTATTTTTGTGTCCTTTGCCCATCAAATACCCACCAGTAGGGAGTACAAAATACTTTTGGCTTATACCTGGGGAGGGAGAATTTTCTTTTTTCTTAAAGGGCCAAATAGTAAACATTTTGGGGTTTGTGGACCATCCTGTCTTGGTCACAGCTATTCAACTCTGTGCTTGCAGAAAAACAATTATAGTTAGTATGTAAATTGAATTAATGTTACTACATTTATGGGCACTGAAATTTGAATTTCATGTATCATGAAACAGTCTTTTTTTTTTTTAATTGAAAATGTAAGTAACCATTCTTAGCTCACAGGCTGTACAAAAACAGGCAGATGGCTGGATTTGGCCTGTGGGCCAGAGTTTGCTGATCCCAAGCTTAGAACATTTTGAAATTAGTTTTAGATTGATGCTGATAGTGTCATGATGGGGTTAGCTGTTGGCATGGTTACAGAAAGCTTTTTTAAAAACCAACAAACAATGAATTACTATAATGCATATTTTATAATGTAGATACTATATAGTCATTATTAAGGATATATACTCTATATGATGTTTTGCATGTGTATTACAATTATTAACAAAATGAAAAAGAGATTGAATAAATAGAAAATACATCAGTGAAGGGATGAGGAAACCATAGAGTTAATCTGATTTTAAATTCGCCCTTTTTTACAAATATTCAGTGTATTTAGAAAAGGATGGCTTTGGCAAGACCATCTAAAGTAAGATGATGTGATTCTAACTTTTCTTTTTGTCTTAAAATATGACTAAAATTTTCTATCATTTAAAATGTTAGCAGAGAATATATTTGTTGTTTTGTGCTCAACTTAGGCAAATATTCTTGCTTTAAAATTCTGAAGTTTTTCAGCCAAAGCATAATACCTTGCAAGAATGTTTCCGACATAAAACACCACAATTTATTCAATTTGTTCACAGACTTTTTGTAAAAGCTTTTATTTTAATATTTGAAAAACACCTAAAAGGTCTGGCTTGATATTTTTAAAAATTACATTTTGTTTGCTTTGCTTAAAGATTTAGATAAAATCGAAAGTGCTAAATCAGGCTACCTCTAATTCAAAACAATATTTTATGGGTGGATAGCATTTTACAGTTCTCAAAAATACTTTTATGTGATTATTGTCTTTGATATTCACACCCTTGTAAACATAGATGGTTCGGGGATTGTCTTGGTTTTATTGATTCAGGAACCTGAGGCTCACAAATATAAACTTACTTGTCCATGATCCTATGGCTAATAAGCAAACAGAAGTACTTGATTTTAGATCTCAATGTTAATTTAGTGTGCTTTTGACACTAATATCCCCTATACAGTTCCCAGTAGATTCCTTGGCACATTAAAGCCATGCAAATGTTGTTTCAGGGTTGATTTTTTTTAGTAGTAAAGTAATAATAAATTCTATTACTTGAAAATATATCATAATTCAAAACATTTCATATTAGTGGGGTATGCAGAGAAAGACTAGGGTCTATTTTTCATGTTTTTTATATCTGGATGCTCATATATATGCTAGTTTATTATAGCTTCTAAAGCAACACTTTTCCATACTGATTTTTAAATTATTACATTTGTTAATTACAGTGTTTTCCCTCTACAAGGACTGCAAGATTTCTGAAGGCAGTGATCATGCACTATCTCCCTATCCCCAGGTTCTTTGAAAAACAGTGTGGTTTCGATATGAGGTAGCAGATATTAATGGATAGAATGGGGCAGCACAGGTGAGATGGGTAGACAGAGACACTGTTACTCCACACTCTTCTCCCCACTGCTCTTATTCTATAGTCACTTCATTTACACCAAGACTTAGACTCCCTAAAGGATGAGGCAGATTTATAAAAAATCTAGTAAGTAAGAAATAACAACTGTCTGTTCTTGGTTGCATGCTATTATTTTTTATGCCCTGTATTTGGTAACCCTACCCAGCTAATTATAATTTTTTTTTTAAGATTGACCTACTTATTTGAAGGTTTAAAATGATAGGCAAGGTATTGCTTACAAAAATTTCCTGGATTTTCTTTCTTTTTGTAAATAGTTTTATTGAGGTATAGTTGATATATAATAAGCTGTACATATTTAAATTATAAATTTGACAAATATTGATCTGAGAAATCACTCATAAAACCATCAGTATAATAAAGAAAGTGAATATATCATCAATTAGAAAATTTCTTCCTGCTCCTTTGTAATCCCACCCTCATGCTCCTACCATTGGTACTTCCTCCTCCCACCCCACCTCTGTCCCCAGGGAATGGCTGATCTGATTTCTAGCACATAGCCTACTATTACTCTAGCATTTTTTAGAACTTTATATAAATGCAATCATACAGTACTTTGTTGTGCTTTCATATACATGATTATCTTGAGATTCATTAATGTTGTTTATATCAGTATTTCATTCGTTTTGATTGCTGAATAGCATTCCACTAAATGGTTATATTGCAATTTGTTCATCCATTCACCTGTTGATAGGCATTTAAATTGTTTATAGTTTTTGACTGTTACAAATGAAGTTGTCACAAGTGTTAGAATTGAAATATGTTTTCATGTCTCTTGGATAAATGCCTGGGCATGGAATGGGTACATCATGTGGTAGGTGTGTGTTTAACAACTTAAGAAAGTGCCAAACTGTTTTCCAAAATTGTATCATTTTACATTCCCATCAGCAGTGTAAGAGTTCCAGTTCCTCCACATCTTCACCAATACTTGGTGTAGTCAGTCTTTTTTTAAAATTTTAACCATTCTAGTATGTGGATAGTGATATCTCATTGTGATTTTAGTTTGTGTTTCTTGAGTGACTAATGATGTTGAGCATCCTTTCATATGCTTATTTGCCATAACTATGATTTATATGGTGAAGTGACTGTGTAACATTTTGCCTATCTTTTTAACTGGGTTGTTTGTATTATTATTATTTAGTTTTGAGTATTGTAGATACCTTATGTATACAAATCTTTTATCAGATAGATAATTGGCAAATATGTTCTCTGTGTATGGTTTGTCTTTTTGTTATCTTTCATAGTGCTTCTCAGAAAACAACTTTTCAATTTTGATAAAGTCTAATTTATCAGTTTGTTCTTTTATGGATCATGCTTTTTGTGTCATATATAAGAAATTTTTAATTAACACAAGGTCACAAAATTTTTTACTTATGTTTTCTTCTAGAAGTTTCATAGCTTTAGGTTTTACATTTAGATTTATGATTCATTTGGAATTAATTTTTGTATCTGATGTGAGGTATGGATTAAAGTTCTTTTCTTTTATTGCATATAGATATTCCATTGTTCCAGCACAATTTATCAGAAAGATTATCATTTTTCCACAGAATTTCTTTTGTGCCTTTGTAGAAAATCAGTTGTCCATGTAAGTGTTAGTCTATTCTAGACTCTATTCTGGTCCATTCATTTACTTTTTTTTGTTTTTACATGAATACTTCATTGGCCTGATTATTGCAGCTTTATAATACATTTTGAAGTTAGGTATTGTTATTCTTCAAAATATGTTCTTCAGTTTCAAAGTTGTTTTGGCTATTCTAGATTCTTTGCATTTCCATATGAATTTTTAGATTCATCTTGTCAATTTGTGTAAAATAGCCTGTTGAGATTGTGAGTAGCATTGCATTAAATCTGTAGATAAATTTGAGGAGAGCTGGCATATTAACCATATTGAGTCTTCTGACCCATAAGCACAGTACATCTCTCATTTTAGTTAGGTCTTAATAATTTCCGTCAACAGCATTTCATAGTTTTCAATGTGCAGATCCTAAACATCTTTTGTCAAATACATTACAAAGTATTTCTATTTTTGATGTTATTGTAAATGATATTTTAAAATAATTTCTGTTTCATCAGTTATCCAATATAAATTCAGTATCATAAAATTATTCATATTTCCTTATTATCCTTTTAATATCTGTAGACTGTGTAGCAATATCGTGCTTTCAGTTTTTATATTCTTAATTTGTGACTTCTGTGGTTTTTCCTGGTCAGTCTGTGATATGGTTTGGCCATGTTCCCACCTAAATCTCATCTTGTAGTTCCCATAATCCCCAAGTGTCATGGGAGGAACCCAGTGGGAGGTAATCATGGGGGTGGTTACCTCCATGCTGTTCTTCACTATTATGGCGGTTACCTCCATGATAATGAGTGAGTTCTCATGAGAGCTGATGGTTTTATAAGGGGCTTTTCCCCACATTCACTCTGTACTTCTTGCTGCCACCATGTTTGCATGTCCTTCCACCATGATTCTAAGTTTCCTGAGGCCTCCTCAGCCCTGAGGAACTGTGAATCAATTAAACCTCTTCCCTTTATAAATTACCCAGTCTTGGGTATTTCTTCCTAGCAGCATAAGAATGGACTAATACAGTCTGGTTAAAGCTTCTTTCATGTTTTAAAATCTTTTAACCAGCTTTTGGCTTTCTTGATCTTTGTGTATTATTTTTCTGTATTCTATTTCATTATATTCTGATTTGATATTTATGATTTCTCATCTGTTTTAAAGTTTGGTTGAATTTGCTCTTTTTTTTTTTTCCTAGTTTGTTAAGACGGAAGCTGAGGTCATTGATCTGAGACTTTTCTTTTTTTCTCATATAGGCAGTTAGTGCCTATATTTAGTGTTAAACACATTTCCCTGGAATTATTGCTGTAAGCAATATCCTACCTTAAAGAATATGTTGTATTTTAATTTTCATGTACTTAAAAAATCCTTCTAATTTTTTTTGATATGTTTTTTGACCCAGGAATTATTTAGTTGTGTTCAGTTTCCAACTATTTAGGGCCTTTCCAAATATCTTTCTGTTATTGATTTCTGTTATTAATCCTATTTTTGTGTGACTGGAATCCTTTAAAATTTATTGAGACTTGTTTTATGGACCAGAATATGGTCTTCCTTGGTAAATGCTTTTGCAAAGAATGTGCATTCTGCTATTGTTGCATGGAGTGTTCTTGAAATGTCTATTAGGTCAAGTCAGTTGATGCGTTGTTCACGTTTTTATCCTTACTAATTTCTGTCTATTTGTTATATCAATGGAGAAGAATGTTACATCAATGATGAAATGAAATTAATCAATAATTGTGGATTAGTCTATTTCTCCTTAAGGTTCTCTCAATCTTTTGCTTCATGTATTTTGAAACTCTGTTATTGGGTTCATAAATGTTTTGGATTGTTATGTTCTCTTGGTAAATTGATCCCTTTTTCATTATGAAATGATCATCTTTATCCCATGGAATATTCACTGCTTTGAAATCTACTTTCTCTGATGTTAATATAACCATTACAACTTTCTTTTGACTAATCTTATAATGGTATATCTTTTCCCGTTCATTTCCTTTTATTTGTGTTTATAGTTAAAATTGATTTCTTGTAGGTTGTTTATAATTGGGTCTTTTTAATCCAGCATGATAATCTTTGCCTTCTAAATGGGATGTTAAGGCTGTTTGCATTTAGTGTGAAAATTGATATGTTTAGGTTTAAATCTTTTTATTTCTTTTCTTATCCTATTTTATTATTTGTTTCCCTTTCCTCTTTTTATGCCTTCTTTTTGATTTTTTAAATGATTCTACTTAATATCCTTTGTTGCTTATTAATTATATTTTCTTGTTTTATTATTTTAGTGGTTGCTTTAGCATTTATAATATTTGTCTTCAATTTATTATAGTCCAAGAGATAGTATACCTCTAAGTGATATCATACCACTTCGTGTAAGAACATTACAAATTTCTCCCCTCCCAAGCTTGGTACTAATGCCATACATTTTACTTTTACCTACGTTGTAAACTCCACACCACGGATCTATTATTTTTGCTTTAAACAATCAATAAATATTTATCATTTTAGTTAAATTTAATTTCTTTGTGTGAAACCACATTTCTATCTGCTGTCATTTTTTTTTTTTTTTTTTTGCCTGATGGATTGCCTTTAGCATTTTTTATAGTGCAAGTCTGATGGTGACGAATTATTTTTGCTTTGGTATGTCTGAAAAAAAAAGCCTTTATTTCATCATTATTTTGAAAGCTGTTTTCGCTGGGTATAGGATTTTAGAATTGCAGTTTTTCTTTTATTTTAGTACTTCACTTTTACGTCATTATCTTTTTGCTTATGTTATTCCTGATGATTAACCTGCTGTAATCTTTATCTTTGTTTTTCTAATGTAGGGTTTTTTTTTTTCAGATACCCTTTAAGCTGGGTGTCCCAAATAGTTTACTTCAATTAGTATTTAGTATCCTGCTTTAAAAGCCTATCCAGTATTTTCATATCTGTTTTAATATTTAGCTCTTATTTTTCAATATAGGCCTGAAGTGTTAGAAGATTCACCTCTGGTTCCCCAAAAAGGCAGTTTTCAGATGGTTCACTGCAATTGCAGTGTTCATGAATGTTGTGAATGTCTTGTGCCTGTGCCAACAGCCAAACTCAACGACACTCTCCTTATGTGTTTGAAAATCACATCTGGTGGAGTAATTTTCCAGTCACCTCTAATGTCAGTTCAGCCCATAAATATGGGTAAGTTATGCACTAAAATGATGATAATAGGTCTAAACATCAGTCATATATAAAGGTTAAAAATTGCTTACAAAAATATTTGCTAGCTTATCTCACTTTGCTTAACACTGTAATGATGGTAGATGTAGTACTGGGGGTATTAAGAGTGGCTTCTAGAATGATTTAACAATGGTATGTATATCTCTGCCATTGTCACTTAAATTCTGTTTTGAAAACTGTTTTCTTTCAATCCTGGATCTATGTAATGGATGTATATTGATTGGATATCACTTTTTCACATCTCAGATAACTATTTTTGAAAATAGTAGCATGTTTCTTGCCTGAATTTATTCCTTCAATAAATATTTCTTAGAGGCTCATGTTTGTCAGAGACTGCTCCAGGAGCTGGAAAAAGAGTGGGACATTAGACATAGTTCCCACCTCAGAGAGCAGGGACAAACAATAGTAGGCAGAGACAATGATAAAAGAGTAAATGAGTAATTTACTGTACAAACATGATTACAAAAAACTTCAAATAATAGACAACACTCTGTTTTCTTTGTGCAAAGATCCCCCAAATCTCTTTTTATCAATTTAAATATACAATTACAAATGTGAATAATACAGGAAAATGTTAGCGCTATGTATTTAATTTATTAATTTCATTTAATTATGTATAATTTAGCAGTTTTTCTCCACTTATATTTCCTGAAACAATTATATGCAAACTCTTTATGTCTGATTTTGCATCATTGGTTTTGACATCACTAGAGCTGCTTTTCCAAGTATCTGATACAATTTTCCATACAACTCAAGCTTTACTTCTTTCTAAGTTACTCGAGATATAGCACTTTTTGAAACTGTGTATGACATCATATTTTAACATGAAGACTTTCAAATAATTTGTCCTGTAGGGATATAGTTGTGATCTCCACAACATAATTACAATGGCATACAAGCAATTCAATCGTGAAGTTATACCATAGAGAAAAAAGTTACAAAATCTTTATTCAATATCATTTTCTTTTCTTTGAAAACTAATTCTACCTGATGATTTTTTAGTAGCATTTAGAGTCAACATTGAGTGCATTGTTTTTCAAAATGAAGTAGGTAAGGGAAAGTGCTGTGGAATTTTAAAGAACTTGAAAGCTTTCTTAATTTTGTCTTTATGCAGAGATAATTTTGGGGAAAAGTATTTCCTTCTATTTGAATATATATTATAATATCCCCAAATTATATGTTCCATGAAAAAAATAAAACTGGTGTGATGGAGTGTCAGGGACTATTATTTCTACTATGTAGATCAAAGAAGATCTCCTTTAGGACATAGCATTTGAGCTGAATGAAGAAGAGATATCCATGCAAAAATCCAGAGCAAAAGGTGCTCCAAGCAGGAAGAACAATATTCACAAAATCCCTAAGATACAATGAACTTGGTAATTTGAGGAACAAAACAGAAGACCTTTGTGCTAGGAGTGAAAGAGATATGAGAGTATTAAGGGATGAGGTCAGAGTTACCTGGTCCAGAGCATATTGTAGGCCAGGGTGGAGAAGTAAAGAACTGTTTTGGTTTGGATCTGTTTGTGAGATGGTGCTGACTGGACTGTCTAGTGGATGGAGTTGTAGAGTGTGAAGGACAGAGGGGTATCAAGGATAACCTTTAAATTTAGACCTGAGCATCTAGGTGAACAGAGACACCAGATACTGAGATACGGAAACTCAGGGAAGATTAGGTGTGTGTACAGAAATCAAGAGCTCTATTTTGGACACATTGTATTTGAGATGTCTATTGGAAACCTAAGAGACGTTGAATAAGAGGTTGGACATATGAGTCTAAAGTTTAGGGGAGATATATATATTTGGGAGTTGTTAGCGTATCAAGGTTTATAGTATTGTATGAGATCACCTATTTAGAGTTCAGGAAGAGAAAGACTGAGGGGTTATCAGTAAGAATGAAGGAGTAAAAGAGTATGTTGTTGTAGAAGCCAAGTGAAAAAAATATTTCAAGAAGGAGGGAATAAGCATCTATGGAGTGCTGCTGAAAGGCCGAGTAAGGTGAACAGGAAATTGACATTGGGTTTATTTTTGTATTTCTAATATTAATGCATATTAATATTGTCAACCTAAAATGTATGACAGATACCAACTCTATAAAGCAAAAAGTTGATTTGGGAGTAGTAGGGGATTGCAGTTCTAGACATGCATGCTATGGAATGACTATGACACATCCACAGGGGATTGGAGTAAAGGGGAAGCTTGAAAAGACATATAGGAGACCTCCATGTAAGCTGTTTTGAACAAAGATTATTGGTTACAAGAGCTTGCTGCAGGGGTGGCATTAGCTCATTGGTGGAGACAGCCGTAGTTAGGCAAGTGTCTCTGTGCAAGCGGCTTTTATGGAATACTGTGGTTTTGAGGAATTCTTTACGTTGTTCCAATGTAGGCATACATATACATAAGGGGACTCCTTCATGGCCTCCCAACTCCATTGTGTTAGGGTTTCACACTAGTAACTCCAGTTTGATACTGATAACTTTTACAGTATGCAGATAGGAAATGTACAATAGCTTGTAATATTGTAATTTTACTTTTCTTTGGTATATATTGTTTTCTCTTTGGTCATGGAAACACAGTAAATTTCACCTGCTGTTTCCAGACTTTTGTGTTTAGCTGTCTCTGCTTTAAAGTAACTGAAATTTATAATACGTCTCATAAAGTAAAACCTCATTGATTTTGACTAAAAGAGGAAAATTGTGACCAAATTCTTGAAAATATAGAATGTGAAAATTATCTTATGCTCTTTATTTATTGAAAATAAAATTCAAATCAGTGTTTCAATTTAATGATAATTTCTATATATATGAATAATTCCTGTTAATTGTAAAAACCTTGCTAATATAGAGATGAACAAACAAGAAAATGCATCGATTTTCTATCACTTTGGCGATCTTTATATTTTAACTATATCAGGAATCCAAGTATAAATGTGTGTTAAACTTTCAAAATTTAAACATTAAACATTTTTAATATTCTGAGAAACTTCATCCCTACTTCTGATGACAAGCCAGGGACTGCTGATGCTGCATTTATTGCATGGGAATATTTATGCTGTCAGTTATTTGAGTAGGTTTGTCTAGATTATAGTGATCTAAAATTAATAGACAAGCTGAATTTTGGGTAGTTTTGTGTATTTCCAAATAGTGTTCTGCAAAATGCTTTTTTCCTTTTTAACCACTAAAATAATTGAAGTGGGTGAGGTTCAGGGGAGACTTCAGATAAGTTTTAGGATGCTGGGTTTAATAAAGTTAAGTGGGATTCTTACAAGGGGAAATCACATTTAGCAAAATAATCTCATTTACTGATTCATAGTCTTTACCACTTAAGGGGAGGGTAATGAATATACATGGATTGCTATGATAAGGTACAAGGACGAGACCCAGTATTCAAGCTTGTTTCGGTTCTATAATTAGTCCTTGGATAAAGTCACCTTTTAAGTACTTGAAAGGCAAGATATGATGAAAATTTATCTTGACTTTATTTTATTCAGCTATAATTGTCATGAAAATTACTTGACTTAAAAGTATTCTCTTTTTTTTCCTTAAGTGAAGCCTGATCCACCATTAGGTTTGCATATGGAAATCACAGATGATGGTAATTTAAAGATTTCTTGGTCCAGCCCACCATTGGTACCATTTCCACTTCAATATCAAGTGAAATATTCAGAGAATTCTACAACAGTTATCAGAGAAGTAAGTATATTTTAGTAAGTAAAAGGAAAAGTTGAGAAGTAAATAAAGACCCTCTTAAGTCCCATAGCAATTACCCTCTGCATACTAAATATATACATTTCTTCTAAAGCAGAATGAATTATAATTCAACATTTCATATTATATATCATATATAGATAGATATACGTATGTATATATATGGCTATAGGAAATCTAGTTACAGAAACTTGAATTCATAATTACAATTATTTTCCACCAACAGACCACTGATTTCATCTTTTTTTTAATTGCTCAATCTATTTGAATGTTTTTCTGAATGTGGCAACAGAAAGATTTTTGCTTGGCTAATCATTAGTCGAGCTTCTGAATCTTCTGCTAGCCCGATCTGTGCACATTCCTGTAAAATCCAGTTTTAGCAAAGAACTCTGCTAGGTCATTTTAGCAGGAACACCCCCACCCTGGATATCTGATGAATATTTGATCAGATTTCTCATCCTCCACCATTCCCCAAATGATGTTTGATCACCATGGCCTGTCTTCAGCAAGAATTCTGTTAGGTCAGTTTAGCCAGAATCCCTCTTACCATGATGTTTTTGCTTAGTAATTTTCTATCTACTCCCTCCTTCTTGGCTATAAATTCCCTGTTGTCCATGCTGTGTTTGGACTTAGCCCACATACCCCGACCCACCACAAGACCCCATTGCAGTGCTCCATATACCTATTGTGATGATTCCAAATAAAGTCTTCCTTACTTCCTTTCTCTTTTTCTTTAACAGTTCGTTCCGTAAGTATTTATTGAACACCTGCTACATGCCTGGAACTGTTCTGCTTGCATCAGGATACACTGAGATAGCAGGACAGGATAAGAGGAATCTGGGGGTGCTGGTAGGGAATGGAAGGTTGCAATAATAAATGGAGGTTGGGGAGGGTGACATTTGAGCAAGGATGTGAAGGAGATGGTAATGTAGATATCTGGGTAGTTGGGTTCTAAACAGGGAGAACAGCAGTGCAAAGGATGGTGTGGCTGAGGGCAGTGAAGGTGACAGCAGTAGTGGTTGAATTCAGAGGCCAGCAGGGGAAGAGAATGTGGAGCTCAATGAAAGGCCTCTTGGGCCATGTGAATACTTTGGCACTTTACTTTGTGAAACTAAGTTTCATATAATTTAGAAGTAAAAATCAGTCTTTTTAGAACTGGCAAAAAAATTTAAAACATTTTATTTTCACAAAGAGAATGATGGGAATCCTCAGTGTCACATATGGAGAAAACAGAGTTAAGGCTTCTGTGGGTTTCAGCTTTCTTATCTGTAAACTGGAGATAATTTGTGAACTTGAGGATTTTAAATAGGAGTTATTAATATCTGATGTTGTTTTATGCATTCCTGATGCTTTTCATAATTTTTAGTCTGTGACATGCTCCCCTTACCCCAAGAGCAGTCATTAGAGCCAGAGAATTTATTAACTTTGGAGTACATTTTTGGGAAGCTGAATTTTGATCTCCTAGGCTCAAGTGATCCTCCTGCCTCTTTTTTTTTTTTTTTTTTTTAAGAGATGAGGTATCACTATGTTGCTCAGGCTGGTCTTGAACTCCTGGGCTCAAGTGGTCTACCCACTTCGGTCTCCCAAAGTGTTGGGATTACAGGCATGAGCCACCATGCCTGACCAGGCTCAGGTTCTTAAGACTTTTCATGCTCTTCTGTACAGGGACACTTGTAGTTCTTTGTCTACCCCTGCACAGCATTTTCTACCAGGTGTGTGTTATAGGTGTCAGTAGTGGCTTAAAGCTTCCCACAGATTTTAGCTGCATTTCTTAAAATTCTAAAGGTCATATATTCATCATGATTCAATTAACAGTATTTGTTAATTATCATTATGATTTTTTCTTGGACCCATGGGCTATTTAAAATTTTATTGACTAATGTGCAAACTTTTTTTTTGGTTATTGATGTTTGTTTTAATTCCGCTGTGGCCAGATAACTACTGTGTAAGATATTAATTCTTTGAAATTTGATGAGATTAGCTTATCCTCACTTTTAGTAAAGGTTCCACATCAACTTGATGTTCTGATGTTTTAATATAATATTTAACAGGCTGACAAGATTGTCTCAGCTACATCCCTGCTAGTAGACAGTATACTTCCTGGGTCTTCGTATGAGGTTCAGGTGAGGGGCAAGAGACTGGATGGCCCAGGAATCTGGAGTGACTGGAGTACTCCTCGTGTCTTTACCACACAAGGTAGGTTATGTAATAGCCACTTCTACTGGGAGGGAAATATATTTCCTGAACTTGCCTTTGTATAGTATAAGCATCTTACATTTTGAGGCCTTAAAATGAAAGGAGGAACACAGTATCAACTTCCTTGTTTAAACTTTGAACAGGCCAATTTGTGAATTAAAATTCTGTCAGAGCCTCTAGGCTTGTGTGTTTCTATTGCAGTATATTGTAGGATCACTTTTCCTATTAAAAAGAAAAAATTAATATAACAGCTCCAAATTAACAAACTCAGAAAGCCATTTGTATTGATAATTCCTTAATTTACATTTTAAAACCAAGCATATTTATTTGACATAAAATTCAAATATTAACATTTTACTTTATATTATATAATAAATGAATTATTTTTACTCCAGATGCTTGCTTTTGAGAGTTTTCAGTGCCAATGTTCATATTTTAAAGGTTATTTTTAGCATCGGAACATCTACAGTTCATTCACAGCTTCTTCATGCAGCTGATGCGCAAAGTTTTGCATAGAGGCTCCAGAGGCTTGGAATGGTCCTAGACCTGTTGCATGCAAAGTTGGGACTATAGAAAGACAATAGTCCTTTGGCTGGTTGTCCGATCTGTCAAAAGGGCAAAATTTTTCTTGTTCAGACTTACTGAGATTGATTATGGCCTGTACAGAGATAACAGGTACCATGCAAATATCAATCCATTTAACAAGTTTACTTGTTGATTGCTTACTATTTTAAAAGCATTGATTCGTCAAAAGGCAAGTAGCAATAGTAGTTTAAGACATTGACTTCGGAGTCCAACAGAAGTTTATAGGAGTTCTGGCTCCACCACTTATTTGGAAAGTTTCTTAACCTTTCTATGCCTTAATTTCCTTATCTGTAAAATAGGGATGTTTTACATGGATATGAAATATCCATATAAAATTAAATAATGAAATGAAATAATTAACATTGGTCATGTGAAGAAAACCATTATTGTTTTCTTATTCTGCAAATTAAAAATTGCATAGTATGTCATATGCAGATAAAATGTGTATCTATATTATTAAAATTTTGCAAATTAAATATTCAATATCTCATATCAATTTCAATAAATTTATCCAGTGTAAATTTCACAAATTGTCAGGTTTTTATTAACTTAGTTTTCTTATTTTAAGCTAATATTTTAGCATCTAATCATGTAAAAATACTATGACTTTAATCTTATTTCTCAGTTAAGCCTTACTATATGTATTTGATTTCAAAGTGAAATGCTTTGAATTTTCTTGTCATCTTTAAAATGAAAAACTTCAGCTTAATCCATGAAAACTCAATTATATTTTTTATTTTTAAATAAGAATTATTCTGAGACTTTTGAGGCAGTTGAGTAAGGAGGTTGTGGCGCATACTGAAGGTAGGTTAAGATAGGTTAATGTACTAGGTACTTGTCCACAGTAAGTAATGTACAAGTGAAGCTTGAGTGCCACCTCGGCTAGGATTATACTCAGTCACGCTCATAAATCTAATGGTCTGGCTCCTGTGCAGTAATTTTATGCTACTAAGTTTTTTCCTGTTTCTATTTGATTATGGACATACAAAACACAAATGTTTTGTATGAATTGTAAATATATAGACATTGACGTTTACCATGCTATTACAGAATAAAGAAAACTTAATAAAAACCAATTAAAGTATTTTTGTTTCTGTTTTTAAGGGTAATCCCAAGATATGTGTGAAAACAAATTTTCATAGTCTATCAACAGAAAATGGTTTACCTTAACTTTACAACTGAAATGTACTGACGTTTTTGCAGTGCACTGTGGTGGAAATAATTTCTTCCTATGTAAACCATCATTTACTTGTATCTCGCATGTCTTTGAAAATGATAGGCAAATGAAATTTACAACAACAGAGGACTTTAAAAATAGTATAGAATCATGTGTAGGCATTAAAAAAATCATGTTTTAGGAAAATATCGCTTCCCTTTACCCTCATCCATAGGATATTGGCATTAAATAACTCAAAATGATAGTACAAACCAGTATTTCCCATTTTCTCTGCTTTGTATATTGCTGCATTATCATTCATACGACATTCCTATTTTTTAATTTATATCTCGTATCTTTACCTACTTACTTGAAATTTTTATGTATCCAAACAAGACAATAGCGGCAATCATTTTTACTTCAGGATTTGGCTTCATAGTGATTTGCTTTAAGAACTTGTCCTAGTTTCACTGATTCCCAAAGCAGGGTCTGTTGGAAAATATGTCATTGTTGAATTAAGCTATATTTTGTTTTAGTCACTTTCCTGCCTATCAGTTAGCAAGTGACAATTACTGGCTAAAACATATTTTATGATGAATAAGCCTCTGTGTTTAGAAGATAGTAAAGACATTCATGGAAGCTCAACTCACTTTAGAATGAGAGCACTCGGGACACTAGATAACTGTACACAAACAGGTAATTTCAGCATTATCCAGTTTTTAAATTACACTCATTTTATTTTTGGCAGTGTAACTCTGGAATGTGTTGTGAATATTTTTCGATGTGGTACAAATTACTTACAGAATGTTTTGTCTTCATCTGATATCCTTTCTTCCCTCATTACAGATGTCATATACTTTCCACCTAAAATTCTGACAAGTGTTGGGTCTAATGTTTCTTTTCACTGCATCTATAAGAAGGAAAACAAGATTGTTCCCTCAAAAGAGATTGTTTGGTGGATGAATTTAGCTGAGAAAATTCCTCAAAGCCAGTATGATGTTGTGAGTGATCATGTTAGCAAAGTTACTTTTTTCAATCTGAATGAAACCAAACCTCGAGGAAAGTTTACCTATGATGCAGTGTACTGCTGCAATGAACATGAATGCCATCATCGCTATGCTGAATTATATGTGATTGGTAAGAAAACAGAGGTTTTGTTCATTTTGTTCCACAACTTGAATTTTCATTATGGACCCTCCTTATATTAGAGTCCTGTTAAAGATGTAAGAAAAAATTTTTTTCATTGAATTTTTTGGAGTTTTTGCTTTATATTAATATTTTAATATGTTTCAAATAGATGTCAATATCAATATCTCATGTGAAACTGATGGGTACTTAACTAAAATGACTTGCAGATGGTCAACCAGTACAATCCAGTCACTTGCGGAAAGCACTTTGCAATTGAGGTATCATAGGTACGTATTATTTTTGCTGTTTTGTTTTTCTGTGGGCACAGTGAGATAAAAATTTTCTTTAGAAATATTACAACAGTAGTCTTACAGATTATTTGCTTCCTGAAAGAGGAAAGTATAATATAATGAATCAGGAAATTTTTGAGGGATTATATAAATTGGTGATTCTTGAAAAATATTCACACCTGAGATTAAAAAATTGTAATTTGTTTTTACTTCAAATTATCTTTTCTGAAAATCAATCAATTCTGAAAAATTTGTATTTTAACTCTTGAATGAAATGCAAGAAAATGTAGTTTATATATATTTTAATTTGACTTAGTTGACTAGAGGAGAATGTGAAAGATTATAAAAGTTTCGTATCATTTGGCTAAAGATTAATGTTTTGGAAAAAAGAGGTAAAAACAGATTATAAGAGATAATATGAATGGTTTTTAGAACTGAGTGAGATTACTTAGGAAATAAATACTTATGGTTAATAAAGGGTAATGTGTTCTAATGAGAAGTAATTTGTGCTTGTTTATTTTTACTCTTCTATGTTTTAAAAAGAATTCAAGGCATCGTCTTATAGTGGTCCCTTTCTTTCTAAAATCATTTTATCTAAAATGATACAACCCTTGATTATATAATAGATTTTTATTTTTAAAAATATCCCATAGTAGTAGTCAAGTAAATATATACTGCTGTTAAACACTGTGTCCCAATTTATATTTTTATTTGTAGTGGAGACTTTCAATTTGTATAACATGCTCATTTATTCTTAAAATATAAATTTTCAACTAGAAAAATAAATCCCTTCTCTCAAATACTGTGATCTGAAGTCTATTCCTAATGCTGCCAGTCTCTTCTTATGTAGCGTTAGGAAAAAAATGTGGCAATTCGTACATTTCTCAAATAGCTGCCTTCATCCTACCTAATATGAGTATTTTAAAATCAGTAGAATTGTTCATGATATGAAATTTTACTTTTATAATCTGTCTTTACATTCTTTTCATGGCATTTTCACATTAGAAAAGGTGTTTATGGAAAACTATTATGTTAAGCCCCATGCCTTGTTTCTCTTATTAACATTTACAGAATAACTATGAAACTACATTTACTTGGGTGAGTTTCTTAACTTCCCTAAGCCTCAATTTCCTTGTCTGTAAAACAGAGAGAATAATAGGACTTACAGTGTTTCTGCGAGAGTTAATGACATATTTCATCTAATTATAATCACATGGTATAATTTCTCCTTGTAAATATTCAATATATGGTTTTTGCTGTCATGATAATGATGCCAACTTTTCGATTTCAAGTGTACTAGTACTGTGCTTCTACTTTGTTCTTATTTTCTACCCCCAGATGACCCCTCACTCCTCATTTTCATTTTTGCCCACGCACCACCATTTATTCACACACACACACACACACACATTCATGATTGTAATTTTGAGAAGACAAGAAAAAGAAGTGGTATAGAAAATAGAAAATGACAGAAGAATATAGATTTTTTAGCTTCTTCTAACTTCCTCACTCCCATCTCTTTGGAAAGAGTAATTGCTACTTCAGCTATTTAAATATAGTATTCAGAGCAAACATTGGCCCAAGAGGTTATTTCAAAGAAGAGGAAAAAGACTTTATGTCAAGTTTGTCCAACCCATGGCCTGGGGCCCCCATGTGGACTAGGATAGCTTTGAATGCAGCCCAACACAAATTTATAAACTGTCTGAAAACATTAGGAGATTTTTTTTGCAACTGGTTTTTTTTTTTTTTTTTGATTCATCAGCTATCGTTAGTATATTTTATGTGTGGCCCAAGACAGTTCTTCTTCCAGTGTGGCCTAGGGAAGCCAAAAGATTGGACACCCCTGCTTTATGGGTTCTGAGGTGGAGTGTTGGCTAGGACTCACTTATAAAATTTTTTTTAAATTTTCTTTTCTGAGAAAATGAGGAATATACATGGTTATATAATTCACATACATATCTGAAATTGGTATTATATTAACTTATATTAATTTGAACTAGAAAATTATATTCACCACTCATTTGTGGTGAAATTTAATTCTTTCTTCAAAGTGTGAGGAATTTGCCTTCCTTGCCATCTCAGGAATGCTCCATGACTACTTTCATCTATATTTTAAATATTCTATCACTAATACATAATGTTTGTTTAATTTTCAAATTATTGTAGGTTCTGTCTCTAACTGGATCATTTTCTTCTTTTTAGAGTATTTATTTCATTTGCATCCCTGCTTAGTGTCTAATGAAATATTTAATAAGAGTTACTGTCAGTTTCTGTGGAAAGATATAGAATTGGGAAAAATTAAAAAATGCCTTTCTAATAAGAATGTCTTTTTTTAGATGGAGTGAAATTGTCTGTATTTTATTTATTTTAATTTAATTTAATTTAATTTTATTTTGTTTTTGAGACAGTCTCCCTCTGTCGCCCAGGCTGCAGTGCAGTGGTACCATCTCCGTTCACTGCAACCTCCGCCTCCCCAGTTCAAGCGATTCTCCTGCCTCAGCCTCCCTAGTAGCCAGGACTACAGATGTGCATTTGTAGAGACAGGGTTTCCCCATGTTGCCCAGGCTGGTCTGGAACTCCTGGGCTCAAGTGATCAGCCCGCCTCAGCCTCCCAAAGTGCTGGGATTACAGGCATGAGCCACCGCACCGGGCCTTCTGCCTGTCTTTTAAACTTGGGGTCCCCAGTCCCTGGGCCACGGACCGGTACCTGTCTGTGGCCTCTTAGGAACCCGGCCACAAAGCGGGAGGTGAGAGAGCAGCATTACCACCTGCGCTCCACCTCCTGTCAGATCAGCGCAGCATTAGATTCTTAGAGGAGCAGAACCCTATTGTGAACTGGGCATGCGCTCCTCATGAGAATCTAATGCCTGGTGATCTGAAGTGGAACAGTTTCATCCCGAAATCCTGAACCATCTCCCATCCCCCATTAGTGGAAAAATTGTCTTCCATGAAACCGGTCCCTGGTGCCAAAAAGGTTGGGGACTGCTGTTTTAAACAACAAATCAGAATTCTCAGATATCTTCTTGTTGCTTTTATTAATGTATACTAATTGACTATTTTTGTATCTTTTAAAGGAGCAGCCTTTACTGTTCTGATATTCCATCTATTCATCCCATATCTGAGCCCAAAGATTGCTATTTGCAGAGTGATGGTTTTTATGAATGCATTTTCCAGCCAATCTTCCTATTATCTGGCTACACAATGTGGATTAGGATCAATCACTCTCTAGGTTCACTTGACTCTCCACCAACATGTGTCCTTCCTGATTCTGTGGGTATGTCAAGCTGCGTTGTGTCTTCATTTGTGTTAGCAGATTTGTATGCAGATTGATGCAGATTTAATGTTATATTTTGCCATTTTCTGATCACATTAGATTTTGAAAAAAAAATTGTTCCTGTTTACAGTGGTATTGAGAAAATCAGCCTTAGGAAGTTTTACAGTTTTGAATTCATTTCAAATTATTTATAGCAGACTTTTTTTAGCAATAGGAATATTTTCTGCACACTATTAGATGAAATACATGGGTCATTATGAATGAATTTTAGTAGTGTTTTTCTAAATAAGGCATTATTTTATGTTTTTGTTCCAATGTAGTTATGAAAACATGTAATATTTGTAATCCAAACGTTTAATTTGAATATTCTGAGGTTCTCAATAATCTGAGTACTCATAACTCAAGCCTTTAATTTGTGAGGCTATGTAGGGCACAGAAGCATTTAAAATAGCTAAATTGAAGTGGAGGAAATAGACAACAATGACATACATTATATTTTAAACATTCTTTTCAAAAAACTTTTGATTTCAAAGATATTAAGAGAGCCCTTGGAAAATGTGATATATTCTTTCCGGTTCATTGTGAAATCTCTGAGAAATGATTGTGCAACAGGAATGCAAAAATATCTTTTGGTGCTGTTACATATGTATAACTAAGGAAGCTTTTGTAGATCTTTTCTAAATGTTTGTTTTCAAGATAAGATGTCTAAAAACAAAACAAAAATGGGATTTTCAGTGAATTTTCCCCTCAAATAAAATATTCCTCAGTAGGAAACATGTTAGAATAATGTTCCATAAAAATATTAATATATACTATTTTGTTGGGGGATTATGTCAAAAATCAATATTTGAGTCATTATTTTTCAATTAATTAATACACATTTGAATTAAAACCTATAACCAAAAAATACACGATAAGATTGTCTTAATTATAAGATTTCTTTTTCAATGTAAAGTCCCAATGAATTCTCTCCCCACTGTTTAATTCCATTTTAAGTGATTTTTACTGCAGTGATACTTAATATCCCAGGATAGCAAGGAACCCTCCTACACTCCCCCAAACATGCACAGATAATAACACACTCACTTATAAGATATGACAAATGAAGCCTGGATTCAGTAACATATGTTACTTGAATAACCTATGGTGTTATCCTTTTCAAAACTAAAATAACGAGTTTAGGTTGGGCTTATATTGCCTACTTAGTACTAGAAAGTAACTCAACGTTGGGATCCAAATACCATCTCCACTTATTACTAGCCTTTAAATCCGGACTAGCCACACAGGCACTATGTGTCTGTTTTGTCATCCATAAAATGTAGACAGCTCCTCATACCTTCCCAGCATGGGTATTGAGGGAATCACGTAAACTATTGAACTTCAAGCATATCCTTTCTGCAGACTGGATATTCACTGCCAGTCTGCAGAAAGGATATGATTCATATGATTCAGTTAATTGCAAACACAGATTTAACCTCTTACAGTCTCTTGAATATTGATACTTCCTTTCCTGACAAGAAATTATCAAGAGGTGAAATACAGTATATATCATCTTCCTGGGTTGGTGGAGAATGTCTTTTTGTTCTATGAAGAATTGAATAATCATGATAAACTTTACATGACGGAAAAAGTTTAGGTATTTTTGTTATCAACAGTCAAAAGTATTATTGTTGATTGCTTAAAAATGATTTTAAAATACCATATGAAAGGGAGACTATACCTTTACACAGTGTTGGTTTTTGGCAAGTGAGACTTGGAGCAAGAGAATAATAAACACCCATATTGTGCCAATCCAGGTATTAAGTTTTCCCTGTGAATCATAACAGTAGCATGATTTATAAGACATGGGGAAATAAATCAAGAAGGTAAACCCTGGAACTCTATCGTCAGTTCTCTCTTAATTTTTCTTACACAGAGTGTCTACATTTGGCCTTAGTTATGGTTTGGGTTATTTAGGTTTCTTTTTGTTGGTGGTGGTTTGTTGGTTGGATGGTTTCATACATTAGCCCTTCAGCTTCCCTTTTTGCTACTGCAGTTGTTTCCTGCATATTCCAGCCAAGGGCCATCTCTCACTTTAGATTGTCCACTGGCAGGGGTGACTGTCAAAATAATGACCAAGAGGAGGGCCATTCCAGCTGCAATCCCAGAGGCCTCTGCTGTACCAGGCATTGACCTTTTAGGTTCTGAGCCGTGGGCAGGTGTGGAGGGCATCCAACCTGAGCAGTTCTGGAGGAGATATTCCTCAGGAGAGCACCTCTTTACCAGTTGGTATGGATGTACTTAATATTTTTAACAACTGTTTTGACATACCAACTGAATATATGTCCTCTAAATGGAATCTTCTAGTCTTAGTGCAGATAATCAAGACATGACTATGTAAATGTAGTGTGTATCATAAAGTTGATGCTTGGAGTCATAACAGAGTTAGGGCTTCAGAGACGCACTGTTATGCTTGGGCTTTCAGGCTTTTAGTTTAAAATATGCCACATTTCCATATTGCCTGTTATTGTCAGGAAGATTGGCCCTCAAAGTTAAAAATTAAGAACTTGGGGGAAAACTTATGTAGTGAATCTAAGCCTAAGGTAGTTTTTACTTTAGCTCTGAAAGCAGCATCATAAAAAGGTGATAGGAAAACAGGGAAGATAACCTTTTTCTTTGCATTTCTATGATTTTTACATTACACCTTTAAACATGTCTTGTTATGTACATATACGTATCTATTTTAAAAATCACTTGCTATTCAGACCATCTTTGCCTCTATTACTGCCCATTAAAAGCCTGTTTTCCTCAGATTATAGAAAACCAAGGCTTTGCTCTGAGAGACTATCTCTGACCTTGACCTAGAAATATTTAATGATACACAGCAGCATAAGAGTTTCACACTCACACATATGGAAATTGATGCAGTCCATGGGTTTTTTTTTTTTTTGCCTTTAATTAAAGTTCAATGGAGAACAGTTTGTTATTGATATTTAGCATGTGTTCAGCATGGTATCTTTTTTTTTTTTTTTGAGACGGAGTCTGGCTCTGTCGCCCAGGCTGGAGTGCAGTGGCGCAATCTCGGCTCACTGCAAGCTTCACCTCCCGGGTTCATGCCATTCTCCTGCCTCAGCCTCCTGAGTAGCTGGGACTACAGGCGCCCGCCACCACGCGTGGCTAATTTTTTGTATTTTTTAGTAGAGACGGGGTTTCACCGTGTTAGCCAGGATCGGCATGTTATCTTTTGCTTGCAGAGCCAATGGTTCAATTTCTAATCAGGTACTACTACTAGCTTTCAGAGTAACATGAATAATGTATTGACTTTTTTCAGTCAAGTCTATATTTGCGAAAAAGAGATAAATCCCTCTTTTAATATATCACATAAAGTAATAGGGAAACAAATGAGATAATGAGTGAGAAAGTTATGAAGAAGATATTGCTTGATGAATACAGATGTATGAAAATATAACACAATGTTTTTAGGCATTATTACTATTTAAATTACCATCACTTAATACTATTGTAAAAATTTCTAGTGAAGCCACTGCCTCCATCCAGTGTGAAAGCAGAAATTACTATAAACATTGGATTATTGAAAATATCTTGGGAAAAGCCAGTCTTTCCAGAGAATAACCTTCAATTCCAGATTCGCTATGGTTTAAGTGGAAAAGAAGTACAATGGAAGGTACCTTTTACTTAGAACTTCAGCTTTCCTCATTAAATGCTATTTTTATAATATGTAAGAGTTTAATTGCATTAGATTAATTTTATTGGCATAAAAGTACATTCTCCTGTATTGTGTAGCTATTTTCATTAAATAGATTTATCTAAGTCTAACTTTTTTAAAGAACAAAGTTTCCTGAAATCCATCATTCCCTGAAGTGTGTTTTATAGAACGTTGGTTGCATATTATGTTCCTTGGAAAAAGATTAAATGGCTAAATCAGTTTAGGAAACCCTGTATCACTGTATCTTCCTTGTGTAGTCACGGTATACATATTACATATTCAAGGTTTGGAGAGGTCCTTCATTAAAGAAAAATTTGTGACCTTATTTCATCTCATGTTCCCCAAACTAATTTTTCCAAGGAACTGTTGTTTCTCTAACATCTGTTGATATCTTTTAGTACATACATGTTTAGTGGAATGCATTTTGGAAGAAGCTGCTTTTCAAACAAACAGAGTCATTCCCGTAGTGGCAAGTGTGCCTATCATGGCATTCCACATCAGCTTTGTGACGGCAGCCTGCAAAGACCTAGAAATATCAGAAACCCTTATTGTATCATTAGATCACAATGATATCAACTAAAACAAATGTGACAGTTTAGCTGCTATTGAAGAATACTGAATATCAGCGATTTGCTACAGTAGGTCCTATCTAACCAATACGTTTAAATTCTTTTTAAATTCTTAAAACATCTTTGTGGGTAGAGGATTAGTGGACAGGGATTAGTAGGAGGGTAAGAGAGTGTTTGGGAAACAAGGTTGCAAGTAAACCAGTTCAAAATCTTGTCATCATCAGCAAGGGAGTGACAAGATAAATAAGAAAATCCTTGACTTGAAGGAGTTTACAATCCAAGCCTAATTGTGACTATTTCTGAAGGCAGAGAACACAGAATCAGTTCTCTTAATTTTGGAATAGTGTTAAGGTTTAAAATAAAATGTACTTCAGGGCCCTTTAGATACATATGTGTTGGTAATGATCAATCTAATGCTTTGACTTATTTTACAGATGTATGAGGTTTATGATGCAAAATCAAAATCTGTCAGTCTCCCAGTTCCAGACTTGTGTGCAGTCTATGCTGTTCAGGTGCGCTGTAAGAGGCTAGATGGACTGGGATATTGGAGTAATTGGAGCAATCCAGCCTACACAGTTGTCATGGATATAAAAGGTCTGCAGAGATTTTGTAAATGTGTTTTGAAAGTGCATAAGTGTGTGCTTCAAATATGGCTGAAAAGTATTTCTTCAAAAACATATACACAACTTGTCATTTTGCAGTTCCTATGAGAGGACCTGAATTTTGGAGAATAATTAATGGAGATACTATGAAAAAGGAGAAAAATGTCACTTTACTTTGGAAGGTATTCCCAATTTTAATATTAATCTTAAATTGTATTTTTATACTCTTAAAAATTTACTTCATGGTCCATAATCCTGTTATTAATCTTCGGAAAGCTCAACAATCCTGTATTTTCATTGCATTTATGAGATGTATTTAAAGAGAGCTAAGATGTACAGTGGCTGAAGCACTGGCATAGTGTTAGGAGACTTTCATTCTCTTCTTAGCTTCACATATTATAGTTACGTCAGTACTATTTGGGCAAAGTTACTTAGACTCTTTGGGCCTCAGTTTTCTCATCTGTGTAAATGTAATATTGAACTAGATGATAGGCAGTGTTTCTTGGAGTCTAAAAATTGTATTCATATTTAATCCTGAACAATGTAAATGTCACCTTCCCCGCACACCCCAAGGGCATCTAACACATGACAGAGTATTCCATTTATGTGATGGCATAAAAACAGTGGATAGTCCCATATATGATGGCTGTTTAGCCTAGTAATTTTCAAAGCATCCTCTCCCAAATGAACTGATTTCTATTTCAAGTGAATAGTTTATTTGGTCAGTAAATGCCAAATTTAAGATTGACTTGGGAATACAACACATGAAGTCAAAGAGTATTTCTGTCACTCCAAATGTGAATTGTAAGTTTAATACCCAAGGTTGAATGAGCACATGTTTGAAAATGGTTTCCTGATGTAAGACCAAAGCCTCTGTAAAAGTTGTGGTATATAAGAATTTATGTTCATTTGGTTTCTAAATCCAGTTACTCTATAATTTCATTTGGTGAATAATCAATGCAATTTCTAAAGTCTTCCATTTCAATATTTCTTAAAATAATTTTTTATTCTTTTATTTCATTTCTTTTATCATTGCTCTCCTTAAAAAATTTAGTTTCTTTTGTTATTGCTCTCTTTTCTTTTTCTAGCAAACCATTCCTTCAACACATTTTAATATTTCCAACTTAAAGTTAGCATTAGAACTGACAGACATTTATGAGCCATTTATTGTATTCTGAACACTTCATACAGATCTCCACCTCCCGGGGAATTCAGGACCTGTATTCTGAGAGATTGAGTGGGCGGTTGAACCCACCGCGGAAGGGGGCACTGCTGAATAAGAAACAAGAGTCTTGCCCGACAGATTATTTTTCTCATATTTTTGGTTTTATCTCCATGGGCACTGTTCCAGATACCTGCAAACTTCTACAGTGAAGGACAGGCAGTGATGTTCCCATGTTTGTGGTAGGGCCAGCTATGAGCAGAATTTAAGTAGCTTTTCTTTTTCTTTGATTTGTCCTCTCAGAGCTGTAGTCAACAGCCCTTTGGCCTAGGCTACAGCTACCCTCTCCCATTGCAATATACTCTAGAACAAAACAGTTGTCTTTCTCCAGACAGTTCTTATGTTTTCCTCATATCATGGATTCCACATTTCCTCAGCAATGCTGCCAATAGAAGTTTCTGTAATGATGAAAATGGTTTATATCTGCATTGTCCAATATGGTAGCAACCAGCCACATGTGGTTATTAAGCACTTGAAATGTGCCTAGTGTGACTCAGCAACTGAATTTTAAATTGTATTTAATTTTGATTAATTTAAATTTAAATGGCTGCAAGTGGCCAGTGGCTATCTTTTTGGACAACAAAGCTCTATGGGTTCTTTAGGGGTGATTTGTGGGAGGGAGACAGGACCCTTGCTAATCTACCATCTTTGCAGAACCTTGAATGCCTTTTATTAGTCAATTTGCCTTTCATTAATTTTGTTTTGTGCTGTTTTGTTGTGTTTTCCTAAACTGAGATAATAGTTCAATGATTACGGTTCTCCAAGCCTATGCCTCTTAAACCGGGATAAGATTTGCTTAAGGAGTAAGCCACAAGGCCACAGGATAAGTATGGCACTTTTTAAAAAATATCATTTCTCTGGCATTTTTAAAATAATAAACTTTACGTTAAGGCAGTTTTAGAGTTACAAAAAGACGGCAAAGATAGTACAGAGAATTCCTATGTATTCCCACACCAAGTTTTCTCTAGTATTAACATCTTAGGCTAGTATGATACATTTGTTACAATGAATTAAACAATATTGATATGTCATCATTAACTCATCTGTAATTTATTTCAAATCCAAATTTCCTTAGCTTTTACCCAATGTTCTTTTTCTGGTTCAGGATTCCATCCAGGATAGCAGATTTCATTTAGTAGTCATACCTCCTTATGCTTCTCTTGGTTGCAAAAGTTTCTTAGATCTTCTTTGTTTTTATGAACTTGACACAATTGAGAAGTACTGGTCGGGTATTTTGTAGAATCTCCATCAAATGGGTTTTGTCTAATGTTTTCTCATGATTAATTTAGGGTTATGTGTCATACCTCCTTATGCTTCTCTTGGTTGCAAAAGTTTCTTAGATCTTCTTTGTTTTTATGAACTTGACACAATTGAGAAGTACTGGTTGGGTATTTTGTAGAATCTCCATCAAATGGGTTTTGTCTAATGTTTTCTCATGATTAATTTAGGGTTATGGGTTTGGGGGAGGAAGATCACAGATGTAAAATGCCATTCCATCACATCATATTAAGGATACATTCTACCAATGTGACTTACCATAGTTGATGTTAACCTTGCTCGTCTGGCTGAGGTAGTGTTGTCTGGCTGAGGTAGTGTTGTCTGGCTTCCCACTGGAAAGTTACTCTTTTTTCTCCTTTCTCCATTTTAGTTTTAAAAATGAAGTCCCCATGCTTAAGGAGTAGGAGTCATGTTCCACCTACTTGAAGGTAGAGGACCTACATATATTATTTAGTGTTCTTCTGCATGGGAGATTTGTCTGTTCTCCCACATTAACTATTTTATTTATTCAATCATTTATTTATATTAGTATGGACAATGAACATTTATTTTAGACTTGGTTTGTAATCCAATACTACTTTATTTTGTTGCTGAAAATATTCCTGCTTCAGTCATTGGGAGCTCTTTTAATTGACTCATGTTCCTTTGACATGCCCCCGTCATTGTGGGGTTTTTTATTTTAATTTTTGAGTACTGGTAAGTTCGACTTTATTAAAATTAAAAACTTCTGATCTGGGAAAGACTGTCAAGAGGATGAAAAGTTAAGGCACAGACTGGGTGAAAATATTTGCAAAAACACACATCTGATAAAGGACTTATAACCAAATTACACAAAGAAATCTTTAAGATTCAACAGGGGCCGGGCGCGGTGGCTCACGCCTGTAATCCCAGCACTTTGGGAGGCCGAGGCGGGTGGATCACGAGGTCAGGAGATCGAGACCATCCTGGCTAACAAGGTGAAACCCCGTCTCTACTAAAAATACAAAAAATTAGCCGGGCGCGGTGGCGGGCGCCTGTAGTCCCAGCTACTCGGGAGGCTGAGGCAGGAGAATGGCGTGAACCCAGGAAGCGGAGCTTGCAGTGAGCCGAGATTGCGCCATTGCAGTCCGCAGTCCGGCCTGGGCAACAGAGCGAGACTCCGTCTCAAAAAAAAAAAAAAAAAAAAAAACCAAGTATCTGAACAAAAACCTAGCCAAAGTAGATATACAGATGACAAATATGAATATTAAAAGATGTTCAACATCATTCATCACTAAAGAGTTGCAAATTAAAACAAGATACCACTCCACATCTATTAGAATGGCTAAAATCCAAAAAAAAAACCTGACAATACAAATTGCTGGTGAGGATGCAGGGCAGCAAGAACTTTTATTCATTGCTGTGGAAATGCAAAATGGTACAGCCACTTTGGAAGCCAGTTTGGTAATTTCTTACAAATTTAAACATAGCCTTACCAACCACATGATGCAACATTGCATCCTAGGTATTTACTCAGCTGATTTGAAAACTTAAGTCTACATAGAAACTTGCACATGAATGTTTAAGCAGCTTTAGTTATATTCACCCCAAACTAGAGGCAACTAAGATATCCTTCAAAAATGAAACGATTCTGTATACTTCTGAAATGGTGGGTATATAGCACTATGCATTTGCCAAAACTCCTCGAACTTCATAGCACAAAGAGTGAATCTTAATGCATGTAGATTAAAAAGAAAATCATTTAGGAGGTTGAAGGATCCCAGGATTGACTGTAAACTGTGACAAAGGAATCTACCTGTATTACAAGTGTATGAAGCAACTTCACTGAAGGTGGTGGGAGAAAAGGCC